>NT_187562.1:0-370523 GCF_000001405.40 Homo sapiens | reverse complement strand
AGCTACCATTCCTTTGCACAATTACCAGAATATTCCAAATTGAGCAAAATAACATTACGTTGTTTGCATTTACACATCCGCACTACAGTGACAGACCCAGCTCACTCTAAGTTTTATGCTGCAGGAGCACACATAGAATGAGATCTCATTGCTGGGAAGTCTGGGAAGAGCTTCAGAAAGGGCAGCTTTTTCTTCTGGTTGAGACACGGGCTTCCATAAGGAGTGCCCACCTCCAGCCTGTGACTGCCCTTTTTGTGCAGAGGGCAGCTGGCTGTGCAGGGCTGCGGATGTGCTGCCACAGTGGTACAGATAGGTCTGGCTGGTGCTGGTGGATGCCAGGATTGGGGAAATGCTCAAGCTTGTTTCAAGAAACACAGTACCCCTCTGTGACATCAACTTTGGTCCTGCTGTGACCACTGCCTGAATAGTGGATAAGCTTCAGCCCCCGTCTTGGGTCCTGTCGATATCAGAACACTGTTCCTAACCTGAGCACATTCCAGGATCATCTCTTTCTTCTGTACAATGTGATATCTTGGCATCTGGGTGATCCCAGCATCAATAGAGCCTGCTGGAGAGGCAGACAGAAAGTGAAGACAAGACTTAAGAAATAAGGGGACTCTGCAGAGGAAAGGACAAAAAAGGCTTGTAGCCCAGACATTGCAAACCCATGACAGGGTTTTGCAGCTGTTTCCAGAACTTATCTGCTCCCAGGAGACAAAGGGTCACACAGAAGAGTTTGGGGTTCATGGTAGGGTCAGAGTGAGGAGGGGCTGGCCCAACTAAGTGCAGTGATCCTCAGGACTGTGAGCTGGGGCTTGGAGGCTGCTCCCTAGGGAATAGTCTGGTGGGCCTGTGGTGTCACCCCCCATGCCTACGGAGTCCAGCTGGTCCAGGGCCTTCTGACTGGTCTCAGGCAGGATCCACCTCCTCTCATGAAGGCTGTTGCCCGGCGAGGTCTGCAGGGAAGATGGGGTGCAGCAGAGACATACTGAGCTTAGGGCACAGCCCGCCCCTAGCTTTCCCACGTTCCTTTGAGGCAGTTGCTCCTCTGCTTGCACCTGCGCTTGACACCAAGGCTGCCAGGCCAAAATTCTTCAACTGTGGATCTCATTAAAGATTAGAGGTATTTCCTGCATCTTGCATAGCTGTAGGTAGCCTAGCAATGACTGAAAACTGCTGCAACATCTGCATAATATTGGATGCCAGCCCTAATTTTTCTTAACCCTTCCCTTCCTAGGCTGCTCTCCCAGGCTCTCCCCAGAGTCCCTTAGATCCCAGTGGACCACAGTGCCATCTTGTGGCCAACACGTGAAGTTTCATCATTGCTTTTGCAATGGCCCAAGGGATGCTGGGAAGTGTCTGCAGAGTGAGTGAGAGACTATTCTAGAAGTGTCATCCTGCAGGTTTTATGAGCAACTTCCCTAAACCCTGATTCCAACACTAGTTCTAACCCTGACTATTGCTTTACTCAAAGCTTAATATCCCACCCTCATTCTAAATAACTCTTATCACATAGCTGCAGTTAGAGTCTAATTAATATTTTCTCCCTTAAAACTATCATATAAAGGGAGTGGGATAGAATGGGAGGAATGGAAGAAAATTGGATTTACTCTTAAGTAGGCAGAACATACAGGAATTGAAGTGCATAGTTATTTCATTTCATTACCAAAGATGAAATACGTGTCCCCCAAAATAACAATCAATGTTACCGTAAACATAAAGATTAGCAAAAGATTAGGATGATAATGAGATTGCCTTCAAGATGGCATCAAATACGTATTAATAAAAAGTAAAATTTGAATGTAAAAAGTAGGATCCCTTGTAGGCAACAAGTAATCTTGAAGGGAGCAGTATCCAATGTGGAAAATAAGGATGGATAATGAAGACCAGCAACGAGCCTTCCACAGAAAATGATTAACATATACAACGCACATCTGCTGATCTGAGCAGCGGACATGCAAGCAATGATTCTGGAAGAGGCAGTGGAGTGGTGTGAGATGAGGATCCCCTGGTGCAAAATAGTATCATAAGGAAGCAAGGAGAGAGAGGAGGAGGTTTATGAGCAGGAAGGAGGCGATTGTGTCATGCTGTGGTTAAGCTGCTGGCACAGAGATACACGGCTGAGTCCCCCCGCTCTGTGCGCTGGATCTTCAGAGTAGAGACGGATCCCTCAGGCCTGACTGCAAAGAACCGATCGTTGGGCAGCCCTGAGTCATCTGCCGCACCCGTGCCTTGGAAGTAAATTAGAAACTCTGGGCCCTGCCCCAGGCTTTGTCGGTACCAGTAAAGGGCAGTATGACCTGAAATTGGATCACACCTGAGCTCTACATATTTTCCCTTCTCTGTGACCTTGTTACTGGGGGTCTGGGAGACTCCAGCACCTGTGTGATCTGCGGAGACACAAGTTGAGAACAGGATGAGGAAAACAGTTGTACTCATCACACACACACACACACATACAGACACACAGAATGAGACTGGTTGGTGTCTGAGGACTCACCTGCCCCCAGGAGGCACAGGGCTGCCCAGCAGAGGAGCCTGGTGCCCATGACAGAGTCAGGGCAGGATGGGAGCTTTACCAGATCAGGGTCACTGTGAGCAGGAGCAGAGGAGGAGGGACGTCCTTGTCCTGACACAGAACAGTACCCACAGTGACATCACTTCCTCTCTCAATCCCCACAACCTCAGGAACACAGGATTTATATTAGAACACACTTGGATGACTGCTTTAGATATTTATTAGCTCCTTTTAAACAACATCAATGCATCGGTCTTCACTTTGTGCTCTAGAGCTGTCTGGAGCTACAGGCCTCATGCTGCATTTCTGAGTTTATCTCCTCACCACACAGGCGCTCCTCTGTCTGCTGGGCATGTTCTCTAGGATGTGCCAACAGCGCCCCCAACACAAGGCACCAAGGGATGAGCTCATTGTCTTTTCTGCAAGTCAGGGTCCCCTATGCCATCCCCATTGATGCCCCAGCCTCCTCCATCCCCCAGTCACACGTGCCCAACGGGGCTGTCCCAACACATGGGTTCCCTCACAAGCTGCACCTCATGCCTTTCTTCTGGGACCACTTCCCACCTTTGTTGACTATAATTCAGAAAAGATACCTTATTGGAAAACTCATAGTCTTTTTTTTTAATTTTTCCACTTGTAAATATATTTTCCTCCATCTCAGTGTTTAATGAATGGGGATTATAATTCCGACTAAATGGTTATTTCTGATCCTCTTTCTTTCATTGATTTTTTCAGTCTATTCCACTAGGAGAGATTTATCTTTTCTTTTTGACAGCTTTTAGAATCATCTATTTGTCACTTATGTTCCACAATCTCATTATAATATAAACATTTATCTTATTTCATATTCATTTGAATTCTTGAAATTGAGAATTTAGGTCCTGAAACACCTCTGGAAAATTCTCAGCTAATGTCTCATCACAATCACTTATTCCCTCTACTTTCTTTTTCTGAAACTTCAATTATCTATAAGAAAAATGGGAAATATATATATTTATATATTCTATATAATATATTCTATATTCTATATTATATAATATATATTCTATATTCTATATTATATAATATATATTCTATATTCTATATTATAGAATATATATTCTATATTCTATATTATTATATTATATATTTTTATATAATAAATATATAATTAAATATATAAATATAAATAACTTTATATAAATAAATATATATAATTAAAAATTATATATTCTACTATGCTGGAAACCACCCTTAAGCTCTTTCTAAAGTTACATATTTAATTTTCGGTGCTGCATTCTATGTAACTTCTTCAGCTCTGTCCTTGACATCACTAATAATCTCTTAGAAGCATTTCATCTTTCTTCATTTCCATTTTGTTTTCAGTGATAATCTTAATCATTTCTGTATTGAATTTGATTATTTTTTAATGTTATCTTGATGGTTTCTGTCAGTCTTTTTTTCTTGTTCACATTTCAATTTCCTTTAAACATAGTTCTACAAACTTTCATACCTTTTAATGGTAAAAATTTCTTGTCTTCAAACACTTCAATTGCTTATTGTTTCTGCTCACTTCTCTTCATTGGTTCTTGTTTTAATAGTCTTAATAGTGGAAGCATATTTATCTGACATTAGTCTGTGGTGTTCAAGAGAGGCCTGCATTGAGAGTGAAGAACTTCAAGACTCCATGGTTTTTCCAACTGTCTCCAGTCTTACCACCAAATTCATGGGGCCAAGAATTGTCTGTTGCACTCTGGGTTCCTGAACATGCTCACGGTTTAGGTTCCTGGGGAACATGCTCTCAGGACAGCCACAATTTACCCTCTAGAACACAATTCTGATTTTCTCTTACTTTTATATGATGCCTTCTCCACAAATTAGCAACTATAAGGCTGTTCCCATCCTGTTCTTCCAAGGGAAAATAATATAAATATATTTTAAAAATCCTAAATCTACAAATGTGCCCTCTTCAGGGGTTTTTTGTTCCTAACCCAAAACTTTAAGAAATGGCTTAGATATTATAATTATATACAGAGAGTTTACCCTCATTCAGCTTGAAGAACACATCATATTTTAAATTGGAAATTCCCAGACTGACAAACTGGCTTGCACCATGCATGGTCCTATGCTTGTTCAACAAGTGAGTGCTCCTTGATGAGCTCATAACAGAGCATCTCAGGCAAAGTTAACTCTAGACCTCTGCCAGGGTACAATGAATCTAGTGTGTTCCTGTTACTGGTTCATTCACCCACTCATCACTCACTCACCTGTCACTCACTCATCCATTCTCTGTGAAATGAATGAGGACTCCCTGCCTGCCAGGCACTGCTGGTGGTGAATGTAACAAGCTCAGCCTTCAGCTTCATGAGTTTAAAATTAAGTGGAGCACAAAAGGAATAAAACAAGTGTTGGAAAAATTGCAACGGTGCTGAACTTTACTAAGAGGCACATGATTCTGTGAGCTTATGAGAGGGAAACTGAAATTTGACCTCAGCTGAGAGTTGAGGGAGTGCTTCCAGCAGGAGAGGCTGATCATGCTGAGATCAGAAGTGCAGGTAGAAGCTGACCACTGCAGAAAGGAAGGCACTAGCCCAGGGCGGAGGAAATGGCCTTTGAGGTCTCTGTGTTGGAAAGGAAGGAGGCACAGAAGAGGCAGCCTCATGGCTGCAGTAGAAAGGCGAGGGGAGGTGGTGTGCAGAGGCCCAGCAAGGCCTTCGGGGGTGACTGCTCAGATGGGAAAGGCGGGCCACAGGTGAGACCACATGAGAGTGGGTACTGGAGGAAACCCTGGAGAGAGGAAGCAACGTGGCCCCCAGAGAGAAACAGGAGTCTAGACAGATTTGAAATACAAATCCTGTTCCATCCTGTGGACCTCAGACTCAGGATGATGAGTAGAAAAGTAAGAGCTGGGAAAGCCCTGGTCCCATCCCAAAAAGATAGCTTGGAAGAAAGACCAGAGAGCAACAAAAGAGACCTCTGAGGCTCTGGGACCAGTCCAGGCCTGGCTGGGACTGCCTGCAGAGGCACCTGGCACAGACTGAGGCTCACACTGCCCGGCACCCATTGGGCTTCCAAGATTCCCAGTGCTGAGAACTCTGCCAAGGACATGGTTGAGTCTGGGGTCGGGGAGGAGGGCAGAGCCTCCCCTGCATTTATGTACAGAGAGGAGATGGCTGTGCAGCACTGTGGAGTCACTGCTGGCACAGAAGTACACAGATGTCTGAGAGGGTACAGCAGACGCCAACGTGAGGGGGAAATCATCTGTGTTTGCTCTGGAGACACTATAACCATCAGGGACTTCTCCTTTGCCAGTGGTACCTGCAGTATTTGAATAATGGATGAGCCTTAGCCCCAGTCCTAGATCTTGTCTATACCAGTACATGGCATTATGTCTCATATCCTGGGTACATCTCAGTGTCATGCGCCGTCCTGCTGCCAGGATCTGAGATGTTGGTGCCTGGGTGATCCCAGCAATCACTGGACCTACAGAGAAGGAGAACAAAGCCAATGCTGCAGCCTCAATGGGAAGGCTCTGGGTCTTGAAATCTACACATGGGCCCTGCCCAGGACTTACCTGCCCACAGGAGAGAAAAGGCCACACAGCACAGGAGCCTGATTCTCATGGCAGATGCTACAAGACAGAGAGGTCTTCTGGGTCTGTGTGTTGATGAAAGGGGAACAGGGCTGTCAAGGAAGTCATCCTGAGACCTCATTCTCTCTGCCTGGTCCCCAGAACCTTCTTGTCGAGAGAGGCCATGCCCCTTCCCCAGAGGGTCAAATCCAAAATAAATGCACCACTGAAGTTTGGATGGGAAGAATGCTTCTTGATATAAGGCTTTCAAGTTTTTCTTGACTTTTGTGCAAACAGTTTGTAATTCAACATAAATTTTATTCCTGCAATGATATAATTCCTCATTAATATTCTGGTGTTAGTTATCTATGTATTGCTGTAGTCTAGAATCTTAGGAAAAATCCTCTTGTCTCCCTGGTGTTTTTGATTCCTGTGTCCCAAACACTCCTTCAAGTATCCTTTTCCAATCTGCTTAATTGACCATAATCCTGTTAAAGTCCTGTGTCTATATTGGTTTTCTCTGTTATCAGGTTTCCAAATCCCAGGGGCAGGCTCATCAACATTGCAGGAGTAGTTTTGCTCTGTTTCTTGTCAATTCACTGACAGATGGGACTCCTGACAAGTCCAGCTGAGCACCTTCAGCTCCATCCAGGAGTCTTGCTTTCTGTTCCTGGGGTGAGACCACAGCAGGCAGAACCACCTCATGCTGCTGACTGCCCTCTCTGTGTGGACAATGGTGGCCACCCAGCGCTGCTGAAGACTTGTGAGCACAAAGGTGTCCTGATGAGTGAGGGACTTGGCGAGAGGGAGCAGACTTCAAGATAAGGAAAAATGCTCTCGTTTTATTTGAGGTGTCATGTCTCATAGGGAATATCCCTTCGTTCAGGATTCCTGCCATTAATTTAGTAATAAATGAAAAGGAGCTCAAAAACTGTATCTTCGGTGTACAGAGCCCTGCATTCAGAAGGATCCCACGCTTGCTTTATCACTCTGCTGTCATGATTTTTAAATTCTTAATAGTGTTTGAACAAAGGATCTGCCAGTAAGTCATGTCGCTGGTTGTAAATACATGATTTTGTTTCATATTCTGCTCACCTCCCCCTGTGCTGGTTTCCTTTCAGCACAATGCATCACCAAGATCTGGTCATTCAGCGTCTATGGGGCTTCACTTAGCAGTGAAGGACACAGAAATTAAAGTCACAGCTAAGGGCCACCTGGTGCTGAAAGTCACAGCTGGGATCCAACAAGCCCATTAGTGGGTTTCATGTGCGTGCCCAGGACTCCTGTGGTTCAAGAGACAGGAACACACAGCTCAGGATCCTGGTGCCCAGGACAGGGCCAGAACAGGAAGATGAATTCTAGCTGAAGGCTCAGGATTTATGAGTTAAACACTTGGGGTTAAGGCAAAAAGAATGCTTCTCCCAATGTAACATCGTCTTTCAATGAAGTCTCTGTTACCATGGTTTGCTTGACGCCAGCGTTCTCAGTGTGTGAACACAAAACCAGCTGCATGTGTGTCCTATGGGAACTCAAAATAATTTCCTTGGAGATAATTAACTGTTATCAGGATATCATTACTAAACAATTTGAGTTAATGAATGGAGAAGAAAAGAAATGAATGAAAATGAATAAATAAATGTTGTCGAATCAGCTTCTACCAGCTGAAAAGACCTTTTGAGGTTATTTCGGCACAACATCCATCTCCAGATAGAATCGTTCCTACCATGGATCAAGGTAGCTCTCATGGTTTCAATCCCTTCTAAAACCATAAAACCTCCCAGAAACTCTTCCTTGCCTTGATTATTTAGCTATGTATTCAAGAGGATTAATCAGTATGGGTTTTAAATTGACATTAAAAATATTTGTGAACAAAACTACTCTCCAGTGATAGAAGTTACATCATTGGTTTTCTGGGACCAAGATAGGCATTGCAGAGGTGTTCGAGGGAACTTTCTGGAGATAGTCTACATTTTAATAGGGGTGGGGATATTTTACATTTTAAGAGGGGTGGGGATTATAAGGGCATATACATATATATTGCTCAAAAATCACTGATCTGTTCATTTAAGATGTATAATGTTTACATTGTATAATTTATATGTCAACAACATTGATTTTTTAAATACCTCAAGAGGGATCCATACTGCATTCTTTAGTTAATTAGTTAATTTCATCAAATAAATCATCAGAGGAAATGTACATTTCCATTTCTGTGACTTCTGAATCCTCAACCTAAGATTTCTAGGTATCATATGTCCGCATCTGCCTTTGCACATTGGCATGGTGAAAGAGGCTATCTGAGATTATCAAAGGAAATTAAAATATTATGTTGGTACAAAAGTATTGCAGTTCTTACCATTAAAAGTAACTAAAAGTAACGGCAAAAACCTCAATTAGTTTTGCACCAACCTAATATCTAGATTTCTGCTACATGCTAGATACTTTATGCTATTTAATTTTGTACACAGCCCTGCGGATGGACAGTAGCAGTCTCATTTCATAGATTAAAACAAACAAACAAAAACAACAACAAAAACAAAAACAAAAAAACAGAAAACAAACTAAGCCAAATCTGTCAAGAACTGGCCTCACGTCTTGAGGAGCTGGTGCTAGAATGGGAGTCAGGCTTGATGTCATGGCACCCATTCATAGTTGTTTCCCACCACCCCCCTCCAGGGTAAACTGATTTCTGTCTATGATGTTATTAGAGCCAGCAGGTCTGAAAGGGACCTAGGAGATAACATTTGAATTTTTGTGAAGATAAGCATCATTTGTTATGAAATAGATTATAGTATATAGCTATAAAAAACAGGGCTTTGATAGACCAGGGTTAGAACCCCAGTACTGCATCCTAATTCCTACTTAATTTGGTCAAGTAATTTAAACTATGGGCCAATTCCTCTACCTGTAAAATGAGAATAGCGTTTACACGTTAAGATGTTTTCGTATAGTTGAATTTCTAATTAATTGAAATTTTCCTAATGAAGGCTTTCTATTTTGTGCATCATAAAATGATAATGAATGATTAGATTAATATTTTCTCTAAGTCTTCTCCATGAAGCAGAATTGAACTGTGAATGTGCATCAGTGTACTCAGTGCTTGCAGTTCTGCAAATGACTGCCAGTCATGTGACAGACTGTTTCATAGAAACAGTCAGATATGACACATTTTATACTTCAGAACTTAAACATGTTAGATGCATACAAAGAAGTATTTTAAACATTTAAAAAGAGGAAAATCCAGCCATATATGACAATGTGGATAAACCCACAGGACATTACACTAAGTGAATAAGCCAGGCACAGAAAGGCAAATACCACATGATTCTGCTTATATGATGGAACGTAAATAATCGAAGTATCGGAAGCAAAGGTGAAGGTAATTTCCAAGGGCTGGGGATTGGAGTAAATGGAGAGTTGCTGTCAATGGTATACAATTTCAGTTAAGGAGGATGAATAAGATCTAGAGATTGCCGTACAACCTTTTGCCCGTAGATTACAATACCGTATTGTACATACAAAAATCTGTTAAAAAGATATATTTCATATTACATATTCCTACCACAGTTAAATTAAATGGCTGTCTAAAATGGGACTAGTTAGCCAAAAAAAAGAGAAAAAAGTAAATTTGTATAATTTAGAAATCAGTAAACTATTTTTAATAAAGAAAACAATTTAAAAAATAAATGCAAACCTTAACACTGTAAAAAGCAAGAAACATTTTTTCCACTTAATATTTTTTCTTTTCAATTTTATGTCACAGAATACCTTATACAAAGAAGGATCCTCAAAAAGTTTATTGAGTAAAAGAATAAGATTAATTAATTAATGAATAGCAACTATTTATGCTCATTTTCCTCAAGGTATATTACATCAGTTACAGAAAGTCCACAGTGCAGAAAATTTTATTTCTTTTTCTTTCCTACAGTGAAGGATGAATGTAGATGCTTGACCTGGAAGTTCCTTGGGCTTGTCGGGGAAGAGGTTTTAATGACCACATATGAGACATGATCTTTCCCTCCTGCTAACGGGGATCTGAAATGAGGAAGCCAGAGGAGAGGACACATGTACAGAGCAGGGCGGCGTGCAGAGGTGTTGGAGGAACTGACTATAGCCAGTTACTAAACATGAGAACAGGGACAGCTGCTTCCCCCATATGTATAAACAGGTAAAATCATATTTACCCTGCCTGATATCAGTGGGCATTAAAGCAGATCACATGTAGAAGCAGCAGGGAGTGCCTGGGAAAGGCCTGTCAGCTCTGCAGGGCCTGAACCCCTCTGTCTGGCAGCACCCACCTCATGGTCATTTCCTGAGTGGGGCAGGAATGTTTCAGGCATTTCCTTGGGAAACCGGCCTTTCCCAGTAACTCTCCCTGCAGGCCACCCCTGCCTGCTCTACCCATTGTCAGACCCCAGGCTCTGCTGCTTCCTGCACCATTCCTGTCCTACACAACCCTGAAATTAAAAGTGGGGCAGGTGGAACACAGTCTCCACATGCCCATATCCCACCTTATTTTTCTCTGACAACCCCTGTCACTTTCCTGGCACTGACTCCCAGCCCTTGCTGCCCCAGCCTCTTCACCCTCCACTGCCCATGCAGAGGCAAAGACATTCTCTCCTTGATGCAAACTGAGGTCCCTGGTGTGCCTACCTTGCCCTGGGCAGTCCCAGGACCTACTCTGAATTCCAACCGCCTCCTGATGCCAGCACGCAGCCAAGCATTCCCTTCAGCCGTCCTCTCCTGGGTCACCCTCCACCCCTCCCCAGGGTTCCCCACAGCTTTGTGGAGCCACAGCACCTCCAAGTGGCCAAAGTTCCAGTCTCATGGATTCACACCTTCTGACCTGATGAGCTCAGCATTGTCTAAGTCAGGAGCAGAGATGCCCCTACACCAACCCCTGCAACCCACACCCTCTCACACACACACTCTCTATTGCTTTCCCAGAAGGGTTGACTTAGGGTGGAACTTCAAATTCACCCTTGGCCAGTGAAAACAAAAGGGCACATCTTGATTGCACAATAAACTGCTGCTACATCATTGCAATGAGTATCCTAAGATGGAAGAGAGGAGCCAGAATTATACAGGCCACAGGGTGAAACAGTGTGAGGATATCAAGCAGATCCAGACTGGAAACACGACATTCCAGAGCTCCCTTTGAATAATCAGAGCCACACCTTTTCACACTTTGTATTTAGACTTTTTTTTTTTTTTTTTTTGAGACGCTGTTTTGCTCTGTCACCCAGGCTGGAGTGCAGTGGCGCAATCTCAGCTCACTGCAACCTCCACCTCCTGGGTTCAAGCCATTCTCCTGCCTCAGCCTCCTGAGCAGCTGGGACTACAGGTGCCTGTCACCATGCCCAGCTAATTTTTGTATTTTTAGTAGAGACGGAGTTTCACCATGTTGGCCAGGATGGTCTCGATCTCTCGATCTCGTGATCCACCCGCCTCGGCCTCCCAAAGTGCTGGGATTACAGGTGTAAACCACCGCGTCTGGCCTATATTTAGATTTATTATTCCCAGATTTTAGATAGCACATTCTATAAAGAGGATTTTTCAATTTTACAAATTTATTTCTGAATTTTAAAAAATCTTGAAATAAACGACCCTATGAGCTGTATATAACTTAGGCAGATTCAATTGGGTCTGATATTTCCTTTCTTTACCCAGAAGTACCTAGGAGCTCTGCCAATGACCCAACACCTCTTAGTAATGCCACCCTGAGAAACTATTTCCATGCGGCTGAGTCTCCACAGAAAACACACACAAACACACACACAAACACACACACACACACACACACACACACACAATATCTTGGGTTTTTTTTTTTTTTATTTTACTTTAAGTTCTGGGATACATGTGCAGAACGTGCAGGTTTGTTACATAAGTATACATGTGCCTCGGTGGTTTGCTGTACCCATCAACCTGTCATCTAGGCTTTAAGCCCCGCGTGCATTAGGGATTTGTCCTAATGCTCTCCCTCCCCTTCCCCCAACCCCCCGACAGGCCCCGGTGTGTGATGTTCCCCTCCCTATGTCCATGTGTTCTCATTGTTCAACTCCCACTTATGAATGAGAACATGTGGTGTTTGGTTTTCTGTTCCTGCACACACAATATCTTTTACTCAGAAAGGATGATAAGATTCCATTACTGAGCTTAACTAATTTTTATTTCAGTTTTTTAGGTTGATTTCTGAGAAGCATCTTTGATGATGTTCCAGTCTCATCAAATCTCTAAAAATGTGGCTGTGGAAAGTGTGGTTATGCTGAATAATTTGTTTTTTCAGGATCATGAGACTGGATGAATATTACTACAACACAATTTTATTTGCTCCAAAAGAGTATTTGCAAATTCCAGCCTTAGAGTTAGGATACTTTATAGCATTGGTTATCAATTCTGACTATGAAGACACAATTGCTTAGAATATTGCAGAAATTATATGAAAAACTGACACTGTCTCTAAGAATCTTCATTACATTTTAAGAAAGAGGAGTCCCATTGAAGGGAAGATGGTGATTAATGATATTCCAGGATTCTATATAAGTATGCATTAACTTTTTCATTTTACAAACTTCAGATACTATTAATTATAAACTTGGCTTTTCTTATGAAAATAAAGAAAAGAAAGTGATACAGTCCAGGGCTGGGCGCAGTGACTCATGCCTGTAATCCCAGCACTTGGGAGGCTGAGGCGTGGGGATCACTTGAGGTCAGGAGCTTGAGACTAGCTTGGCCATCATGGTGAAACCGTGTCTCTACTAATAATACAAAACAAATTAGCCATGCATGATGGCATGTGCCTGTAATTCCAGCTACTCTCAAGGCTGAGGCATGAGAATAGCTTGAACCGGGGGGATGGAGGTTGCAGTGAGCCAAGATCATGCCACTGCACTCCAGCCCAGGCAACAGAGTGAGACTCTTGTCTTAAAAAAGTAAATAAATAAATTGATACAGTCCAGTTCCAGGGAATGTCAGGGTAAGAAGCAAAGAGTAAGGCAGATGTGAGACCATCCTTGACAGATGAGCAGGGGCTAGATGTGTCTGGAGAGAACAAAAGTTTCCAGGCCAAGGAAATAGCAGAAATGCAGATGATACCAACGCTGATGAGTTTTAGAAAATGTTCAAAGAACTGTTTAATTACAGAAGGTAATTGAATCTGGGCACTGAGTCTCAGAGAGGAATCCCAGGGATGCAGAATTTTATCTTGGGAGAAAACGGACAGCATTTGCCCCTTTAGGACCAAGACTGACCTGACCTCCTTTGTGTTTTGGGAAGTATTTGACTGTGCCTCGAGCAGGCAAGACTAGATCCAGAAGTCGAGAAAGAAGATGTCAGAACCAACCCCAAGGCCCTCACATCAGGCAGGCTGCTATTTGTGATATCCCCAACTAGGACCAGTCCCCAGGTGATGTCAGTTGGTATAAGACCTTTCTTTGTATTTTCTGGATATCAAAAACTGTGGGAGGAGAAGGGAGCTCATGGTGCACAGATCACCATGTTTCATTACCTTCTGCTCTATCTCTGTTTTCAACTATCTTTGATCATTTTCTCTTTCATAGAATTTCCCCAAATCTCACTTTCTTCTCCCTGAATTATATAAAGCAAACCCTATGATTTTCCCTTCCACACTATTATCAAGAATCTTGACCCTGAAATTAAATCTGCTGCCCTGTAAAGAGGGCACCAGCTATTAAATTACAAACACTTCCACTATCCCTATAGTGTACAGCGTTTGGCGAAGAAGGTAGTTTTCACCACCTCCTGAGCAGACCCTCTTGGCCTTGTTATCCCCACTCCTAACTGGCAGAAAACCCCAGGTTTTAGGATCCAGCTTCCTGAAACTGCTTTTCTTTCCCACTACAGTCCTCAAGTTCTCACAGATATGTTAGGGCTGAAGTTCTCCACACTGGGGCAGGGATGTTTGTACACAGAATGTTCTTGGCTCTGCAGGCCTGCATCAAATTGCTGACACAGAGATACAGGGCTGAGTCCCCTAGCTCCGTGTTTGACTCAGTAATAGTTATGGACGTGGTGAGCTGAGAATCAATTAGGCAAGTTTCCTTTTGCTCTTTGTAACCTATTACAATATTGTAACAATAACTAGAGGGGCTGACTTGGAGTTCGTAGGTACCAGGACACACAGTTATGCCCAGAGGCAGGGGAGCATCTCAGTGTCACTTGCTGGTCTCTTGTTTTGATCAGGTGTCTTGGAGCTTGGGTGATTCCAGCCTCCACTGGGCCTGAGGAAAAAATAGGTGGAGAATGAACTTGTGCCTCCCCATGGTGAAGTGGGGGACACAGGGGTGGGCAAGCTGAGAATAGGGGTGCTGTCCTGTCCACAGGATTCACCTGCTCCCAGGAAACAAAGCAGCGTCCAGCAGAGGAGTCCGGAGCCCATGGCACAGCGGAGCAGGCAGCACTGCACCTGTGCTCAGGGCTTGGTCCTCCCAGGAAGAGCTGAGTTCTGAGCCTCACTTTTCCTGATAGGAAGGATATCCTGTGATGTCACTGTCCTGTGGTCCTTCCCCTTCAGGCTTCCTTAGGTCCAGTGGTCCCTACCCATGGAACTCCCTCCTCATCCTGCAGAGCAAGGGGGCTGAGTAAGGGCAGAAGCTTCTGTGATGAGGCAGTTGCTTCTCTGACTGCACTGCCCTCAGCACTCAGACTGCCTCATCGCCCTCTCAGCCTCCTCCCCACCTACTGCTGCAGTGCTCCATTCTGGAACTCACAGACCTGCCCGTCAGCTGAGAGTTAGTGGCCTGTAATTAAATCTTCATGTTCCAGATCTTCCTGGCTGTCCTCTCATCATATGTCTGACACCAAATTCAAACCAAGGTTTCTCCTTATATTTTCCTTTCCTGGACAACAATCCCAGCTCCTCCCCTGTGTGCGCAGTGATGTCAAGTCCCCAAGATTTTGTCCATCTGATCAAGTCCAAAGTGGATCTGTGTTGTCTGTAAATTATTAGGAGTATAGATTCCCCATAAATAATTCTGGGGCTTTATCAGCTCACAGCACAGACCTAACCACTTGGGATTCAGCACCCACAAGGCCACCCTATGAGTCATCCTCTGGGCAGGTTATGTTTATCCCTCCAGATCCATCCTGCCTTCAGAGGTTGATGCCAATGGATTATAGTAACTGCATCTCTTTTTGTGTACTCCAGAGTGAGTTTGTCTTATGAGAGACAATGGCAGGAGAGAGAGAGAGAGAGAGGGTAACCAACTGTCCCGGTTTGTGTGTCTCCTGGCTGCCTCCTTGCTGGACTATTTCATATTGATTGCTTTTCTCTACCAAAGGTCACAGCACCCTACAAACATCCTTACCCCAAATGTAAAATGTCAAAAGCCCCGAGATCCACACACTCTCCTACTTCTTTTAGGCCAATGTGAATAAGAGCACTCACTATACTATCCCCATAATCCTTTCTCTTCTCTTACTGGGTTCCTTAACCTTGCCACAGTTTTGTAAATTGTCTTTTCATCCCTCCTCAATACCTCCAGGACCATGGTTAATAGACATAGCAATGGAAAAGTGAGTCTTGGAGATCTTATTTTGCTTTAACAAAATAATACAAGTTCTAACATTCTGCAATTAGAAATAATACAATTTCTCACTCTTTGCAAATAGCAGTAACAAAAATTCTATCACATGCAATTAGCATTACCAAAAGAGTTGGGAGAAGCATTAAAATATGCAGTATGAAAATAAATAGTATGACTTGAGTACATGGAATCTAAAGAGGTTCTAGTAGAGAATCATGATGCATGATCACCTACTCTTACCTAGAAGTCTGTGGCAGGGTGGATCTACTTCATAAACATAGTGGACACTGTGATGCTTCATTGAGAACCCATTTTCAGACCCATTGCCACATCCCTTTAGAGTTGAGCCCCACACTGGGTTCCCGTCCGCAAGAACCATCTTCACTCAAGGTGACACCTTCACACAGTAGAAAAACTGTGTTAATTGCAGAGATGCAAGGTCCAGCATGTCCTAACAAGATGTGCCTTTGGCTTAAGAGGCAAGAAGAGAAGAATTAGGGACTGGAAAAAAGTCTTAAATATTTGAAACAATATTTGAGGAGGGTGAAAGACTGAGCTAGTAAAAGGACCATACTATAATCTCAAAGCAGGGATATAAAGGCAGGTAAGCTTAGTGACTATGTATTTATCATGATAACAGTTTGTGCCGGTGTGACTTACTCTGACAGCATTCAGCTTCTGCCATGCCAAAGAGATCAGTGCATTTATTCTTGTTTATTTTTGTAAATGAAAGGGAAGCCTAAGAGTATCAATATAAAATAATAACTATTTGCAAGCTAGGATTTTTAACACGTAGCATCCTCATATCTGCTCTAGAATGAGTAAAGAAATTCTGTAGGGACCCTAGGAAATAGAAAGAATATTTACCAGTGGAGAGGAGATGTCAATAATATCAAAGAACAGGTATGATAGGATAAGAAGCTGTAGGCAGATAGTGGAATATTTAATTTGTGATTTTGGAGATTTAGCATTTTCAAGTGATGACAAAGAAAAAGGGATGGGGCTACTAATGAGGAGGAGTAGAGTAAGTAACAGAATGGAACAACTCATAATTCTGTTATAGGCAAGATATCCTTGAAATGCAAAGAGTAGTCACTGTAAAAGGAAAAATATATATGAATTAAACTTCAAAAAATAGAAAATTTCAGTTCATGAGAAGACACTATTCAGAAAGTACAAAGGCAGGCCACTCTGGGAGAAGACTAACTCAATATATTTAATGGTCAAAAGGTTTATATAAAAAATACAAACATATTATACGTATTAGTAATATAAGAACAAACAACGTAAGATTTTAAAACAGGCAAATTTAAAAGCAGACACTTGAAAAAAGGAGATAGAAATTACTAATGAAAACAGAAAAAAATGTAAATATAATTACTTATAGAAAAATGCATAGAGATATCACTACAGACCCAATAGAATGATTAAGAAGAAGGTAGAACATGATGGCCAAATAGAAGCCTTCGTTAACTGTTCCTCCAAACAAGAACATCAAACTGAACAACTATCCACACAAAATAGCACCTTCATAAGAACCAAAAATCAACTAAGTGACCACAGTACCTGGTTTTAACTTCATATCACTGAAAGAGGCACTAAAGAGGTAGAAAAGACACTCTTGAATTGCCAATACCATGCCTCCCCCATCCCCTGGCAGTGGCCATATGGCTTGGAGAGACAGTCTGTGCATTTGGGTTAGGGAGAGTGCAGTGACTGTGGGACTTTGTGTTGGAAGTCGTTGCTGTCCTCACACAGTGGATAGCAACAGCAGGCAGGACTCAGCCAGCACTCATGGAAGAACATTTAGACCAGCCCTAGTCAGAGGGGAATCACTTATCCCAGCAGTCAGAACCTGAGTTCTGGCTAGCCTCGCTACCATGGGCTAAAGTGCCTTAGGGTCCTAAATAAACTTGAAACACAGTCCAGGCCACAAGGACTACAATTCCTGGGCAAGTCTTGGTGCTGTGCTGAACTCAGAGTCAGTGGACTTGGGGACACATGACCTAGTGAGATACCAGCTGGGGTGGCCAAGAAATTGCTTATGCCACCCCATCCCCAACCTCAGGCAGCACAGCCCACAGCTCCAGGTGAGACTCCTTCGGATATAGTTTGGATATTTGTCCCCACCCAAATCTCATGTTGAATTGTAATCCCCATGCTGGTGAGGGGTGTTTGTATCACGGGGGCAGATCCCTTATGGCTTGATGCTGTCCTCAGAATAGAGAATGAATTATTGTGAGATCTGGTCATTTAAAAGTATGTTTTAAATGACCTTCCCTCCCTCCCCCACACACTCTCTTTCTCTCTCTTGTTCCTGTTTTCACCATGTAATGTGCCTGCCTCCCCTTTTCTTTCTTCCATGATTGTAAGCTTTTGAGACTACACCAGAAGCAGATGCTGGTGTTATGCCTTCTGTACGGCCTGAAAAACCATGAGCCTATTAAACCATTTTTCTTGTAAATGACCTAGTCTCAGGTATTTCTTTACAGCAATGCAAGAATGGCCTAATTCAGAAAATTGATACAAGAAGTTGGGTATTGTTATAAAAATAACTGAAAATGTGTAAGCAGCTTTGGAACTGGGTAATGGGCAAAAGTTGGAAGAGTTTAGAGGGCTCAGAAGAAGACAGGAATATGATGGAAAGTTTGGAATTTCTGAGAGACTGGTTAAATGGTTGTGACCAAAATGCTGATAGTGATATGGAAAGTGAAGTCCAGGCTGTTGAGGTCTTAGATGGAAATGAGAAACTTATTGGGAACTGGGGCAAAGGTCACACATGTTATGCCTTAGCAAAGAACTTGGGTGCATTTTGCCTCTGCCCTAGGAATCTGTGGAAGTTTGAACTTGCGAGTGATGACCTAGTGTATCTGGTGGAAGAAATTTATAAGCAGCAAAGTGTTGAAGATGTGGCCTGGCTGCTTCTAACAGCCTACACTCAGATGTGAGAGCAAAGAAAACACTGAAAGCTGGAATGTATATTTAAACAGGAAGCAGAGTGTAAAAGTTTGGAAAATTTGCAGCCTAACCATGTGGCAAATAAAGAAAATGTTGTGGGAGAAGAATTCAAGCAGGCTGTGGAGCTACCACTTGTTAGAGATATTAACATAGTTATAAAAGAGCCAAGTGCTAATAGCAAAGACTTTGGGAAAATTGCCTGAAGACAATTCAGAAATCTTCCAGGCAGTACCTCCCATCACCAGCCCTGAAGCCTAGGAGGAGTGAATAGTTTTGTGTGCCAGGCCCAGGGTCCTGCTGCTCTGCCCAGCCTCAGAACACATCGGCCTGCATCCCAGCTGCTCCAGCTCCAGCTGTGGCTCAAAGGGGCCCAGATACAGCTTGAGTTGCCACTTTGGAGAATGCAAGCTATAGCCTTGGTGGCTTCCATGTGGTGTTAAGCCTACAGGTGTACATAATGCAAGAATCAAGAAAGCTTGGCAGCCTTCATCTAGATTTCAGAGAATTATGGAAAATCTTTGGTGATCAGGCAGAAGCCTGCTGCAAGGGTGGAAACCTTACAGAGAATCTCTATTAGGGAAATGCAGAGAGGAAATTAGAGGTTGGAGGCCCCATACAGAATCCCACTGGGGCATTGCCTAGTGGAGTTTTGGAAAGGGGACAACTGCCCTCCAGACCCCAGATCGATATTGTCACTGACAGCTTGCACCCTGTGCCTGGACAAGCCAAAACACCCAACAACATGTGAAAGCAACCCTGGGGGCTGAACTCTGGAAAGCCACAGACGAAGAACTCCCAAGACCTTGGTAGTCCCCCTTTGCACCAGTGTGTGCCCTGAATGTGGAACATGGAGTCAAGAACTATTGGAGATTTAAGATTTAATGACTTTGGCTGGGTGCAGTGGCTCATGCCTATCATTTCAGCACTTTGGGCGGCCAAGACAGGAAGATCACCTGAGGTCAGGAGTTCGAGAACAGCCTGGCCAACATGGCGAAATCCCATCTCTACTAAAAATATGGAAATTAACCAGGCATGATGGCACGTGCCTGTAATCCCAGCTATTCAGGAGGCTGAGGCAGGAGAATCACTTGAACCCAGGAGGCAGAGGTTTCAGTGAGCTGAGATCGCACCACTGCACTCCAGTCTGGGTGACAGAGCAAGACTCTGTCTCAAAAACAAACAAACAAACAAACAAACAAAAAGATTTAATGACTCTCCTGATGGGCTTCAAAGTTGCATGGCGCCTGTAGCACCTTTCTTTTGCCCAATTTCTCCCTTTTGGAAGAAGAATGTTTACCCCATGCCTATACTCTTGTTGTATCTTAAGAGTAAATATATATATTTTTAATTTTACAGGCTAGTAAGGTGGAAGAGATGTGCTTTGTCTTAAATGAGGCATTAGACTTTGGACTTTTGAGTTAATGCTGGAAAGAGTTAAGACTTTGGGAGACTGTTGGAAAGGCATGATTGTATTTTGCAATGTGAGAAGGACGTGAGATTTGAGAGAGAAAAAAGGCAGAATGACAGAGATTGAATATTTGTCCCCACCCATGTCTCATGTTGAATTGTCATCCCCAGTGATGGAGGTGGGGCCTGGTGGGTGGTATTTGGGTCATGGGGGCAGATCCCTCATGGCTTAGTGCTGTCTTCACGATAGTGAGTGAGTTTTTGCAAGATCTTGTCATTTAAAAGTGTGTGGCAGCTCCCCCTCAGATATGGTTTGGCTCTGTGTCCCCACCCAATTTCACCTTGAATTGTAATAATCATCATGTATCAAGGCGAGGGCCAGGTGGAGATAATTGAGTCATGAGGGTGGTTTTCTCCATACTGTTCTCATGATAGTAAATAAGTCTCAGGAGTTCTGATGATTTTATAAATGGGAGTTCCCTTGTGAAAGCTCTCTTGCCTGCTGCCATGTAAGACATGCCTTTGGTCTTCCTTCACCTTCTGTCATGATTGCGTGGCTTCCCCAGACATGTGGAACTGTGAGTCTATTAAACCTCTTTTTTTTTTTTTTTTAAATAAATTACCCCGTCTTGGGTATGTCTTTATTAGCAGGATAAGAACAGACTAATACACCCTCCACTCTCTATCTCTTGCTCCTGATTTTGCGATGTGATGCGCCTGCTCTCCCTTGGCCTTCTGCATACTTATAAGCTTTTGGAGCCTTCCCAGAAACAGATGCCAGTGTTATGCCTCTTGTACAGCCTGCAGAACCATGAGCCAATTAAACCTCTTTTCTTATAAATTACCCAGTCTCAGGTATTCTTTATAGCAATGCTAGAATGGCCTAATATACCTTCTCTCCACTTAAAGACAGGAGAGGGAAGAGTAAAGAGGACTTTTTCTTGAAAATCAGACACCAGCTCAGCCATAGTCAGATAGGGCAATGAGCAGAGTACTGAGGCCCCAATTCTAGGCCCTAGCTCCTGGATGACATTTCTAAACACACCATGGGCCAGAAGGGAACCTGCTGCCTTGTGGGGAAGGAACAAGGCCCAGAAAGATTCATCATCTGCTGAATAAAGAGCACTTGGGCCCTGAATAATCAGCAGCAATGCCCAGGTAGTACTTGCCATAGAGCTTAGGTGAGAATCTGAGACATGCTGGTTTCAGGTGTGATGCAGCACATTCCCAGCTGTGATGAATATGAGGAGAGGCTCCTTCTGCTTGATAAAAGGAGAGGGAATAATAAAGGAGCCTTTGTCTTGCAGATTAGCTACCACCTTGGCCACAGTGGAGTAGAGCACAAAGTAGGCTCCTGGGGTCCCGGATTCCAGGACTTTGCTGTTGGATTGCATTTCTGGACCAGTCCTGGGCCAGAGGAGAGCCCATTGCCCTGAAAGAAGAGTCTCAGGCCTGGCAGCATTTACCACAAGCTGGCTAAAGAGTCCTTGGGCCTTGAGTGAACATTGGCAATAGTCAGGCAATTCTTGCTGTGGGCCTGGGGCGGTGGTAGCCATAGGGAGAGACTCCTCTGGTTGTGAAAGGGCAGGGAAGAGTGGAAATAACTTTATCTTGTGACTTGAATGCCAGCTCAGTTGCAGCAGAATAGAGCACCAGTTAGATCCCCAAGGTTTCTGACTCCAGGCCCTGGCTCCTGGATAACATCTCTGGATGTGCCTGGGGTCAGGGGGCCTCGTGACCCTGAAGGGAAGGGTATAAGACTGGCTGACTTTTCCACATGCTGATTGTAGATCCCTGGGGCCTTGAACATAGGCAACAAGCAAGGCAGTGGTTACTGTGGACCTTGGGTGAGACCCATTATCATGCTGGCTTTTTCTGACCTAGGGTCTCAGTGATGGCAGCCACAGGGAGCTTGTACCACTACTCCTCAGTTCCAGGTAGTTCAGCAGAGAGAGAGACAGAGATGTTTGTTTGAGTGAAAGTGAAGGAAGAGAACAAGAGTCTCTGCCTGATAATCCAGAGAATTCTTTCAGATCTTATCCAAGACCACCAAGGCAGTATATCTGTGAGTCCACAAGGACCACAGAATTACTGGACTTGGGGTGCTCCCTAATGCAGATAAGGTTTCAGAGATAGAAAACTTAGATTACAACACCCAAGTACATTCAAATACCTGAAAAGCTTTCCAAGGGCGAGTACAAACAAGCCCAGACTGCAAAGACTACAATAAATACTTAACTCTTCAATGCCCAGACACAGGCAAACATCCACAAGTCTCAAGACCATTCAGGAAAACATGACCTCACCAAATGAACCAAATAAAGCACCAGAGGCCAATCCCAGAGAGAGAGAGAGAGAGATGTGTGACATTTCAGACACAGAACTCAAAATATCTGTTTTGAAGAAACTCAACAAAATTCAAGACAACACAGCCAAGAAATTCAGAATCCGGAAGAGAGCTAAATAATTAAAAACAATCAAGCAGAAATTTTGGAGCTGAAAATGCAATTGACATTCTGACGAATGCATCAGGGTTTCAACCTCACAATTGATGAGGCAGAAGAATCAGTGAGCTTGAAGACAGGCTATTTGAAAATACACCACCAGAGGAGACAAAAGGATAAAAATTAATGAAGCACAAATACAAGATCTAGAATATAGCCTCAAAAGGGCAACTTTAAGAGTTATTGACCTTAAAGAGGAGGTAGAGAGAGAGATAGGGCTGAAAGTTTATTCAAAGCTATGATAATAGAGAAATTCCCAAACTTAGAGAAAGATATCAATATTCAAGTAAAAGAAGATTATAGAATACCAAGCATATTTAAGTCAAAGAAGACTACATCAAGACAATAATCAAACTTCAAGGATAAATCAAAATTTCAAGGATAAAGAAAGGATTCTAAAAGCAGCAAAAGAAACAGATAACATACCATGGACCACCAATATAGTCTAGCAGCAGACTTTTTCAGTGCAAATCTTACAGGTCATGAGAGAGCAGCATGACATATTTAAAATGCTAAAAAAAAAAACGTTAATACTAGAATAGTGTACTCAGTGAAAATACCCTTCAAACATGAAAGGGAAATAATGACTTCCCCAGACAAACAAAATATGAGGGACTTCCTCAACACCAGACCTGTCCTAGAAGAAATGCAAAAGATAATTTTTCAGCGTGAAAGAAAAGAACATTAATGAGAAATAAGAAATTATCTGCAGGTGCAAAACTAACTGATAATAGTGCGAAGAAAAACACAATATTATAATACTGTGATTACGGCGTGTAAACTACTTATAAAGACTAAAAGATGAACCAATTAAAAAAAAAAAACTACAGCTTTTCAAGACATAGACAGTGCCTAAGATATAAATAGAAATGACACAAAGTTGAAAGGTAGGTGGACAATGTTAAAATATAAGATTTTTACTAGTTTTCTCTGTTTTTTTTTGGTTTGTTTGCTTAGGCAATCAGTGTTATGTTGTCATCAGTATAAGATATTATTTGCAAGCCTCATGCATAGTAATTTTAAATACAAACATATGCAACGTAGTAACTTTAAATACAAACACATACAACAGATACACAAAAATAACAAACAAGAAATGAAAACACGTTATCAGGGAAAATCACCTTTACTAAAAAGAAGACAGGAAAGAAGAAACAAATGAAGAGAAGACCACAAAACAACCAGAAAACAAATACATGGCAGGAGCCAGTACTTAGTTATCAACAATAACATTGAATGTAAATGATCTAAACTCACCGATCAAAGGACATAGAGTAGCTGAATGAATATAAAAATAAGACCCAATGATCTGTCACTTACAAGAAACACACCTCCCCTAAAAAGACATATAGATTGAAAGTGAAGAGATAACAAAAAGATGTTTCATGCACGTGAAAACCAGAAAAGATCAGGAGTAGCTATATCTATATCAGATAAAATATATTTCAAGACAATAACTATAAAAAGAGGCAAAGAAGTTTACTATATAATAATAAAAAAGCTAGCACAAACATATGTATGGAAACTGCCACATTGCCATTATTGGCACATGCTTCTGAGCATGTACCCCAATGCCACCATTTGGAAAAAGTACTTTGGCTGGCATTCCCCATTGCAGTGTTGTTGCCAGTGGAATTGGGAACGCCTCAGCCCCTCTGGTGTAGCAGGTGCTTTAACCTTAAGGGGTCAAAAACCAAAGCTCTGGGCTTAATTCCAGCACCACAGGCCTACAACACGCAGCCCAGAAATACTGAGCTGAATCTTAGCCTCCTGAAATATTCCATAAATGAAGCCAGTCTCCTGAACCCAGCTTATGTAACAGTGAAACCCTCAAGGGCATAGAATATAAAAGCAAAAAACCCTTCCAAAAGACATCAGCTTAAAAGATTAAAGAAACCTCAGACCACAGAGATGAGAAAGAACCAGTGAAAGAACTCTGGCAACTTAGAAAGTCAGAGTGCCTTCTTAGCACCAAATGAACACACTAGCTTCCCAACAATGATTCTTAACCAGGCTGAAGCGGCTGAAATGATAGACATAGAATTCAGAAACAGGTTAGAAACAAACACTATCAAGATTCGGAAGAAAGCTGAAAGTCAATCTAAGGAATCTGATGAATCCAATAAAATGACACATTAGCTGAAAAATGAAATAGCTATTTTATGAAAGAACAAAATTGATCTGATAGAGCTGAAAAACTAACCTCAACAATGTCATAATGTAATCAGAAGTATTAACAGCATAATCAATGAGAAAATAATCTCAGAGCTTGAACACTTATTTTTGAATCAATTCAGTCAGACAAAAAAAGAATGGAAAAAAAAGAAAAATGAATGAAGTAAACCTCTGAGAAATATGGGATTATGTAAAAAGACCAAACCTATGACTCATTGATGTCCCTGAAAGAGAGGGAGAGAGAGTAAGCAACATTGAAAACATATTGGAGGATATTGAGCACAAAAAATTCCCTAACCTTGCTAGAGAGTTTAATATTCAAATTCAGGAAACACGGAGAATTCTTATGAGATACCATAAAAGACAACCACCCCCAAGACACATAGTCATCAGATTCTCCAAGGTCAACATGAAAGAAAAAATATTAAAGTCAGCTAGAAAGAAAAGGCAGGTCACCTACAAAGGGAATCCCATCAGACTAACAGCAGGTTTTTCAGGAGAAACTTTACAAGGCAGAAACAATTGGGAGCCAATATTCAACATTCTTAAAGACATGAAATTCCAACCAGTATCCCTATATATTTCATATCCAGCCAAACTAAGCTTCATAAGGAAAGGAGAAATAAGATCCCTTCAGACAAGCAAATGTTCAAGGAATTTGTTACTACCAGACCTGCCTTACAAGAGGTCCTGAAGGGAGTCCTAAACATAGAAATGAAAGATCACTAACAGCCACCAAAAAACACACTCAAGTACATAGACCATTGACATTATAAAGCAACTACACAATCAAGTCTGCATAACAACCAAGCAAGAACACAATGGCAGGATCATATCTACACGTATTAATATTAACCTTGAATGTAAACAGGCTAAACACAGCACATAAAAGTCGTTTATTATTAAAAGAGCTGCCGGGCGCCGTGGCTCACGCCTGTAATCCCAGCACTGTGGGAGGCCAAGGCGGGCGGATCACCAGGTCAGGAGATCAAGACCATCCGGGCTAACACGGTGAAACCCCGTCTCTACTAAAATACAAAAAATTAGCTGGGCGTGGTGGCGGGCACTTGTAGTCCCAGCTACTCGGGAGGCTGAAGCCGGAGAATGGCGTGAACCCAGGAGGCGGAGCTTGCAGTGAGCCAAGATCGCGCCACTGCACTCCAGCCTGGGCGACAGAGCGAGACTCCATCTCAAAAAAAAAAAAAAAAAAAAAAAAAAAAAAGAGCGTCCAGTTGTATAGACAAGTGAAACACTGAACTGTATGCTGTCTTCGGGAGACCCATCTCATATGCAACTCCCATAGGCTCAACATAAAGCGATGGAGAAAAATGACCAAGCCAATGGGAAACAAAAAAGAGCAGAAGTTGCTATTCTAATTTCAGGCAATACAAACTTTAAACCAACAATTATCAGAAATGACAAAGAAGGGCATTGCATAATGATAAAGGGCCCAATTCAACAAGAAGACCTCACTATCCTAAATATATAGGTACCCAACACTGGTTCAGCTGGATTCATAAAACAAGTTCTTAGAGACCTACAGACACGTAGAAAACCACACAACAATACTGGAAGAGTTCAACACTCAGTATTAGATTGTCAAGGCAGAAAACTAACAAAGATATTCATAAACTAAACTCAACATTTGACTAAGTGGTCCTAACAGACATCTACAGAACACTCCACCCAATAACAGCATAATACACATTCTTCTCATCTACACATGGCACATACTCTGAAATCAACCACATGATTGGACACAGACTAATTGTAAACAAATTATAAAAAAAACTGAAATCATGTCAACCATACTCTTGGACCACAGCACAAAAAAAATAGAAATCAAGAGTTATAAGATCTCTCAAAATCATACAATTACATGGAAATTAAACAATCTGCTAGTGAATGACTTGGGTAAGCCATAAAATGAAGGTAGAAAACAAGACATTCTTTGGCACTAATGAAAACCAAGATTAAATATACTAGAATCTCTGGGACACAGCTATAGCAGTGTTAGGAGTATTGTTTACAGAACGAAACACCCACATAAACAAGTTAGAGAGATCTCACATTAGCAACCTACCACCACACTTAGAGGACATAGTAAAACAAGAACAAATAATCCCAAAGCTAGCAAAAAAAAAAAAAAATTAGCATCAAAATGAGATCAGCTGACAAGGCGGCTGGGAAACAACTGAGGATCAGTGGCCGAAAGAAAGCTGTCGACAAAGAAAAACTTAAAAAAAAAAACAAACCACACATGGTTGAAATTATTCCAAGAATCGTGAACTGTTACACATTTCACAATTTGGGAATTGGGCATTCATCATTCTCACAATTTAGCCTTTTATTCTGGTCTTCAGCAAAGTGGCCAATTGGTGAACTGATTTTTTTGCCAAGCAAGGAGCCTGCCCGCCTTTATGGCAGCCTCACAGAGGGGTATTGGGCACAGCGTAGACACAGGAGGGGTCACTGCATTTGGGGTTTGCACTTCCTGTGAAGGCCAGCTGTGTACCTCCCAGTCCTGGAGTTAATGGATCTCATCTTAAGGAACCCTGCTCATGTGTGTGAGCTTCAACCTGCACGTTCTAAAGAGGAATAAACGCTAGAGGAAAATAAAACGTTTGATCATTATTATTCTGTAATATTTTACAATAAAAACGACAAGCTCATGGATTTTAATCCAAGCCAAAGTAATGGTAAGAATTAAGTTCCTTCCTTAAGATACCCTCAGAAGGCTCAAACACTGCTCTATGCTCAGAGGTAATAAGTAGAGGCTTAGCTGATAATCTCTACATAATAATTTCACTAGTTGATCATCGTCAGGTATAATGGCACTATGCGATGGATCTACTAACATTTCCTATAAGTAGATTGTTTACTTAGGTCTTTTATAAATTGTTTTCAATACTTTTTGTAGTGTTTGGTATCCATTGGAATCCAGGCCAAGGTGATGTTCTTTGTACCACTTGTAGACTTGTAGAATCCCAGATCACTCAAGCAGGTTAAAGCTGCCCAGCTGCTTTCTGTTTTTTTTTCTTTTCTCTCATAAAGAAAATGAGACACAAATTTCATTTTGGGAGCTACTATTCCTATTTTACGCAACTGCCAGAATATTCTGAATTGAGTAAAATAACATTAAGTGTTGTTTGCATTCGTGCATCCACATCACAGTGATGGACCTCAGCTCACACTGAAGTTCCTGCTGCAGGAGGATGCACAGACTGGGAGCCCATTGCTGGGACATCTGAGAAGAGCTTCAAAAAAGGCATCTTTATCTCCTGGTTGAGATAGAGGCCTTGGGAAGGAGTGCCCACCTCCAGCCTGTGGCTGCCCTTTTTTGTGCAGAGAGCAGTTGGCTGTGCAGGGCTGCGGATGCACTGCCACAGAGGTACAGAGGTCTGGCTGGTGCTAGTAGACTCCAGGGTTGAGGGAAAATGCTTGAGCTTGTTTCCAGAGACATTGTACCCTTCCTTGGCACCGCCTTTGGTCATGCTGCCAATACTACCTGAATAATGGATCAGCCTCAGCCCCTATTCTTGGTCTTATTGATAACAGAACACTGAATAATGGTTCCTAATCTGAGCAAATTTCAGGATGATCTTTTTCCCTGTGTGTCTGTGATATCTTGGTATCTGGCTGATCCCTGCCTCCATGGGGGCTGTGGGAGAGGCAGGCAGAAAGTGAGGACAAGGCTTCAGAAGTGGCAGGACTCTGCAGAGGAAAGGGGAAAAAAAGGCTTGGAGCCCAGACTTTGGAAACGTGTGAAAGGTGGGCCTGTTGTGTTACTCCCCATGCCTACAGAGTTCACCTAGTCCGGGGCATTCTGACTGGGCTCAGGCAGGATCCACCTACTCTCATGGAGGCTGTTGCCTGGTGAGAGCTGCAGGGAAGATGGGGTGCAGCAGAGACGCACTGGGCTTAAGCCACAGCCCACCCCTCACTTTCCCATTTTCCTCTGAGATAGTTGCTCCTCTGTCTGCACCTGCCCTTGACACCAAGGCTGCCAGGCCAAACTTCTTCAACTGTGGATCTCATTAAAGATTAGAGGTATTTCCTGTATGTTGTATAACTGTAGGTAGTCTAGCAATAACTGAAAACTGCTGCAACATCTGCATGATATTGGATGCCAGCCCTGATTTTTCTTAACCCTTTCCTTCCTAGGCTGCTCTCCCAGGTTCTCCCCAGAGTCTCTTAGAGCCCAGTGGACCACAGTGCCATCTTGTGGCCAATAAGTGAAATTTCATCATTGCTTTTGCAAGGGAAATGGCCCAAGGGATGCTGGGAAGTGTCTGCAGAGGGAGCCGGGAGACTATTCCAGAAGTGCCATCCTGCAGGTTTTACAAGCAACTTCTCTGAACCCCGATCCCAACATTAGTTTTAACCCTGACTGTTCCTTTGAGTTATCAAGCTTAATATCCCACCCTCATTCTAAATAATTCTTACCCCATAGCTGCAGTTACAGTCTCACTGACATTTTCTCCCTTAAAACTATCTAAAGAGAGAGGAATAGAATAGGAAGAATAGAAGGAAATAATATTTACCCTAAAGTAGGAAGAAAACACAGAAAGTGAAATGTAACGTAATTTCATTTCCATTACCAAAGATAAACAAATATGTCCCCCCAAATGACAATGGTACCATAAAAATAAAGATTAGCAAAAGTCTAGGCAGATAATGTGATTACCTTCAAGATGGGGTCAGATATGTGTTAATAAAAAGTAAAACTGGGATATAAAAAATAGGATCCCTTGGTCAGGCGTAGTGGCTTCTGCCTGCAATCCCAGCACTTTGGGAGGCCAAGGCGGGCGGATCACGAGGTCAGGAGATAGAGACCATCCTGGCTAACACGGTGAAACCCCGTCTCTATACTAAAAAATACAGAAAATCATCCGGGCGTGGTGGCGGGCGCCTGTAGTCCCAGCTACTCGCTACTCGGGAGGCTGAGGCAGGAGAATGGCGTGAACCCGGAAGGCAGAGCTTGTAGTGAGCCGAGATTGCGCCACTGCACTCCAGCCTGGGCGACAGAGTGAGACTCTGTCTGGGGGCGGGGGGTAAAGGATCCCTTGCAAGGCAATAAGCAATCATGGAGGGAGCAGTATCTAATGGGAAAATAAGGATGGATATAATTAAGACCAGCAAAAGGTCTGCTACAGTAAAAGAATAGCTTGTGCAATGCACATGTGCTGATCTGAGCAGCAGAGAGGGAGGAGATGATTCTGGAAGAGGTAGAGGAGTGGTGTGAGATGACGGTACGCTGCTGCAAAATAGTATCATAAGGAAGCAAATCAGCCAGGGAACTGGGGATTATATGACCTTTCTATCCACTATCTTCTGTGACAGACCAGATGAACCATTTCCCTTTCCAATGACTTGCTCTACAGTCCTTGCTCCGTCCCAGTTAAAGGCTCCCGGAATTTCTGCTCCTCAGGTTCCCATGGACCAACTCATTCCTTCGTCGTTGAGCAGAGTCTAAAGGGGAGGTCATCTCTTCGTGCCCTGAAGTCCCAGAGTAGCTGGTATAGTCCTCTCTTGTGGCTTGATCACAGGCCCCCAACTCTGTGCCTTTCATTTCCAGTAGACTGAAAGTTAGGTGTGAGTAATGAACCTTGAACAATGCCTTTATCAGAGGGCATGTAAGTGACTGCTTTCAGAATCATTGCTGTTTCTTTCACTGCCTCAGATTATATCTGAACAGAAAAGATGCACAATGGGAATGATTTCTTAAATTAATTTAACCACAAAAATCTTTCAAAGTTCCATAAATAATGCAACCAAAATAATTGCTCTCCTAAATGGTGACATTGTAGAGTGAAACAAAAAGCAAATAAAATTATGTCAAGTATTTGAGAGGAACCTCTGAAACCCAATCCTTCTTATACAAACATCATCGTATGGCCTCCCTCTACCTGAGAGACAGCAGAGCCACACCCATGCCCTGCACCTGGCAGGAAAGCCTTGCTGGAGCCTGTGGGGAGCTGGCGAGGAGGAGACGTGGTGATTCTGCCCCAGAGCAGAGATTCTCTGGGAGCTCTGGATGACCTCCAGGGACTGAGATGGACGGGGGCTGTACTATATATTGGAGAGGAGGACATTTAGGTAGTGTGATCTTTTTGACCTCTCAGCTGGAAATAGATCCAAGGTCATTGGTGACTGGTGTGGAACTGCTTAGTTTCCAAAGCAAATTAGTCCATGCCCAAGGGTGTGTCTGTGCCACTGAAGAATTGTCTGACTCTAAAGTGGTTCACGGCCCAGAGCTGCTGCTTGCCCCATCTCTGTTCCCAATGACTGCAGCATCTACATATTCCATGCAAGGAAGGATAATTTGAAAATAATAAACTGGTTCACTGTATCCTTTAGCTACATTCAAAATAGTTGTCAAGTTGTGGACTGACATGCTTACAGGAGACACAGACCCACAAAGTGAGGGAATTTGGAGATTGAATAGAAATAGTGTCAGGTGAGGTTATTTTAGATTATGGTTTCTAAAAGCAAGAACAGAGAGGAGGTGAATTCGGAGTCCTTTTGGCCCCACAAGACATGACGACATAACAGGGACATCACTGTCTCAGAAAACATTCCAGTGATGTGCTGGTACACTGAGTGTCTGTGGAGGTGGGCACATGCCTAGTAGTACTTACCAATTTCTGTTGTATCAACACAGGCACTATGGTGGATTTCAAGCTGTCAACATGGCTTCACTGAATGGGGAGCTGGGAAGAGTGTGCCTATTTGTCTCTCGTGAGTCAGAAAAGTTGGCTCCAGCACATCAATTGACTCAGAAGCCCAACTTTCAAAGCTCTTCAGTGCTTAATACTCAACTCCTAGAAATGAGGCATCAGCAACGATAGCAAAGCCCATTGTTTTTGTAATAGGATGAGAGTGTGACCCTGGGTCTTCGAGTGGACAAAGGGAAGTTTGAGCCCAGAAAGGATTGATGAGTTCTCTGAAGTTGCTGAGAGCACAGAGCTCTCAGGGTTGTGCTGGCTGGTTTGGAAACTTCTAGACTTTGATTTGAAATACTTTTATTGACGTGCTCCTTTTTTAACTCAAAGAGATTAGTTACATTCATTTGGAGCAGGGCCTTTATTGCTTCTTGTTTGCTTATTAATAAAACCTTCCCTTTGCTGTCCTTGTATGTTAACTCTCAGTGCAGGTGGGAAACCCTGCTCACCTTTTTTTACCACTTCTTTCAGCATCAGTGTTTACAGTTGTGGTTTGTGTTCTGTTCAATCTTAAGTTTCAGAGCTGGTCCATTATTAGGACCATTTGTCTTAGGGGTCATGAGGATAAAGGTGGGAAAAGCTGGAGACAGGGTCTAGCAAGGAAGTCCTTGGAACAGCATCCTAAGGTCAGGAAATTCCCATCTGTGCCTGGGACTTATTCACTCCCAGGACACACAGGGCAACTAAAAAAGGAATGATCTGTTGATAGAACAATTAGAATGGATTCAGAACAATCCCTGCCAACGATCATCATTTGCTAGAGAAAGAAATTTGGTATCTGAGCTACCACAATTTCTGATAAGTGAATTTAGGGAACTATAATTCCCCAACCAGCTCTGCAGGACTCAGGGCACCTCTGTCCTGGCTGGGTCTGGGATAATCTATCTTAACCTTTGTGTATAGGGCTGTCTCTGAGGACTCCCAGAAACCCATGATCCATAATCATGTCAGCTCTGACCACAGCTTGAAATTTCATATATGTGAAATGTAGCTTCACTCAAAGAGAGGTGAAGAATTTTTATTACAGTATACTCATTTATATTTGCAACAAACACTATATTGCAATATGTAAAATAACAAACAAAACAAAAGTAATATAAGCATTATTGTTTTTAAAACTCCATCTTCTCAAGTTAAAGACCTCAGGGAAATTATTTCAAATCAAAAGACTAGAGCAGCAATTACCAGAGGTTGGGATGGAGATGGGGTGCTGGGGAGATGTTGGTTAAAGGATACAAAATTTCACTCAAATAGGAGGAAGAAGTTCAAAAGATCTATTGTACAACACAGTGACTAAAGTTAGTAACAGTGGATTGTATTCTGGAATATTGCTAACAGAGTACATTTCAAGTATTCTCACCACAGGAAAGGATAAGGATTGAGGTACTGCATATGTTAATTAGCTAGATTTAGTCACTTCACCATGTACATACATTTTTAAACGCAGGTTGCATGGTATACATGTACACAACTCTTATTTGTCAGCATTCAGGTTCTAGAAACCCGATTTCCTAGGGAACCAAGTTGACACTGGAGCAGTAGTGGACGCATGCTTCAGTCTCTCAGGACAGGAGCAGTGGTAAATGAAAACAAAATAAAGAACTCGCATTGCTTACACTAGGCAGAAGAAACGAAGTCTTATTGTTATCTTGGCTGTATTCACCAAGTAATGGCCACAAAAGCCACAAAGACTTTTAAATCAAACAGGAAGAATGGTTTGCTCTTGTATTGCAGAAAACTTCCAATGTAACAGAAGAGGCTTCAGAAGAAAGAATGTTCTTGTGGATGAAGCTTCAGACCTTGCAGATGCCCCAACACATGTAGGGGAAGACACCTGTTCCTCAGCCATGCCCGAAGCTTCTCTATGTGGGCAGCAACCTCCCAGGCCCCAAAGAAGACTGTGTGTCCCAGCCCTGAAGGCCAAGGCTAAGACACCCAGTGCTTGCCTTAGAGCAATGAGCTGGCTCTGAGGACTCCAATAGCCCGGTGGGCCACGATTGCTTCCACCACCCACATTTACAGTTACTGTGTCTTAAGGGTAAATCTGTGGTCTCTTTCTACCCAAAGGACAAGCTGAGGTCCAAATCTACTTGTTTCCCATGGGGAGGGAGAAGCAAAGAGAAGCCTCTGTTAAGGGTGTCTAGGAGCTGCAAGGAGAGAGAAGGATGAGGTTTATGAGCAGGAAGGAGGCGACTGTGCCATGCTGTGGCTAAGCTGCTGGCACAGAGATACACGGCCGAGTCCTCCTGCTGTGTGCGCTGGATCGTCAGAGTGGAGACGGATCCCCCAGTCCTCTCTGCAGAGAAGCGATCACTGGGCAGCCCTGATTTGTCTGGTGCACTGTTGCCTTGGAAGTAAATTAAAAACTCCAGGCCCTGCCCCAGGCTCTGTCGGTACCAGTAAAGGGCAGTATGACCTGAAATTGGATCACACCTGAGCTCTACATCCTTTCCCTTCTCTGTGACCTTGTTACTGGGGGACTGGGAGACTCCAGCTCCTGTGTGATCTGTGGAGACAAAGTTGGGAACAGAATGAGGAAAATAATTTTAGTCATCACACGAATGCACACAGCCCACCCCTACACACACACACACACACACACACACACACACACACACACACACACACACAATGAGAATGGTTGGTGTCTGAGGACTCACCTGCCCCCAGGAGACAGAAGGCCACCCAGAAGAGGAGCCTGGTGCCCATGGCAGGGTCAGGGCAGGATGGGAGCTTTACCAGATCAGGATCACTGTGAGCAGGAGCAGAGGAGGAGGGACGCCCCGTCCTTACACGGAAGTTCCCACAGTGACATCACTTCCTCTCTCAATCTGCATGACCTCAGGAACACAGGATTTATATTAGACCACACTTGGGTGACTACTTTAAATATTTATAAGCTCCTTGTAAACAACGTTATTGCATGGGACATCGCTTTGGGCTCCCATGCTGTCTGGACTTGGAGGCCTCACGCTGCATCTCCGAGTTCACCTTCTCATCCCACAGCCGCTCCTCTGTCTGCTGAACACGTTCTGTAGGATGTGCCAACAGTGCCCCCAACACCAGGCACCATGGGATGAGCTCATTGTCTTTCCTCCAAGTCAGGGTCCCCTCTGCCATCCCCATTCATGCCCCAGCCTCCTCCATTCCCCCACTCACATGTGCCCAACGGGATTGTCCCATCACATGGGTTCCCTCACAAACTGCCCTCATACATTTCTTCTGGGATCATTTCCCACCCTTGTTAACTATAACTCTGAAAAGATACTTTGGTGGCAAACTCACAGAATTATTTTGGTTTTCCATATTTTCTTGTCCTGTCCTGTAGGTATTTTTTATCAATCTCAATTCTGATTTAACAGTTATTTTTAATCCTCTTTCTTGACTTTGACTATTTCTTTCTTTCTATTCCCCTGGAGGATATTTATCTTTCCCTTTTGACTGCTGTTAAAATCTTTTCTTTGTCATTTGTGGTCTGCAGTTTCACAGGGACCTGCCTACTTGTCTTGCAATTCATCTGAATTCTTGAACGAGGATTTCGGTCCTCAAACATCTCAGGAACATTCTCAGCTAGCATCACATACACAATCACCTCAGATCATTTGCCTTATTTTCTCTTTCTGAAACGTCAGTTATATACAAGAAAGTAAGAAAAGTTTCAATAAAACATTATATGCTTTCTAATATTCTAGAAACTTCATTTTTTCCTTGTTCCTTCACTTTTTTTATATTTTACATTTAATTTTCTGTGCTGCATTCTAGGTGATTTCTTGAGATCCTCCTTTGATATTGCTAACAATCTCTTTAGAAGCATTGAATCTGCTGTTTAGCTTCCATTTTGTTTTGTGGAGTAATCGTAATGATTTCTAGACATTCTATTTGATTATTTCTTTAATGTTTTTTGATGGTTTCGGGCCGTCTCTTTTTTGTGTGTATTCTTGTTTCAGTCCCTTCTTGTATTCATTTAAATGTAGCTCTTCAAACGTTCACATCTTATGATGGCAAAATTTTAAATCTTTAGGATGTCCATTTTAATGGTTTATTGCTTCTGCTCACTGGTCCTCCTTGGTTTTTGTTCTAATACTTTTAATAGTCGGAATAAATTGGTCTTATGTTAATCTGTGAAATTCAGGGAGAGGCCAGGCTTGAGAGTGCAGAATGTCAAGATTCCATAGTTTTTCAACTGTCTCTGGTCTCACCCCCAAATGCATGGGGTCGGGAACAGTCTGCTGCGCTCCAAGCTGCGAAATACCCCTGTAGATTTGATTCCTCACATCACAACCTGCTCTGAGGACAGTCCCAATGTAGGTTCCAGAAGAGAATTCTGATTTTCTCTTTCCTATTTATTATGCTTCCTCCATGAAATAGAGCCTGTAAGACTGTATATGAATGACGGTTTTTTTCCTGTTCTTTCAAGGAAATCAAAGTCGGATTTGTTCCACCATTAGCCAACTTAAGACAATTATGGGACAAAAATAGCTCACTATTTGGATCAAACTTTTACAAAGGAAAATCAATATTTTTTTTGTTGAAATCATATGCTCTCCTTTGAGTAGAATAAGAGGTCACGGTCACATTAATCATGAATTAAATCTGCCTAGCTATATCTCCCCTCCAGACCTTCTCTTCCTCAGCTCCCCCTACATTTATATAAGGTCTAACTCCTGTCATAAATCCTCCTCTCCATAGTACTTTTAGTGATTCTGTTTTATTGATGTAAACCTAATGGAGTTTTTGGTACCAGAAGTGGTTCCAAAATAACACAACTCTATGCATGGGTTTCTGGAAAGGGATCTCTGATCTGTGTAGAGTTGTTGTGGGAAAGAGTCTGAAGGAGAGCACAGAGACCTGGAGGAGGTCTGGTGCTGCAGACTCAGGAGGAATCTTTGACCAAGGTGGGGCCGCCCATGATAGCGACTCCCCATTAATTTCAAGGACCTCCCGTAGCCCAGCAATCAAAAGGGTAAGAGTTCTTGTACTTACAGCCAGATCTCCGCAAGGGTAAAATGGATCTAGGGTGCTCCTGTTATGGATTCATCCATCCACTCATCACTCACTCCATCACTGACTCATCCATTCTCTGAAATGCATCTCCCCTTGTGCCAGGCTCAGCTGCTGATTTATAACCCAGGCATAGCCTTGGCCTTCATGGGGTTTAAAGTACTTGGAAGATTCCAACTGTGCTAAATTCTACTGATTAACAGACACATGATACCATGAGAGATTATGAGAGGGAAACTGACCTCAGCTGGGAGCCAAGGGAAGCATAATGGTGATTATCACTAGGGCTGATGATGCTGAGATCTGAAGCACAGGTAGGTGTTGACCACTACAGAAAGGAAGGCTCCAGCCCAGGGCACAGGAAATGGACTTTGGAGTCTCTCAACATGGCTGGAGTAGAGAAGGGCAGGGAGGTCGGGGAGGAGAAACCCAGCAAGGCCTTGGAGGGCGACTGTGAATATAGGAAATGCAGGCTGCAGCTGAGACCACCGTAGGGTTCAACATGAGGAAAAATCATAGAGAGAGGAAAGCACGTGGTACCCAGGTAGAGACGGGAGTCTAGATGGATCTGAAATACAAATCCTATTTCACCTAGGAGGCCTCAGACTCAGGTGAATGACTAGGAAAGTCAGAGCTGGGAAACCCCTGGCACTAGCCCAAAAGGACACCTCAGAGGAAAGACCGGAGGGCAACAAGGAAGACATCTGAGGTCCTGGGACCGATCCAGGCCTGGCCGAGACCGACTGCAGAGGCACCTGGCACAGATGAAGGCTCGCACTGCCCGGGCCCATTGGGGCTCCAAAGTTTTCGGTGCTAGGACCAAGGGCATCGCTGAATCTGTGCTGCGGAGGAGGGCAGCACCTTCCCTTGCCTTTCTGTGCAGAGAGGAGACAGCCGTGCAGCACTGTGGAGTAACTGCTGGCACAGAAGTACACAGATGTTTGGGAGGGAGCAGCCGACTCCAACCCCAGCAGGAAATTCTGTTTTTTTAATCTGGAGACATTGTAGCCATCAGGGACCTCTCCTTTGGCAGTTGTACCCTCACCAACTGAGTAATGAATCAGCCTCAGCCCCATGCCTGGGTCTTGTCGATACCAGTACATGTATTCATGGTTCATATCCTGGGCACACAGCAGTGTCATGCTCTGTCCTGTCTTCAGGACCCGGAATTTTGGGGTCTGAGTGACACCAGCATTCACTGGACCTGCAGAGAAGGACAAAGCTGATGCTACAGCTCCAGTGGAAAGGGGATGGGCCTTGAAATCCACACAAGGGGCCCCGCCCAGGACCCACCTGCCCACAGGAGAGAAAAGGCCCCACAGCACAGGAGCCCGAGGCTCATGGCAGGAACTGCAGGATGGAGGGGTCCTCTGGGTCTGTGCATTGGTGAAAAGGGAACACGTCTTTCAAGGGCGTCATTCTGAGACCTCATTCTCCCTGCCTGGGCCCCAGAGCCTTGCTGTCAGGAGAGGCCACGCCCCTTCCCCAGATGGTCAAATTCAAGATCAATGCACCAGTGAACAGTTTGGATGGGAAGAATGCCTTTGTCTGAATCGATGCAAGTCTACCATTTTTTAAATATCTTTTGGTAATTAGTTTGTAACTCAATGTATATTTTTTATTCCCATGATGATACAAATTACTTGGCTGTGCATAGTGGCCCATGCCTGTAATCCTAGCCCTTTGGGAGGCTGAAGAGAGCAGATCACTTCAGGCCAGGAGTTGGAGACCAGCCTGACCAACATGGTGAAATCCCATCTGTACTAAAAATATAGAAATTATCCAGGCATCCTGACGTGCACCTATAGTCCCAGCTACTCGGGAGACGGAGGCACCAGAATTCTTGAACCAGGGAGGCGGAGGTTGCAGTAAGCCGAGATCATGCCACTGCATTCCAGCCTTGATGACAGAGTGCGACTCCATCTCAAAATAATAATACTAATAATTACTCATTAATACACTGGTATTGGTTATCTAAGTATTGCTATAGTCTACAATCTTGGAAAAACTCCTCATGTCTTCCTGGTGTTTTTGATTCCTGTGTCCCAAATACTCCTTCAAGTATCCTTTTCTAATTTGCTTAATTGATCATAATCCGATAGTCCTGTTTAAAATCCTTTGTCTATATTGGTTTTCTCTGTTATTAGCTTTCCAAATCCCAGGGGCAGTCTCATCAACATTGAAGGAGTTGTTTTGTTCTGTTTCTTGTGAATTCACTGACAGATGGGACTCCTGACAAACCCAGATGAGCACTTTCAGCTCCACCCAGGGCTCCTTCTTTCTGTGCCTGGGGTGAGATCCCAGCAGGCAGAACCACCTCACGCTACTGACTACCCTCTCTGTGTGGACAGTGGTGGCTGCCAAGCACTGCCCATGATCTATGGGCACAAAGGTATCCTGATGTGTAAGGGAGTTTGGGAGACAGGGCTGACTTTAGGGTAATGAGGAATGTTCTGGATTTATTGCTGCCATTAATTTAGTGATAAAGAAAAAGGAACCAACCCAAATGCCCATCAATCAACGAGTGGATAAAGAAACTGTGATATATATATATCATATATATATCATATATATCACATATATATCATATATATCATATATATATCATATATGTATGATGAAATACTACACAGCCATAAAAAGGAATGAATAAACAGCATTTGGAATGATCTACCTGGATGAGATGGGAGACTATTATTCTAAGTGAAGTAACTCAGAAATGTAAAACCAAACATAGCATGTTCTCACCGATATTTGGGAGCAAAGCTATGAGGTCACAAAGGCATAAGAATGATACAACGGACTTTGGGGAAGTGTTGGGGAAACAGCAGGAGGGGGTGAGGGATAAAAGACTACAAATATGGTGCAGTGTATACTGCTCAGATGGTGGGTTCACCAAAGTCTTGCAAGTCATCACTAAAAACTTACTCATATAACCAAATACCACCTGTACCCCAATAATATATGGAAAAATAAAAATTAAATTAAAATTTAAAAAAATATTCTCGCATGGCCTACAGCCATGAACATAGAGTGTTGTTTCCGTTTTTGTTTAAAAAAAATGAGCTCCAAAAGTCTATCTTTGGTGCACAGAGGCCTGCATTTGGAAGGACCCTGCACTTGGTTTCACATTCTACTGCCATGATCTTCAAATTCCTAACAGTGTTTGAACAAAGCACCTGCCAGTAAGTCTTGCCACTGGTTGTAAATACATGATTTTGTTTCATATACTGCTCACCTCCCCGTGTGCTGGTTTCCTTTCAGCACAAGAGCATGACCAGGGTCTGGGTCACTCAGCATCTGTGGAACTTAAGAGTAAAGAAAACACAAATTCAAGTCACAGCAAAGGACCCCCTGGTACTGAAAGTCACAGCTGGGATCAAACAAGCCCACGAATAGGTTCCAAATCTGCGCCCAGGACTCTGCTTCAGGAGACAGAGAAACACACAGCACAGTGGCCTGGTGCCCAGGGCAGGGTGAGAAAAGGAAGATGGATTTTAGCCTAAGGCTCAGGTTTTATGGGTTGGACACATGGGGTCAAGTCAAAGAGAACCCTTCTCCCAATAAGACATCATCTGTCAATGAAGTCACTGTGATCATGGTTTGCTTGACCCCAGCATGCTCACTGTGTGAACACAAAGCCCAGCTGCATGTGTGTCTGATGGGAACTCAAAATAATTTCCTTAAAGATGATTAACTTTTGTCAAAACGTAACATAAAATTATTTGATTGAATGAATTGACGAGAAAATAAACGAATGAAAATGAATAAATTTTGTAGAATCAGCTTCTACCATCCGAAAAGACCTTTTGAGGTTATTTCGGCACAATATCCATCTCCAGATAGAATTGTCCCTACCATGGGTCAGGTAGCTCACCTAGCTTCAACCACTTCTAAAACCATAAAACCTCCAGGAACTCCTCCCTGCCTTGATGATTTAGCTATGTATTCAAGAGGATTATTCAGAAGAGGTTTGACATTTGCATTAAAAATATTTGCCAACAAAACGACTCTCCAGTGATAGAAGTCACATCATTGGTTGCTGGGACAGACAGAGGCATTGCAGAGGGGAGTGAGGGACTTTCTGGGTGATGCAGATACATCTTCATAGAGGTGGGGTTGCATATATAGATATATGTTGCTCAAAAATCACAGATATGTTCATTTAAAAGGTGTCCTGTTAACTTCATATACTTTAAAGATCAATAATGTTGATTTTTAAATGCCTGAGGAGATATGTATGCTACATCCTCTAGTTAATTTTATCAGATGAATTATCAGGCATATATATTTCCATTTCTGTGACTTCTGAGTCCTCAACCTAAGATTTCTTGGCAGAATGTGTCCATATCTGTCTTTGCACATTGGTGTGGTGGACGAGGTTGTCTGAGATCAGCAAAGGAAATCAAAATAGCTAGGCTTCTACTATATGCTAGATATTTTATGCCATTAAAGGTTATCTAGAACTCTGCTGATGGACAGTAGTAGTCTCATTTTATAGGTAAAAAAAAAACTGAAAAACTTAAGTTAACCCGTTAAGAACTGGCCTCAGGTCTTGATGAGCTGGTGTTAGAGTGGGAGTCAGGGCGGGGAGTCATGGTGCCTCTTCAGACTTCTTTCCCTACTCCACCATCTCCAGGGTAAACTGATCTCTGACTATGATGCTATTAGAGCCAGCAGGCCTAAAGGGGATGTAGGGGAAAACTTTCCAATGTTTTCTAGGTTGGCAGCTTTATGAAATATTTTATAGCATAGAGCTATAAACATGGAACTTAGACTGGGCAGGGTTGGAGGATCAGTACTGCATCCTAATAGCTATTTAATTTGGTCAGGTTATTTAACCAATGAGCCAATTCTCTCACGTGTACAATGAGAAAAGCATTTGTGTCTTAGGGTTTTCTTCTGACAGTCGAATTTCTAAATAACTGAAACTTCCCAAAAGCAGGACTTCTATTTTGTGTATAGCAAAGTAAGAGTAAATGATGGAATCATTATTTTATTCTCCGTCTTGCCCATGGAGTAGAATTGAAATGTGAATGCCCATTCATGTAATCCAAGCTTTCAGTTCTGCAAATGACTCTCCCACTTATGTGACAGACAGTTTCATAGAAACAGTCAAAGTCCATAAATGTGGTATATTCATACAATGGAATATTATTAAGCATTAAAAAGAAGAAAACCCCGTCACTCGTGACAACATGGATAAAGCTGCAGGACACTGTGATAAGTGACTAAGCCTGGCACAGAAAGACAAATACTCCCTGATTCTGCTTATAGCAGGCTACCTAAAAGCCAAACTCATGAAAGCAAAGATAAAAATGGTGATATCCATGGGCTGGGAATGGAGAAAATGGGGAGTTGCTGTCAGCAGGTATAAAATTTCAGTTCAGCAAGATAAGTAAGAGCTAGAGAGCTTCTGTACAACCTTGTACCTGTAGATTACAATACTGTATTGTACACTTAAAAATCTATTTAAAATACAGATCTCATGTTACATGTTCCTACCACATTAAATTAAAATGCTGGCAAAAAAAATGAGGGAGGTAGCTAAAGAGAGACAGAGAAAGAAAGGGAAATTTTTGTAATTCAGAAACTGAGTAAAGTACTTTGAATATAAAACTAAAATAAAACAAAATAAATTTAAGCCTTAATACTCTAAAAAGTAAGAAATATTTGTTATTAAACAATTTTTCCCATTTTTTATTTTATGTCATAAAATATACAAAGAAAGGGCCTCAAAGACTTTATTGAATAAAGGATATAAAAGAAATTAACTAATGAATAACAGTTATTCATGTTACTTTTCCTCAAGGTACATTGCATTAGTGACAGAAAGTCTACAGGGTAGAAAATTTCATCTTTCTTTTGGCTGCAATGAAGAATGAATGGATATGCTTGGCCCGGAAGTCACGTGTTTCTTGGACTTGTCAAGGAAGAGGTTCTAATGGTCACATAGGAGGCATGACCTTCCCCTCCTGCTAATGGGACCTGGAGAGAGGAAGCCAGATGACGGGACAGATGTACTGAGTAGGGAGGGTGGAGAGGTGTTGGAGAGCACACGACAGCCAGTTATTAAATATGAGACCAGGGACAGCTGCCTTCCCTCAGATACAAAAACAGTCAAAATAATAAATACTTGTGATTTCAGTGAGCATTAAAACAGATCACATATAGAAGCAGCAGAGAATGTCTGGGAAAGAAAACGCTGTCAGCTCAGCAGGGCCTGAGCCCCTCTGGCTGGAAGCACCCGCCTCACAGTCACTTTCTGAATGGGGCAGGAAAGTTTCTGGCATTTCCTTGGGGAACTGGCCTTTCCCAGTTACTCCCTCTGCCGGCCACCCCTGCACTCTGCAACCATTGGCAGGGCCCAGGCTTTGCTACTCCATGAGATCTTCCTGTCTTACACAGCCCTGAAACTAAAGGTGGAGCGGGTGGAGCACAGCCCCCACATGCCCCATCACACCTGCCTTTCCTATGTCCTCCCTGTCCCAGGCCTGACACTTATTCCCAGCCCTTGCCACCCCAGCCCCTTCACCCTCCACTGCCCACGCAGAGGCAGACACCCTCCCTCCTTGGTACAAACTGAGGACTCTAGCATCCCTACCCTTCTTTGGCAGTGAGGGGTCTGTGCTTAATTCCACATGTCCAGGCCCACTCAGGGAATCCCAAAGGGCCCCTGATGGCAGCAGGCAGCCAGGCATCCCCTTCAGCCCTCTTCTCCTGGCCACTCTCCAGCCCTGCCCAGGGTTTCTTACAGCATCGTGGAGCTACAGCGCCTCCAAGTGGCCAAAGATCCACAGTCTCACGGATTCACACCTGGCCTGATGAACTCAAGATTGTCCAGAGAAGGAAGAGAGATGCCCTGCCCTCACTCCTGCAATCCCCACCCTCTCACACACACCCTCTGTATACTTGCCCAGAAGGGCCAATATAGGGTTGATCTGAAAGTTCACCTTTAGCTAGCAAAAGCAAGCATTAACCAACATTTTGATTGCAAAATAAACAATGTTACAGCATTGCAATTAGTATGCTAGGATGGACGAGAGGAGCCTGAAAAATACAGGCCACAGATTTAAACAGTGTGAAGATATCAAACAGCCCTATCCTGGAAACTGTATTCAATCGTTCCTTTTGATTAATCAGACCCATGTTCTCATATTTTGTATTTAAATGAATTATCAGCAAGTTTTAGGTAGTGCATTTTAGAAAGAAAATTCTTGGATTTTTTATAAATCTATTTCTGAACTTACAAAATCTTGAAATAAACAACCCTATCAGCTGTAACTTAGGCAGATTCAATTGGCTGTGACATTTCCTGTCACTCCCCAGAACTGCCTATGAGCTCTACCAGTGACCCAGCACCTCTCAGTAATGCCACCCAGAGAACCTGGGTCCATGTGGGTGAGTTTCCACAAGAACACACACACATGTACACGTACACACACACACACACATCCACACCATCCACACACATGCACATGCACACACACATCCATGCACACACATGCACGCACTCACACACATAGGCACACACACATTCACACATACGGTATCGTTTTATTTTTTTTTTTTCCTGAGGTGGAGTCTCACGCTGTCACCCAGACTGGAGTGCAATGACAAGATCTCAGCTCACAGCAACCTCTGCCTCCCGGGTTCACGTGATTCTCCTGCCTCAGCCTCCCAAGTAGCTGGGATTACAGGCACACACCACCACAACCCGCTAATTGTTTGTATTTTTAGTAGAGATAGGGTTTCACTATGTTGGCCAGACTCGTCTTGACCTCCTGACCTCGTGATCCACCCACCTCAGCCTTCCAAAGTGTTGGGATTACAGGCGTGAGCACCAAGCCTAGCCACACGCAATATCTTCTCTAACTCCCCCGGGGAAAGGGAGACTCCCTTTCCTGGTCGGCTAAGTAATGGGTGCTTTTTCTAGGCACTGACGCTAAGGCTAGACCAAGGTCCTCTAGGCAAGGGGCTTCCTCCCAGGCTCTGGGGTTACCACAAGGCCAAGGAGCCCTCTAGGGGCCCTGTCTGGGCATGACAGAGGGCTCACACTCTTGTCTTCTGATCACTTCTCACCGTGCCCCTTCAGCTCCTATCTCTGTATGGCCTGGTTTTTCCTAGGTTATAATTGTAGAGCAAGGATTATTATAATATTGGAATGAAGAGTAATGCTACAAACTGATTATTCATAATATTTGTATACCATCATATCTATAATCTATTACTAGTATAACTATTCTTATTTTATATATTTTCTTTATTATACTGGAACAGCTCGTGCCCTCGGTCTCTTGCCTCAGGACTTGGGTGGCTTACCGCCCACACAAATGGGAGTGGACAGAGGCACATTTGCTGCCTGCGGGGTTCAGAGAAGGTGTCTGTGAGGGATATGGAGCTTTGATCAGGGCTGGAATTTACGCTCTAGCTTGGAGTTTAAATAAGAACAATAGAGAAGAGACAAGATGGAAGATAGAATAATAGAATTGGGTTGACAGATATTTCTCAAACCCATTCCCCAAAAGCTCAGTTGTCTACTGTTCTCTCCAGCTGGCTCCCGCCCTGGGACCCTTGCCTGGAAGTTGCCTCTATGATTCCCCCAAACCCAGTGCTGCTTGACCTTGGGTGTCAGCAACCTATGACAGAATGGACCCCTGGTTACTGAGAAAGAGAGGCACGGAGACCACCAGGCATAAAGTGTCAGAAGAACTTGGCTCCTCACAGGACACTCTGTGGTCCAGTGCAGGGTATGACTCTGTAGTGACGCAGGTGGTTGTTGAGAGGGTCTTATAACATCTTAAACCAAACAATCCCCTTATAGCATGCTTGCTTTATTTTACAATTTAAAAAGGGATTTTAAAAAGACTAGATCTGAATGTGTTTATCATTTTTCAAATCAGTTAACAGGGCAGAGTCACACGCTAAAGAAAACCCACACTCTAAATATGAGCATAGGATGTAACGTTGCCACATGGATGAATGAGCAGGTGCTATGATGTTCTGAATCTTCTGTCGGGGCTCTTGCAGGAAATGTTCACCGAAGGCTTTGGTGGCCCCCACAGCTTCCTGGAGGGCCCCTAAGGTTTCTGCACAGGAAAGCGGTGACTCTGCAAGGCTGTGTCTTGGCTGCTGGCGCAGAGATACAGGGCCGAGTCTTCTGGCTGCAGGGTGTGTAGGTGAAGGAATAAGTGAGAGCTGTTGGGGCATTCAGGTGAGAAGCGACTTGGCACACTGTTGTTTTCAACCCGTTCTTCAAGACTGTAGACAAACATGAGCTCCAGTGGCTTCTTAGCACTTTGCTTGTACCAATACATAGCGTTATGACCCAGATGTTGTTCACATTTCAAAGACTTCTTATTTGTCATTCCCATGACCAGGTGTCTTGGTGTCTGCGTAACTCCCGTTTCCATGGGGACTGTGGGGGGAAAGGGACAAAATTCAGGCAGAGCCCAGGAGGAGGCTTGTTGCTGAAATCACAAGGAAAAAGCTTGGAATTCAAGGACAGCTGATGTGAACCCAACTCACCCGCTCCCAGGAGACAGAGAACCGCACAGCAGAGCAGCCTGCAGCCCATGCTAGCCTCGGGTCTGAGATGGGGCCTCTGACTGGGGTCCTCTGGGTGAGGTGCTGGGCTCTGGTCTCCTTGGCCTTGGTTGGTGGTTTTTCCTGTGATGTCACTGCTCCTGACAGTTTCCCCAGACCCAGGGGATATTTATACCCAGCCGTTTTACATCCTTTCTAGGTCCTGATAGAAGGTAGATTTGAATTGTCTGGGCTGGGATGAATGGGCTGGGGAGAAAGGGCAGAGTCAGCTTTTTACTCCCCAAGGATATTCCTCTGGCAGGGGCTCCTTTGTTCTCAGCTGCTTCCTCTTTATGTGGATCCTCCCAGTGTGTCTCTGTCCCCCTATCTTTCAGGATCCCTCTCAGCAACAGACTACTCCCATTGATGGAATCTCCTTCTGTCCTGTGGGATCACACAAGACAGTGCCACTCAGAATGTCCATTCCCTCAATGCCTAAGGGCAGTGGAGCCCTTTTTGGCCCAGCTCTGTGGAGGGAGGATGACTGCATGACCACAGAAGCAGTGTGGACCAGCGCCCATTATTCAAGGGCATGGCTGTGATGCCAACCAGCCACCAGGCACTGGGGAGGGAGCTGAGGGAGCACGAAAGGGATGAGCCACCCTCTGTCCCTGAAGTGGAGGGCATGGGGCTTGGCTGGGCTTAGAGCTAACATACACAGGATGCTGAAAAGGAACAACAAAAGGTGTGGGGAGCAAGGGAAAGGGAAATCAGCTTGAAGCTGACATAATACATAAACACAAAGAATAAGTACAAATAAATACAAGAATGACATGATTCATAATCCCTAAGTGATTTTAACCATCTATTGGTAATAGCACATGTTTGTTAGTATTTTGTAATGACAATTGTGATTGTAGGGTTAGGGTTGTAGTTACAAATCAGTTACATAAAAATCTATGTTGGGGGTAGAAGGGAGTTACCATGATTAAACTATGGGTTGAGAATTTAGAGATTTTTTTAACTTGGAGATGTGCTGGGCCAGGAGGAAAGTATTAGCATTTTTCTGATGTGTAAATTGTTTCAGAGTATTTTTATGTGGCCCTTAAAACAAAGAATGTAAAGGCATTTAGATCAGAGTTTAAGGAAAGTGGTTGAATTGTCTCGTCCTGAACAGGTTACATATATGAGAGACCTTCAACCTGCTACGGTTGGATATATTTCATTCTTAGATAAGAACCTAACATCAATCTGATTTAAAGGTTAACGTTGTTAGTATTAAAATAACGTTGTTAGTATTCAAATTATTATGATAGGAGTCTGCTTCAGCAAGGAAACAATTCTTGGCCCTTCCACCACAAAAGAAAAAAAATTGAATTAAAAAGAATTTGATATCATTGTGTGGTTCCCAATAAGTAAACCAAATTTCAAGGATTTTTATTTTTTAATGGAATTCAACCTACCTTGAATAACAATGACAATGAGAGGCTTGACTGCCCTGATGTCAGTAGCTAACATAAACATTTCTCAAAGCACAGCATGGGTGACAGGTGATTTTAAGTCATCTGAATATGGGATGGATCTGAAGAAGGAAAATGACCTCAGGACTGTCTGAATTGCAAGAAAGAAGAGTGAAGAGTGGAATGGCAAACGTGAAGTAAAGTCAAGTAAACATGTCTGTACCAAATAGCAGTAGTATATGTGACTGAAGATAGGACATAACTGACTCCAAGACACGTGGGATTTAGGACACAGAGTACTAAAAAGGAACCCAAAAATTATATGTAAGAAAACCCCCTTTTTTTTCCTGAGTCAGATCCTAAATTGTGTATGCAGAAGGGTGGGAGACCAGAAGCCTGAGCAGAGAACAAGTTCTGGAAGGCTGAAGACATGGGCAGAGATTTCAGAAGAGCCAGGGCATTCAGACCCAGTTGCAGTGGAGTGATGTGGCGAATACACTGTGATTCCCACTAAGACCCTGGGAAGGCCATGCACTAGCAATGATGACCACACGCTGGGGCTCCCTAAGAGGAAGGGCAAAGCTGAAATAGAACTTAGCAAGTCCTACATTCAACCGTCCCAGAATAAAACCCAACACTCTTTCCAAGAGATAACATAATCCAGAGCCTCAAGCCTATGTCGTCCACAATGCTTTACATAAACGATTTCTAGTCTTTCATGGAGGGTATTTAGAAGTCTCCTAATCATTCATGCCACCCAAAAATCTATCTCTTTTCTGATCCATACTACTACCAGTGTTCCTGTACCAAAATATCAGTTTCATCATGTTGTTTCACTTGGAGTAGGACCAGTGGCTCACCACTGCCTAGGGATTTGTGTCAAAATTCCTTTCCATGTCTCCCAATATCCCCTGTCATCCAGCTGTCACCTGCTCTTGAGGAGAGTTCAAGATGACACTCATCAGAATTGGGAGAAACTCTTGCTGGTCACCCTTCTTGAAGAGAAGGAGCCGACAATGCACAAGGCTGCCTCCACTGACTTCTCCTCAACACTTTCCAGTTTACCTATTGCCATGGAATTTCACGCCTCTCAAAATATTTCTCTGTCAAACAAAATACTCACTGATAATCCAAATTGTCTCTTGATCTTAGAAATACTTTCCTTCCCCTCTTCTTTATGCTTAGGCTCATCAACCATTTTTGCCTACAGTGTGTTTATAATCATAACATTAGTAAAATATGGACCCATATGTGCAGCAGACAAAGACAAGAAATGGCTTCTCCCATCAGTAAAGACCTTCAGTGCATGGGACAGGCTCCTGTTTTGTTAGTTGAGCTCTGATACTTTGCTGACTTTGTTGTGAACCCCTGCTTTAGCTGATAAACAGAATTCTGAGAGTTCTGTGTACATAAAATGGAGAATTGCCACATCAGGTGCACTGGCAGAGGCTGTACTACAGACTGAAACTCCATCAGAGGCCATCAGGGAATGGAGACTGGAGCCTTGGGTGCAGGTGCACACACGGCCCACAGCTTCCTGGCTGAGCCGGGAGGTTTGTGCACAGGGATGCAGTGGCTCTGTAAGGCTGTGTCTTGGCTGCTGGCACAGAAATACACAGCAGAGTCACCAAGCTCCAGGGAATTGATGTGAAGATTTAAATGAACTTTGTCTGGAGAGTCAGGTGAGAAGCGATTTGGAACTGTTTCATTTAAAATTGGCTCCTTGTTACTGTAGATAAACATTGTCTTCAGAAATTTCTTAGAGTCCTGTTTATACCAATACATAGCATTATGGCCCAGATTTTGTTCTCATTTAAGAGACTCCTTTTTTCCCATCTGTGTGACCAGGTATTTTGGAGTCTGGGAAACGGCTGTGTCCAGTGGATCTGTAAAGGAAAGAAGCAGAATTCAGGCAAATCCCAGGAGGTAGCCTCCTGTTGTTGTCATGGTGAAAAGGCTCGGGGACTCCAACAGGATCTTGTCACTTGGGCCCAGGACTCACCTGCTTGCAGGAGGCAGAGGGCCACATAGCAGAGGAGCCTGCAGCCCATGGCCGAGTCAGGCAGACCAGGCAAGGCCCAGGGCAGGATTCTGGTCTGCAGTGGTGAGAAGACTAGGCTGTGGTTTCCACTGCCTCTGAGAGGTGCTGTGCCATTGAGGTCACAGCCTGTAATCATTCCCCCATTCCCAGGATCTCCTCTAGCATGGCTCCTCCCTTTCATGCCCTGCACTGGCTTCTTTAAAGGAGTTTTTGGAATTTCTGGGAATAGTTGAGAGAGTGGACTTGTGGCCTCCAGGATGTGTCTCTGACAGTCATTCCTGTGCCTGTACCCCCTCCCTCCCTGCTCCCTACCCGGGATCTGACGACCTCCTCCCTTCCTCTCCCTTTTGGGCTCTCCTCTCAGAGTCAGGCTGGTTTTCTTCTCTTGATCTTTTGCTTCCTTTTCCAATAATGCTTTTTTTTTTCCTCTTGAATCTTTGCTCATTTGAATATCTGACTAATGCACAGTGACTACACCTACTTCAGAAGAGATTGGCTTCGGTCCTATTTTTGGCTGTCCAATATTTAACCTCCTTGTTATATTTAGGCAATTCCCCAAAGTTTGGGTCTTCGGGAGAAAGGCATGTGTATGGGTACGTTTGTAAACAAAATCTTCCACTCTTTCTAGAAGGAAAACCTCCATCCCTGCCTCTACTTTTTGGACTTCCCATGGGAATACGACTCCGCCCAGCACAGCTATCTCCCTCCTCCAGCTCCCCAAGAGCTCATGGGGGAAACTGTGCTGTGTGCTCTGGCAGCGTAGGATGGAAGGAATAGCTCTTGTGCCCAATCCTGTCAAGCTGGTTTTCTTGGGCACAGAGTCCCATGAAGATTTCAGTTTCATCTGACTTTGTCTCTTTTCGCTGGTGCTCACAACTGGTTTCTTAGCTCTGCAAGGAAGCAAGGACCATGGCATAACCTCCATCCCACTCAGTTTCCTGCTAGTTACTTGTGGCTCTGACTCTGATCAAAATATCTCCTTTAACTTTGACAAAATACAAAAGTCAACATGCACATCAATTCATGAGAACCTATGCCCGCAGATGGACCAGTGCCTGTCTGTTTTCTAAATGGAAATTCAGATCAAACCCAGATAGGACATCCTGTTGCAGACTATTTCATGTTACTTTTCTGTATAACTATTTTTTAAAATACAGAGACAGGATCTCCCTATATTGCCCAGGCTGGTCTTGAACTCCTGGGCCCAAGTGATCCTCCCACTTTGGCCTCCCAAAGTGCTGGAATTACAGGTGTGAGCCTGTTTGGCTACTAAAATCTCATGTATCCACTTAAAATATTTACATTTATTATTTCTATTGTATAGATTATAAATGTTTAATTTATAGTCATTTGAAAACAACCATTAACAAAAAATCAATGCAATGTCATGATGCATAGGTATTATTTATTAACTATGAAAAATGATTTTATGTCATCTCATTTTTGTTACTGAGAAGAAGGTGTAGATGTTTTGTGATGGTGGGAATGAAGAAATCACAGGAGGACCCTGAACGTCCAACTCTTACGTTCAAGTTAGTCACTTTACATATTTAATATTGAGCTTAGAAATGTGTGTTCTGCATATTCTGATTTGTGTAACTTTTAGGAGATTTGAAAGTCGCTCATACTGTAGAAAGCTGATAAATGTAGACTTCCGTATATAGAAGTGAATTGACTATCTTCAGTAGATTTCTTTGTTCCATTTCAAGATGAAATGCAAAATTAATCTTCACAGGAAGGCTCATGGTTTTCCTTTTAAACTATTTGGCTGGACTTTTACTTCAGGCAATATGCTAGAACATGTATCGTAGTATATATTATATATAAAAATAGTGTATATATATACACATGTATGGTAGTATATATATACACATGTATGTGGTAGTGGTATATATAAATACATGTATATATAAATGTATATTACACGTAGTATATATAATATACACATGTATATATATACATGTATATATAATATATACATGTATATATATACATGTATATATAATATATACATGTATATTACATGTAGTATATATAATATACATGTATATACATTACCATACATGTATGTATATATATATATACACACACACTACATACTTGGATATATACGTTTCAAATTTCCCTTGATTCTTGGAAATTCAAGAATACAACAAAGTTACATTTGATGTAGGCTCTAGTCATCCAGCCTACATATATACATACATGTATATATACATATATGGTAATGTATGCATATACATACATGTATATATACATATATAGTAATATATGCGTATACATACATGTATATATACATATATGGTAATACATGCATATACATATACTATATGTAATACAGAATATATATAATATAGTATATATTGTATATAGTACATGTATCGTATACACTATATTATGTATAGTATATGTATACATAATCATACATGTATGTAGTATATATACATGTAAGGTTATATATAAATAATTAGTATATATATGTATATACTACTATTTATACTTTTATTTATATCCTGAAGCTTTTTCCTGCCAGATGACTGACTAGAGTCTACTAAAATGTAACTTTGTTGTATTTTTGGATTTCCAAGAAGTCAGGGAAGTTCCAAATGCTTTTTTAAAATGTGAAACACGAGCCTGTAGTGAAAACAAAGTGCGTTTCAGGTGTGCATCCTGGCAGTCTGTCAATGCCACCTTCTTTCCTATCTCCAGGTGTTTTGGCATCATCAGATCCTTTGACGTCTGGACAAGTCTAGCTTCCACGGTTCTTCGTAGATAGGGAAAGAACTTGGAAATGGAAGCTGGAAGGGAGTCTGGTGATGCTGTTTTGATAGAAACATTTGCTCAGGCCTAGGAGAGGGGTTTCCTATCACTGTGGGGAGCTCCTGCTCCAAAAACTCAGAGGACCATCCAGAAGAGGAACAAGAAAAAACTTCTTTCTAGCTTAATTCCCCGATAATTTAGAGTGAGGAGAACAGGGCTGTAGGTCACCTTTGGTCTCATAAGAAGATTTCCCTGAGTTATTATTCTCTGCAAGATCCCCAAGGGACCCCTGGCCGGCCAGACTCACTTCATGGCAGGGCTCAGCTGTATTGGGCTGAGCTGGAGCAACGGCCCAGCACCCAGAGCCTCTCTTATTCCTCTTGGGAAGGGGTCCTCCATCTGTGTCTGCTTGTGGGCTCCCACTCTCCCCAGCTCATGCCTTGTCCTTTCTAATCCCATGCACGCTCCAGTGGAAGTCTGACAGTCCAGGCTCTTCCATAGCACAAAAGCGCCTGCATATCAAAGCAAAATGAATAGTCTGTATTTAACCCTCACACTTAGAGCCTTGACTAGCATTCTTTGCAGACCACATTTTCCCTTGTTGTAAATAAACTCAATCTTTCTATTAACCCTCTGCCATCCAGAGAATTGTCTCTCCTTCCTCCAAGTTCTCTGAATCTCAGCAGAGTCACAGCTCCTCCTTGTGGCCAAAGGGTCAAACGTGTCAAGGCTCAGTCCAGTAGTGGAACAAAGGCAGCAGGGTGGTAGAGGTCTTATTAGGGACACGTGACGGGAGACTAGAGGGGCTTCACTCCTCACTCTCTTCAGGAAGTTTCCACCATAATACAAACATACAAACCTACCAACTCAATTGCACTTCATCTTTAATAAATATAAAAACTGACTTTCAGAGTTAATAGACTGGATAGTGGCAGAACAACACTTCCACCAAAAACAACTAGAAAAGCTTAACAAAATATAAAACATAAATGTTTGAAGGCACTTGGAGCTACTGGGGCAGTAAGAGCGTAAAAGATAGGGATATCATAGAAAACGGATAAATCTAAAAAAAAAAAAAAACCTACTTTTCCCTTAAATTCATTTGTCAATTTCATTTGATGGCTGAGAAGCTAAGAAGAAAGGGAGGACTGATGGGCCAAAGGCTTTGAGGAGCATCCACCACCTTTCTGGCCTGGAGAACATTTACGTTCAGTGACTACTGAGTAGGAGAGGAGCCTGGCAAAGACCCCAGGCCTTGGTGCTGGGGGTAGAAGCAGAGATTGACTGAAAATGAGCACGAAGGAACTTTCTGGGTAGGGAGGATGAAATATTTTAGAGCTAGATCATGGTGATTGTTGCACAACTCCACAAATTTATCAAAACTCATTAAATTACACACTTCCAGTAGGCAAATATTATGTTATGTAATTTACACTTTAATAAGCTGGTAAAATACTCCAGAAATCTAGTTGGAAGTTTAATGGCTAATAGCAAAGTTGAGAAGCCATCAGGAAGGCTGAATCCCAGCTCTGATCCAGCTCAGTCATCAACTCAATTAAGGTGACCTGTCTCTGCTACAATTTCCAGCAGAAGCAAACATGAATCCTTTCTGAGGAAGATGAAATCATTCAGAGCCTCATTATCTCTGTAATTTTTATATGCAATACCTAGCATTCAAATGAATTGTTGATTGTGTGAGAAAACAACATTGCATGACCAAAAATTAAAAAAAAGAAAGCGGACAAAAGAAATAGACACCAACAGAGATGTGTTATCAGACACTGCCTTTAAAATAACTGATGTTAATATAATCAAAAAGGAAATGACAAAATGGAGAATTTTAGCAGACAACTGAATACTGTAGTCAAGATTGAAGTGGAAATTCCAGAACTGAAATATATGAAATACATAAAATTTAGGAAAAAAATATATATATATATTTTAAAGAAGGATAGATAAAGCTGAAAAGACTAGATAAACTGGAAGATAGGTCAGGTGAAAATATCCATACTGAATCAGAGAAACAAAAAGCAGAGAAAATACAAAGGAAAACATATTAATCAGGCCATCTCTATAGATAGGTGGCTGGCTATCAAACTAGGCCTTTCTAGGAGCCTGAGACTAATGCCAAGGCTTTTATCCACCAGTTCTCATTCTCCAGTGGTTGAGAATTGCCCCATAGGACATTAACTCACTCACACTTCATTGTGCATGAACAAGCGCCATGCAGACCACCAATGTGTCTCATGCCTCAGCAACAGCGTGTTTTGGGAACACGTGGCCACATTGAAGGTGAGGTGCGGTAACTATGGAGCAGGTCAGTGTCTGCATAGAACTGTTCATCATAGCTGTGGCTGGAATCAAAGGTGGAACCAAGAGAGTATGAGGTGGTAATAGAGGCAACTGATACAGTCCACTCATGCATTATTTCCATTGAGTCCAAATAGGTCTTCAAGGTTGTGGTCAGCTGCTATCTGTACAAGTATCAGAGGTTTAAGGAAATAAGATACAGTCCTGCTACTATCACTGGTACTTAATGCCATAATTGATATTCCTCATCTCCTCCTTCCACTGTCAATTCTAGATTTCCTTCAACTTTGCTCCCGCTCACCTCCCCAGGTGCTGTTTTTCTTTCAGCCCAAGCACATGGCAGGGGTCCAGGCCACTCAGCATCCATAGGGCTTATTTGAGAAGGACACAGAAATTAAAGTCAGAGCAAAGGGGGGCCTGCTACTGTCACTCACAGCTGGGATCCAGCAAGCCCATGAGTGGGTGCTACAACTGTGCCAAGAACTTCTCTGGGCCAGAACCCAGAAGGAGACATGGTGCAGGAGCCTGGTGCCCAGGGTAGGGCCAGAACAAAAAGGGAGATTTTCTAGCTCAAAGCTCAGGTTTTATGGGTTGGATACTTGGGGTAAAAGCAAATAGAACCCTTTTCCACATGTGACATCATCTCTTAACAAAGTCACTATTACCATGGTTTGTTTGGTCCCATTGCATTCAGTGTGTGAACCTGAAGGCCAGTTAAGTATGTGTCAGATGGGAACTCAAAATAATTTCATTAAAATGATGAATTGTTGTCACAATATCATTATAAAATAAATAATTTGAATGAGTGAGTAAATGAGTAAAGAAATCAATAAAAATGAATAAATAATTTTGGAGAATGAGCTTCCACCAGCTGGAGAGTAATTTGGAGGCTATTTCATCATCTTATCTATCTCCAGATAGGATTGTCCCTAACATGGATCAGGTAGCTCACAGAACTTTACTTTTAAACCATAAAACTTTCCAGGACCACCTTGCACTCTTAAATGTATGTATTAAAAAAGGATTAGTCGATACAGGTTTTAAAATGTTACTAATAGATTTTTTGAGAAAAATGTATTCTCCAGTGATAGAATTCATATCATTTGGTTGTCAGAGATGGAAACAGTCATTGCCAAGGGGTGTGAGAGAACTTTCTGGGTGATAGAGACATTTGTATAGGGATAGTGGTTATAAGGATATACATATATAACCTTATAACCCATATATATATGTCTCTCTCTCTCTCTCTCTCTCACTCTATATATATATATATATATAGCTCACTGATTTGTTTATTTAACATGTGTAATGTTTATATTGTATAATTTATAGATAAATAATGCTGATTTTAAAATGTCTGTGGAGGCATGTACACTATGTTCTCTAGTTAATTTCATCAAATGAATCATCAGGCACATATATCATTTTTTGCTCTATTTCTATTTTCAGTCATCTTTGATCAGGTTCTCTTTTTTTGACCTATGCTGTCTGGACCCAGAGGCCTCACTGCATCTCCAAGTTCACCTTCTCATCCCAGAGACGCTCCTCTGTCTGCTGGGTACGTACTGTAGGATGCACCAACAGTGCCCCCAACACCAGGCACCAAGGAGTGAGCTCATTGTCTTTCCTGCAATTCAGGGTGCCCTCTGCCATACCCATTCATGCCCCAGCCTCCTCCATTCCCACACTCACACGTGCCCAATGGGATTGTCCCATCACATGGGTTCCCCCACAAACTGCCCTCATGCCTTTCTTCTGGGATCATTTCCCACCCATGTTAACTATAATTCAGAAAACATACCTTGGTGGCAAACTCACAGAATTCTTTTGGTTTTCCATATTTTCTTTCCTGTCCTATAGATTTTTTTAAATCAATCTCAATCTTCAATAAATGAGGACTACAATTCTTATTGAATGGTTATTTTTAATCCTCTTTCTTGACTTTGATTATTTCTTTCATTCTATTCCACTGGAAGTTATTTATCTTTCCCTTTTGACTGCTGTTAAAATCTTCTCTTTGTCATTTATGGTCTGCAGTTTCACAGGGACTTGCCTACTTGTCTTGCAATTCATCTGAATTCTTGAACGAGGATTTCGGTCCTCAAACATCTCAGGAACATTCTCAGCTAGCATCACATACACAATCACCTCAGATCATTTGCCTTATTTTCTCTTTCTGAAACGTCAGTTATATACAAGAAAGTAAGAAAAGTTTCAATAAAACATTATATGCTTTCTAATATTCTAGAAACTTCATTTTTTCCTTGTTCCTTCACTTTTTTTATATTTTACATTTAATTTTCTGTGCTGCATTCTAGGTGATTTCTTGAGATCCTCCTTTGATATTGCTAACAATCTCTTTAGAAGCATTGAATCTGCTGTTTAGCTTCCATTTTGTTTTGTGGAGTAATCGTAATGATTTCTAGACATTCTATTTGATTATTTCTTTAATGTTTTTTGATGGTTTCGGGCCGTCTCTTTTTTGTGTGTATTCTTGTTTCAGTCCCTTCTTGTATTCATTTAAATGTAGCTCTTCAAACGTTCACATCTTATGATGGCAAAATTTTAAATCTTTAGGATGTCCATTTTAATGGTTTATTGCTTCTGCTCACTGGTCCTCCTTGGTTTTTGTTCTAATACTTTTAATAGTCGGAATAAATTGGTCTTATGTTAATCTGTGAAATTCAGGGAGAGGCCAGGCTTGAGAGTGCAGAATGTCAAGATTCCATAGTTTTTCAACTGTCTCTGGTCTCACCCCCAAATGCATGGGGTCGGGAACAGTCTGCTGCGCTCCAAGCTGCGAAATACCCCTGTAGATTTGATTCCTCACATCACAACCTGCTCTGAGGACAGTCCCAATGTAGGTTCCAGAAGAGAATTCTGATTTTCTCTTTCCTATTTATTATGCTTCCTCCATGAAATAGAGCCTGTAAGACTGTATATGAATGACGGTTTTTTTCCTGTTCTTTCAAGGAAATCAAAGTCGGATTTGTTCCACCATTAGCCAACTTAAGACAATTATGGGACAAAAATAGCTCACTATTTGGATCAAACTTTTACAAAGGAAAATCAATATTTTTTTTGTTGAAATCATATGCTCTCCTTTGAGTAGAATAAGAGGTCACGGTCACATTAATCATGAATTAAATCTGCCTAGCTATATCTCCCCTCCAGACCTTCTCTTCCTCAGCTCCCCCTACATTTATATAAGGTCTAACTCCTGTCATAAATCCTCCTCTCCATAGTACTTTTAGTGATTCTGTTTTATTGATGTAAACCTAATGGAGTTTTTGGTACCAGAAGTGGTTCCAAAATAACACAACTCTATGCATGGGTTTCTGGAAAGGGATCTCTGATCTGTGTAGAGTTGTTGTGGGAAAGAGTCTGAAGGAGAGCACAGAGACCTGGAGGAGGTCTGGTGCTGCAGACTCAGGAGGAATCTTTGACCAAGGTGGGGCTGCCCATGATAGCGACTCCCCATTAATTTCAAGGACCTCCCGTAGCCCAGCAATCAAAAGGGTAAGAGTTCTTGTACTTACAGCCAGATCTCCGCAAGGGTAAAATGGATCTAGGGTGCTCCTGTTATGGATTCATCCATCCACTCATCACTCACTCCATCACTGACTCATCCATTCTCTGAAATGCATCTCCCCTTGTGCCAGGCTCAGCTGCTGATTTATAACCCAGGCATAGCCTTGGCCTTCATGGGGTTTAAAGTACTTGGAAGATTCCAACTGTGCTAAATTCTACTGATTAACAGACACATGATACCATGAGAGATTATGAGAGGGAAACTGACCTCAGCTGGGAGCCAAGGGAAGCATAATGGTGATTATCACTAGGGCTGATGATGCTGAGATCTGAAGCACAGGTAGGTGTTGACCACTACAGAAAGGAAGGCTCCAGCCCAGGGCACAGGAAATGGACTTTGGAGTCTCTCAACATGGCTGGAGTAGAGAAGGGCAGGGAGGTCGGGGAGGAGAAACCCAGCAAGGCCTTGGAGGGCGACTGTGAATATAGGAAATGCAGGCTGCAGCTGAGACCACCGTAGGGTTCAACATGAGGAAAAATCATAGAGAGAGGAAAGCACGTGGTACCCAGGTAGAGACGGGAGTCTAGATGGATCTGAAATACAAATCCTATTTCACCTAGGAGGCCTCAGACTCAGGTGAATGACTAGGAAAGTCAGAGCTGGGAAACCCCTGGCACTAGCCCAAAAGGACACCTCAGAGGAAAGACCGGAGGGCAACAAGGAAGACATCTGAGGTCCTGGGACCGATCCAGGCCTGGCCGAGACCGACTGCAGAGGCACCTGGCACAGATGAAGGCTCGCACTGCCCGGGCCCATTGGGGCTCCAAAGTTTTCGGTGCTAGGACCAAGGGCATCGCTGAATCTGTGCTGCGGAGGAGGGCAGCACCTTCCCTTGCCTTTCTGTGCAGAGAGGAGACAGCCGTGCAGCACTGTGGAGTAACTGCTGGCACAGAAGTACACAGATGTTTGGGAGGGAGCAGCCGACTCCAACCCCAGCAGGAAATTCTGTTTTTTTAATCTGGAGACATTGTAGCCATCAGGGACCTCTCCTTTGGCAGTTGTACCCTCACCAACTGAGTAATGAATCAGCCTCAGCCCCATGCCTGGGTCTTGTCGATACCAGTACATGTATTCATGGTTCATATCCTGGGCACACAGCAGTGTCATGCTCTGTCCTGTCTTCAGGACCCGGAATTTTGGGGTCTGAGTGACACCAGCATTCACTGGACCTGCAGAGAAGGACAAAGCTGATGCTACAGCTCCAGTGGAAAGGGGATGGGCCTTGAAATCCACACAAGGGGCCCCGCCCAGGACCCACCTGCCCACAGGAGAGAAAAGGCCCCACAGCACAGGAGCCCGAGGCTCATGGCAGGAACTGCAGGATGGAGGGGTCCTCTGGGTCTGTGCATTGGTGAAAAGGGAACACGTCTTTCAAGGGCGTCATTCTGAGACCTCATTCTCCCTGCCTGGGCCCCAGAGCCTTGCTGTCAGGAGAGGCCACGCCCCTTCCCCAGATGGTCAAATTCAAGATCAATGCACCAGTGAACAGTTTGGATGGGAAGAATGCCTTTGTCTGAATCGATGCAAGTCTACCATTTTTTAAATATCTTTTGGTAATTAGTTTGTAACTCAATGTATATTTTTTATTCCCATGATGATACAAATTACTTGGCTGTGCATAGTGGCCCATGCCTGTAATCCTAGCCCTTTGGGAGGCTGAAGAGAGCAGATCACTTCAGGCCAGGAGTTGGAGACCAGCCTGACCAACATGGTGAAATCCCATCTGTACTAAAAATATAGAAATTATCCAGGCATCCTGACGTGCACCTATAGTCCCAGCTACTCGGGAGGCGGAGGCACCAGAATTCTTGAACCAGGGAGGCGGAGGTTGCAGTAAGCCGAGATCATGCCACTGCATTCCAGCCTTGATGACAGAGTGCGACTCCATCTCAAAATAATAATACTAATAATTACTCATTAATACACTGGTATTGGTTATCTAAGTATTGCTATAGTCTACAATCTTGGAAAAACTCCTCATGTCTTCCTGGTGTTTTTGATTCCTGTGTCCCAAATACTCCTTCAAGTATCCTTTTCTAATTTGCTTAATTGATCATAATCCGATAGTCCTGTTTAAAATCCTTTGTCTATATTGGTTTTCTCTGTTATTAGCTTTCCAAATCCCAGGGGCAGTCTCATCAACATTGAAGGAGTTGTTTTGTTCTGTTTCTTGTGAATTCACTGACAGATGGGACTCCTGACAAACCCAGATGAGCACTTTCAGCTCCACCCAGGGCTCCTGCTTTCTGTGCCTGGGGTGAGACCCCAGCAAGCAGAACCACCTAACGCTACTGACTACCCTCTCTGTGTGGACAGTGGTGGCTGCCAAGCACTGCCCATGATCTATGCGCACAAAGGTGTCCTGATGTGTAAGGGAGTTTGGGAGACAGGGCTGACTTTAGGGTAATGAGGAATGTTCTGGATTTATTGCTGCCATTAATTTAGTGATAAAGAAAAAGGAACCAACCCAAATGCCCATCAATCAACGAGTGGATAAAGAAACTGTGATATATATATATCATATATATATCATATATATCACATATATATCATATATATCATATATATATCATATATGTATGATGAAATACTACACAGCCATAAAAAGGAATGAATAAACAGCATTTGGAATGATCTACCTGGATGAGATGGGAGACTATTATTCTAAGTGAAGTAACTCAAAAATGTAAAACCAAACATAGCATGTTCTCACCGATATTTGGGAGCGAAGCTATGAGGTCACAAAGGCATAAGAATGATACAACGGACTTTGGGGAAGTGTTGGGGAAACAGCAGGAGGGGGTGAGGGATAACAGACTACAAATATGGTGCAGTGTATACTGCTCAGCTGGTGGGTTCACCAAAGTCTTGCAAGTCATCACTAAAAACTTACTCATATAACCAAATACCACCTGTACCCCAATAATATATGGAAAAATAAAAATTAAATTAAAATTTAAAAAAATATTCTCGCATGGCCTACAGCCATGAACATAGAGTGTTGTTTCCGTTTTTGTTTAAAAAAAATGAGCTCCAAAAGTCTATCTTTGGTGCACAGAGGCCTGCATTTGGAAGGACCCTGCACTTGGTTTCACATTCTACTGCCATGATCTTCAAATTCCTAACAGTGTTTGAACAAAGCACCTGCCAGTAAGTCTTGCCACTGGTTGTAAATACATGATTTTGTTTCATATACTGCTCACCTCCCCATGTGCTGGTTTCCTTTCAGCACAAGAGCATGACCAGGGTCTGGGTCACTCAGCATCTGTGGAACTTAAGAGTAAAGAAAACACAAATTCAAGTCACAGCAAAGGACCCCCTGGTACTGAAAGTCACAGCTGGGATCAAACAAGCCCACGAATAGGTTCCAAATCTGCGCCCAGGACTCTGCTTCAGGAGACAGAGAAACACACAGCACAGTGGCCTGGTGCCCAAGGCAGGGTGAGAAAAGGAAGATGGATTTTAGCCTAAGGCTCAGGTTTTATGGGTTGGACACATGGGGTCAAGTCAAAGAGAACCCTTCTCCCAATAAGACATCATCTGTCAATGAAGTCACTGTGATCATGGTTTGCTTGACCCCAGCATGCTCACTGTGTGAACACAAAGCCCAGCTGCTTGTGTGTCTGATGGGAACTCAAAATAATTTCCTTAAAGATGATTAACTTTTGTCAAAACGTAACATAAAATTGTTTGATTGAATGAATTGACGAGAAAATAAACGAATGAAAATGAATAAATTTTGTAGAATCAGCTTCTACCAGCCGAAAAGACCTTTTGAGGTTATTTCGGCACAATATCCATCTCCAGATAGAATTGTCCCTACCATGGGTCAGGTAGCTCACCTGGCTTCAACCACTTCTAAAACCATAAAACCTCCAGGAACTCCTCCCTGCCTTGATGATTTAGCTATGTATTCAAGAGGATTATTCAGAAGAGGTTTGACATTTGCATTAAAAATATTTGCCAACAAAACGACTCTCCAGTGATAGAAGTCACATCATTGGTTGCTGGGACAGACAGAGGCATTGCAGAGGGGAGTGAGGGACTTTCTGGGTGATGCAGATACATCTTCATAGAGGTGGGGTTGCATATATAGATATATGTTGCTCAAAAATCACAGATATGTTCATTTAAAAGGTGTCCTGTTAACTTCATATACTTTAAAGATCAATAATGTTGATTTTTAAATGCCTGAGGAGATATGTATGCTACATCCTCTAGTTAATTTTATCAGATGAATTATCAGGCATATATATTTCCATTTCTGTGACTTCTGAGTCCTCAACCTAAGATTTCTTGGCAGAATGTGTCCATATCTGTCTTTGCACATTGGTGTGGTGGAAGAGGTTGTCTGAGATCAGCAAAGGAAATCAAAATAGCTAGGCTTCTACTATATGCTAGATATTTTATGCCATTAAAGGTGCTATGATGTTCTGAATCTTCTGTCGGGGCTCTTGTAGGAAATGTTCATCGAAGGCTTTGGTGGCCCCCACAGCTTCCTGGAGGGCCCCTAAGGTTTCTACACAGGAAAGCGGTGACTCTGCAAGGCTGTGTCTTGGCTGCTGGCACAGAGATACAGGGCCGAGTCTTCTGGCTGCAGGGTGTGTAGGTGAAGGAATAAGTGAGAGCTGTTGGGGCATTCAGGTGAGAAGCGACTTGGCACACTGTTGTTTTCAGTCTGTTCTTTAAAGTTGTAGACAAACATGAGCTCCAGTGGCTTCTTAGCACTTTGCTTGTACCAATACATAGCGTTATGCCCCAGATGTTGTTCACATTTCAAAGACTTCTTATTTGTCATTCCCATGACCAGGTGTCTTGGTGTCTGCGTAACTCCCGTTTCCATGGGGACTGCGGGGGGAAAGGGACAAAATTCAGGCAGAGCCCAGGAGGAGGCTTGTTGCTGAAATCACAAGGAAAAAGTTTCGAATTCAAGGACAGCTGATGTGAACCCAACTCACCCGCTCCCAGGAGACAGAGAACCGCACAGCAGAGCAGCCTGCAGCCCATGCTAGCCTCGGGTCTGAGATGGGGCCTCTGACTGGGGTCCTCTGGGTGAGGTGCTGGGCTCTGGTCTCCTTGGCCTTGGTTGGTGGTTTTTCCTGTGATGTCACTGCTCCTGACAGTTTCCCCAGACCCAGGGGATATTTATACCCGGCCGTTTTACATCCTTTCTAGGTCCTGATAGAAGGCAGATTTGAATTGTCTGGGCTGGGATGAATGGGCTGGGGAGAAAGGGCAGAGCCAGCTTTTTACCCCCCAAGGATATTCCTCTGGCAGGGGCTCCTTTGTTCTCAGCTGCTTCCTCATTATGTGGATCCTACCCCTGTCTCTGTCCCCGTGTCTTTCAGGATCCCTCTCAGCAACAGACCACTCCCATTCAAGAAATCTCCTTCTCCTCTGAGGGATCACACAAGACAGCACCATTCAAAATGTCCATTCCCTCAATGCCTAAGCGCGGTGGAGCCCTTTTTGCTCGGTTCTGTGGAGGGAGGATGGCTACATGACCACGGATGCAGTGTGGACCAGCGCCCATCTTTCAAGGGCATGGCTGTGATGCCAACCAGCAACCAGGCACCGGGGAGGGAGCTGAGGGAGCACGAAAGGGATGAGCCACCCTCTGTCCCTGAAGTGGAGGGGCATGAGCCTTGGCTGGGCTTAGAGCTAACATACACAGGATGCTGAAAAAGAACAACCCAAGGTGTGTGGAACAAGGGAAAGGGAAATCAGCTTGAAACTGACATAATAAATAAACACAAAAATGAAATGATTCATAATCCCTAAGTGATTTTAACCATCCATTGTTAATAGCACATGTTTGTTAGTATTTTATAATGACAATTGTGATTGTACGGTTAAGGTTGTAGTTACAAATCAGTTACATAAAAATCTATGTTGGGGGTAGAAGGGAGTTACCATGATTAAACTATGGGTTGATAATTTAGAGATTTTTTTAACTTGGAGATGTGCTGGGCCAGGAGGAAAGTGTTAGCATTTTTCTGATGTGTAAATTGTTTCAGAGTATTTTTATGTGGCCCTTAAAGCAAAGAATGTAAAGGCATGTAGATCAGAATTTAAGAAAAGTGGTTGAATTGTCTCGTCCTGAACAGGTTACATATATGAGAGACCTTCAACCTGCTACAGTTGGATATACTTCATTCTTAGATAAGAACCTAACATCAACCTGATTTAAAGGTTAATGTTGTTAGTATTCAAATTATTATAATAGGAGTCTGCTTCAGCAAGGAAACAGTTCTTGGCCCTTCCACCAAAAAAGAAAAAAAAATTGAATTAAAAAGAATTTGATTGCATTGTGTGGCTCTCAATAAGGAAACCAAATTTCAAGGATTTTTGTTTTTTAGTGGGATTCAACCTACCTTGAATAACAATGACAATGAGAGGCTTGACTACCCTGAGGTCAGTAGCTAACATAAACATGTCTCAAAGCATAGGGTGGGTGACAGGTGAGTTGAAGTCATCTGAATTCCAGATGGATCTGAAGAAGGAGAATGACCTCAGGACTGTCTGAATTGCAAGAAAGAAGAGTGAAGAGTGGAATGGTAACGTGAAGTAAAGTCAGTAAACATGTCTGTACCAAATATCGTTAGTTTATGTGATTGAAGATAGGACATAACTGACTCCAAGACAGCTGGGATTTAAGACACAGGGTAGTAAAAAGGAACCCAAAAATTATATGTAAGAAACCCCCCTTTTTTTTTTTCCTGAGCCAGATCCTAAATTGTGTATGCAGAGGGTGGCAGACCAGAAGGCTGAGCAGAGAACAAGTTCTGGAAGGCTGAAGACATGGGCAGAGATTTCAGAAGAGCCAGGGCATTCAGACCCAGTTGCAGTGGAGTGATGTGGCGAATACACTGTGATTCCCACTAAGACCCTGGGAAGGCCATGCACTAGCAATGATGACCACAGGCTGGGGCTCCCTAAGAGGAAGGGCAAAGCTCAAATAGAACCTAGCAAGTCCTACATTTAACCCTTCCAGAATAAAACCCAACACTCTTTCCAAGAGATAACATAATCCAGAGCCTCAAGCCTATGTCTTCCACAATGCTTTACATAAACCCTTTCTAATCTTTCATGGAGGATATTTAGAAGTCTCCTAATCATTCATGCCACCCAAAAATCTATCTCCTTTCAGATCCGTACTACTACCAATGTTACTGTAACACAATATCAGTTTCATCATGTTGTTTCACTTGGAGTAGGACCAGTGGCTCACCACTGCCTAGGGATTTATGTCCAAAGTCCTTTCCATGTCAATTCTAGATTTGCTTCAACTTCGCTCCTGCTCACCTCCCCACGTGCTGTCTTTCTTTCAGCCCAAGCACATGGCAGGGGCCCAGGCCACTCAGCATCTATAGGGCTTATTTGAGAAGGACACAGAAATTAAAGTCAGAGCAAAGGGGGCCCTGCTACTGTCATTCACAGCTGGGATCCAGCAAGCCCATGAGTGGGTGCTACAACTGTGCCAAGAACTTCTCTGGGCCAGAACCCAGAAGGAGACATGGTGCTGGAGCCTGGTGCCCAGGGTAGGGCCAGAACAAAAAGGGAGATTTCCTAGCTCAAAGTTCAGGTTTTATGGGTTGGATACTTGCGGTAAAAGCAAAGAGAACCCTTTTCCACATATGACACCATCTCTCAACAAAGTCACTGTTACCATGGTTTGTTTGGTGCCGTTGCATTCAGTGTGTGAACTTGAAGGCCAATTAAATATGTGTGATATGGGAACTCAAAATAATTCCATTAAAATGATTAATTGTTGTCACAATACCATTATAAAATAAATAATTTGAATGAGTGGGTAGATGATAAAAGAAATAAATAAAAATGAATAAATAATTTTGGAGAATGAGCTTCCACCAGCTGGAAAGTAATTTTGAGGCTATTTCATCCTCTTACCTATCTCCAGATAGGATTGTCCCTAACATGGATCAGGTAGCTCACAGAAATTTAGCCTCTTTTAAAACCATAAAACTTTCCAGGAGCACCTTGCACTCTTAAATGTATGTATTTGAAAAGGATTAATCAATACAGGTTTTAAAATGTTACTAATAGATTTTTTGAAAAAAATGTATTCTCCAGTGATAGAAATCACATCATTGGTTGTCAGAGATGGAGAGAGTCATGGCAAAGGGGTATGAGAGAGATTTCTGGGTGATAGAGACCTTTTTATAGGGATAGTGGTTATAAGGATATACATATATATCCTTATAACCCATATATATGTCTATATATATATATATATATATAACCATTGATCTGTTTATTTAACATGTGTAATGTTTATATTGTACAATTTATATATCAATTGTGCTGATTTTAAAATGTCTGAGAAGGCATGTACGCTATGTTCTGCAGGTAATTTCATCAAATGAATCATCAAGCATATATATTTCCACTTCTGTGAGTTCTGAGTCCTCAACCTAAGATTCCTGGGCAGAATGTGTTCATATTTGTCTTTGCTCATTGGCACAGTGGAAGAGGCTGTTTGAGATTAGCAAAGGAAATCAAAATAGCTAGAATCTACTATATGCTAGATACTTTGTCATATTAAATCTTTGTACAACTCTTCATAAGGGCAGTAGTCATCTCATTTTACAGAAAAAAATAAAAACCCAAAACACAAACTAAACGCAGCATGTCAAGAATGGCCTCAGGTCTTTACAAGTTGGTGTTAGAATGGGAGTCAGGGCTGAGTGTCATGGCATCTAGCCAGAGATCTCTCCTTACATCACTGTCTCCAGGGTAAACTGATCTCTTTCCATGTTGTTAGAGCCAGTTGATCTGAAAGGGATGTAGGATCCAATATTCTGATTTTTGAAGGTAGGCATCTCTCTCTATGAAATGCACTATAGCACAGAGTTATAAATGCAAAAATTGGACAGATCAGGTTGAAGTCCCAATACTGTATCCTAATAGCTCTTCAATTTGGTCAAGTTTTTTAACCTATGAGCCAATTCCCTCATCTGTAAAATGAGAATAGCATTTGCATCTTAAGGTTTTTTTCTGATAGCTGAATTTCTAATTAATTGAACTTTTTCAAATGAAAGATTTTTATTTGGCATATAGTGAATTGACAAATAAAAGTTGGCATTATTATTTTTTTCTGAATGTTCTCCATGGAGCAGAATTTATCTGTGAATGTGCCTGAATAAACTCAGTGCTCGCAGCTCTGCAAATGACTCTGCCACTCACATGACAGAGAGTTTCATAGAAATAGCCAAATGTTATATCCATTTAATCCTGCAGATCTGAAACATGGAATATTATTAAGGGTTAGAAAAGAAAAACAATCCTTCCATATGTGTCATAGATGAACCTGGAGGACATTGTTCTAAGTGAACAAGTCAAGCACAGAAACGCAAACACTGCATGTTTCTGTTTATATGAGGCAACCATGTCAAACTCATGGAAGCAAAGATGAGAATGTTTCTTTCCAAGAGCTGGGAGTTGGGGAAAATGCGGAGTTGCTGTCAACAGGTATAAAATTTCAGTTAAGCAGGATGAGGAAGTTTTAGAGATCTTCTGTACAACCTTGTGCCTGTAGACTATGATACTGTTTTGTACACTTAAAAATCTGTTCAGAGGATAGGTCTCATGTTAAATGTCCTTACCAAAAGTTTAAATAAAAAAGAAATACAAGCTGGCAAAGAAGAGAGAAGGAGAAACCAAAGAGAGAATGAGAAGAAGAAAGGAAATATATAAATTCAAAAACTAAGTACACTAAACATAAAACAATTGAAAATAAACATAAAACAATTGAAAAATGAAAATAAATGCAGACCTTAGTGTTATAAATAGCCAAAAAATATTTTTTATTTTAAAATATTCTTTCTTTATTTATTTTCTTTTTTTATTTTTTAAAATCTGCCATCATCTGCAGATACTTTTCTTTTTCATTTTCTATTTGACGACATAGGGTATCTTATACACAGTAGGTCCCCCAAAAAAGTTTATTGAATAAAAGAATAAAATAAATTAACTAGTGAATAACAATTACTAGTGTTCCTTTTTCTCAAGATATGTTGCATCCGTTACAGGAAGTCTACAGTTCAGAAAATTACCACCCCTTTTTTTTTCTTTTTCTTTTTCTTTCCTTCCTTCCTTCCTTCCTTCCTTCCTTCCTTCCTTCCTTCCTTCCTCTCTCTCTCTCTTTCTTTCTTTCCTTCTTTCGGGAGTCTAGCTCTGTTGTCCAGCCTGGATTGCAATGGCACAATCTCAGCTCACTGCAACCTCCACCTCCTGAGTTCAAACAATTCCCATTCCTCAGCCTCCTGAGTAGCTGGGATTACAGGCACCCACCAGTATGCCTGGCTGATTTATTTTATTTTTAGTAGAGACGTGGTTTCTCCATGTTGGCAGGCTGGTCTCGAACTCCTGGGCTCAAACAATTCACCTCCTCAGCCTCCCAAAGTGCTGGGATTACAGCTGTGAAGCATCATGGCTGGCCAGAAAATTACACTTTTTTTTTTTGTCTCAATGAAGGATGAATGTATATGCTTGGCCTGGAAGTCACATGTTCCTTGGACTTCTCAGGGAAGAGACTATACTGATTACGTATGAGGCATGAACTTCACAACCTGTTGATGGGGACCTGTAAAGGGGAAAGCAGGTGAAAGGATAGAGCTACAAAGAAGGGGTTAAGGAGAGGTGTTGGCACAACAGGCTTGAGACTTTTATTTTATTTTATTTTATTTTATTTTATTTTATTTTATTTTATTTTATTTTGTTTTATTTTGAGACAGAGTCTCACTCTGTTGCTCAGGATGGAGTGCAATGGCATGATCTCGGCTCACTGCAACCTCTGCCTCCAGGGTTCAAGCGATTCTCCTGCATCGGCCACCTGAGTAGCTGGGATTACAGGTGTGCACCACCACACCTGGCCAAATTTTTATATTTTTAGTAGAGATAGGGTTTCACCGATTTTCCCAGGCTGGTCTCGAACTCCTGAGCTCAGGAGATTTGCCCACCTCGGCCTCCCAAAGTGCTAGGGTCACAGGTGTGAGCCACTGCACCCAGTCTTCAGCCAGTTATTAAGTATGAGACCCCGGACAGCTGATTTCCTTCAGATACATAAACAGGTAAAATAATACTTATCCTGCATAATTTATGTGAATATTAAAGCAGATCACATGTAGAAGCAGCAGAAAGTGCCTGGGAAAAGCCTATCAGCTCTCCAGGGCCTGAACCCTTCTGGCTGACAGCATGTCTCTCACGGTCACTTCCTGAGTGGGGGCAGGAATGTTTCTGGAGCTTCCTGCGGGAACTGGCCTTTGCGAGTTTCTCTCCCTGCAGGCCACCACTGCCCCTTGCACGCTTTGGCAGGTCCCAGGCTCAGCTGCTCCATGCATCTGTCCCGCACAGCCCTGAAACTAAAGGTTTGGTGGGTGGAGAGCAGGCCCCACATGCCCACATCACACCTTACTTTCCTCTACCTGCCCTGTCCCTGCCCTGACACTGATTCCCAGCCCTTGTGGCTGAAGCTCCTTCACCATCCACTGCCCAAGCAGACACAGGGACACTCTACTCTTTGGTGCAAACTGAGGCCTCCAGCACCTCTACTCTTCTCTGGTAGTGGGGAGTTTGTGTTTAACTCTGGATCCACTCTGAATCAAACCACTCCCCTGAAGCCAGCAGGCAGCCAAGCATAGGCTTCAGCTCCTCTCTTGGCCACCTTCCCACCCCTCTCCAGGGTTCCCTGCAGCATTGTGGAGCCACAGCGTCACCAAGTGGCCAACATTCCACAGTCTCATGGATTCACACCTGACCTGATGAGTTCAAGATTGTCCAAATCAGGAACAAAGATGCCCCACTCCCACCCTTGCAACCCTCATCCTCACACCCTCTATGCTTTCCCCAAAAGGCCAATTTAGGGTTGATCTTCAAATTCACCCTGGGCCAAGTGAGGCAAAAGGACACATGAACCAATCTTTTTATTACAAAATAAACCGTTGTTGCACTTAGAGAGCAGCCAAAATTACACAGACCCTTAATTAAACAGTGTGAGGATGTCAAGCCCACCTAGCCCAGAAACACTGCATTGTTCCCTGGCTCCCTTTGCTTAATCAGGCCCAATCTTTTCCTATTTTGTATTTAAATTAATATCAGTAAATTTTACATCATGTGTTTTATAAGAGAGGATTTCCTGATTTTCTTTTTTTTTTTTTTGAGACGGAGCTTCGCTCTATCACGCAGGCTGGAGTGCAGTGGTGCGATCTCGGCTCAGTGCAACCTCCACCTCCCAGGTTCAAGTGATTCTCCTGCCACAGCCTCCCGAGTAGCTGGGATTACAGGGGTGCACCACCACGCCTAGCTAAATTTTTGTATTTTTGGCAGAGATGGGGTTTCACCATGTTGGCCAGGCTGGTCTCAAACTCCTGACCTCGTGATCCACCTCCCTCAGCCTCCTAAAGTGCTGGGATTACAGGCATGAGCCACTGCACCCGGCCCCATTTTTTTGAGTTTACAAATTTATTTCTGAATTTGTAAAATTTTAAAATAAACAACCCTATCAGCTATAACTTAGGCCGATTCAGTGGCTGTGACATTTCCCATCACTCCCTGGGGTTAGGAAAGTGCCTATGAACTCCACCAGTGATCCAGTGATGCTTAGTAAATGCCACCCACAGAAACTATTTGCATCTCCACAAGAAAACATACTCACACTCACAAGCACATGCACACAACGTGTTTTAATTGGCAAGGCTGATGAGGTTCAATTACTGAGCACAGCTACTTTTTCTTTCAGTGTTTTAAGTTGATTTCTGAGAAGGACCATTGTTGATGTTTCCAGTCTCACCAAATATCTAAAGATGTGGTCATGGAAAGTGTGGTTATGATGACAAATATTTTTCAGCAAGATTGTGAGACTGGATAAATGTCACTAAGATGTAATGATTTTCTTTTTTCTCAGAAGAACATTTGCAAATTCTGACTTTAAACACAGTTCGGGTACTTTAGAGAACAAGTCATCAATTATGACTGTGAAGACAGAATTGTTTAGGATATTGCAGAATTTGTGTAGAAAACTGAGCCTATCCCTAAAGACTCTCCAGTATGTTTCATGTAGTAGAAGTCTCTTGTAAAGAGGAGATAGTAATTCATGTATTCCAGGGGTCTATGTAAGTGGACTTGAATTGATTCATGTTATAAACATCAGGCAGTTCCAATTATATTCTTGGTTTGGCCTGTGGAGTGAAGAGAGTGATATCATAGAGTGCCAGAGAATGCTGGGATGAGAAGTGAAGAGGAAGACAGGTGGGAGGGAGCCCGTCCTTGGCAGATGAGCAGTGTCTGGCCCTGTCGTGGGAAAATAAATGTCCTTCTGGGCCATGGAAACAGTGAGTGCAAACGCAGAGGATGTGAAAGGCTGCTGAGTTTTACAAAATCTTCGGAAACCGTTTGGTCACAGAAGGTAATCAGATCTGGATGACGAGTGTTAGAAAGCATTCCTAGGAAAGCAGAATTTATCTTGGGGAGAAGCGCAGAGCATTTTCTCCTTCAAAACCAAGGGCAATCTGACATTCTCTGTATTTTGGGAAGTACCTGACTTCCCTGAGGAGTTAAGATCAGGGCCAGAGTCCAGAAAGAAGACATCAGGACCAACTTCAGGGTTCTTACAGGAGACAAGCGGCTGTTTGGTGTTTTTCCCAACTGAGACTGGCCTCAACGTGATGCCAGTTGCTATCAGTCCTTTCTTTATATTTTCTAGGTGTCGAAAACTTTTGGAGTGGGGAGAAGAACGTTCGTGGTGCACAGAACACGACTTTTCATCATTTTCTGCTCTATTACTATTTTCAGTCATCTTTGATCAGGTTCTCTTTTCTTGACTTTTCCCAAATCTCAGTTTCTTCTTCCTCAAGTATATAAAGCAAACTCCTGTGACTCTACCTTCTTCACTATGCCATTTTCAACAATCTTGACCCCAAAATAAAATTCCCTGCCCTGAATAAAGAAGACCCAAGCTATGAAATCACAAAAACTTCCTCTATCCCGGTAGCTTACAGCATCTGGTGAAGTCGGTAATTTCTCAAAAAAAAAATAAAACAGGGACCAACCCTAGACAGACAGAGATATGCGACCTTTAAGACAAAGAACTCAAAATCGTGCTTTGAGGAAACTCAATGAAATTCAAGATAAACAAACATGTCCCCCAAAATGACAGTCAATGTTACGATAAAAATAAAGATTAGTAAAAGACTGACCAGATAATGAGATAGCCTTATATTTCCAAGGTCATCTTGACCTTCAAGAAGGGGTCAAATATGCATTAACAAGTGAAAAATAGGAATATAAAAAGTAGGATCATTTGCAAGGCAATACACAGTATCTAATGTGGAAAGTAACGACGGATATAATTAAGACCAGCAAAAGGCCTGCTATGTGAAATGAGTAACTTGCACAAGGCACATCTGCTGATCTGAGCAGCGGAGAGGGAAGAGATTATTCTGGAAGAGGCAGAGGAGTGGTGTGAGATAAGGACACACTGGTGCAAAATAGTATCATTAGCAAATAGAACCTGCCGGGGGACTGTGGCCTATATGACTTTTCTTTCCACTGTCCTCTGTGAGAGCTCAAATGCACCATTTTCTGTTCCAAGGATTTGCTCCCGCAGCCCTCACTCCACCCCAGTTAGAAGCTGCTGGTATTTATTCCTCTGCAGTCTCCCATGGACAAACTCCCACTCCTTCTTCGTGGAGCATGGTCTAGAGCAGAGGTCATCTCTCCCTCCCTCCAAATCCCACAGTAATTGGCATGAGCCTCTCTCATAGCTTGCTCACGTGCCACCTAATTCTGCACCTTTTCATTTCAACTAGATTGAGAGTTAGGTGTGGATCATGAACCTTAAACAACACCTTCATCAACAGGATGTGTAAATGACTGCTTTCACTGTTCTATCGTGAACAGAAGAAATACACCATTAAAATGATTGTTTAAATTAATTTAACCACAAAAACTTTCCCAAATGCTGTCAACAATGCAACCGCAAAAGAATTACTCTCCTAAATTGTGAGATTGTAGAATGAAACAAGAAGCAAAGAAAATTATGTCAAATATCGGAGAGGAGCCTCAGAATTTGAATCCCTCTTCTACAAATATCATTTGACATGATGCCTCTCTCTACCTGAGACACAGAATGGCACCTGTGCCCCATACCCACTGGAGACTGTGGAAATCTGGAGGGAGCAACCTTGGTGATTCTGCCCCAAGAGAAGGGATTCTCTGGAGCTCTGGACAACATCCTGGGACTAAGATGGACAGTGGGAGTATTGCAGCTTGGAGAGGATAATATTTAAGGTGAGTATGATCCTTCTGACCTCTCAGCCCAAAATGAATCCAGGGTCATACCTGATGGTCAGGGGCTGCTTAGTTTCCTATGCAAATTAGTCCATGCTGCAGGGTCTGTCAGTGCCACAGAGGAATAGCGGGGCACTATAGTATAAAGTGACTCACAGCCCAGAGCTGCTGCTTGCCCCATCTCTGTTTTCAGTGATTGCAGCATCTGCATACTTCATGCAAGGAAGGATAATTTGAAAATAATGGACTGGTTCCCTGTTTCCTTTAGCTACATTCCAAATAGTTGTCTTGTTTCAGATTGGCATGCTCATAGGAGACACAGACCCACAGAGCAAGGGAATTTGGAGATTGGAGAGAAGTAGGATCACTTGAGATTCCCTTAGACTATGGCTTCTAGGAGCAGAAACAGATGGACAGTGGATTCTGAGCCTTTTTGGCCCCATAAGACATGCCCTAATAGGATCATCATTGTATCAGAAAACATTCCAGTGATGTCCTTGTAAACTGGATATCTGTGAGGGTGGGGCCATGCCTAGTAGCATTTGTCAGTTCCTATGGTATCAGCATAGCCACTATGGCAGATTTCAAGCTGTCATCATGGCTTCATTCAATGAGGATTTGGGAAGGGTTTGCCTATTTGGCTCTTCTGAATCATGCAAGCTGGTTCCAGCACATTCCCAGACTCAGGAGCATAGCTTTCAATCTTGTTCAATCCTCCATACTCAACACCCTTAAAACGAGTTACCAGCAACTGTAGCACAGCCTGTTGTTTTCGTGATAGGATAAGAGTGTGTGTCCCTAGTTCTTAGAGTGGACAAAGGGGTGTTTGTGCAGAGAAAGGATTGCCAAGTCCTCTGAAGCTGCTGAGATCACAGAACACAAGGCTATGCCAACTGGTTTGAAAGCTTCTAGACTTTGATTCAAAATAATTTTATGGACATTCTGCTTTGGTTCAACTAAAAAATTCAACTCTGTTAGCATGTTCCCAGAATGTAGTCCAGTGTTATTAACTCTAGTCACTTTGTTGTATAAAAGATTTTTTAAACTTCTTCCTCCTATCTGAGTGAAATTTTGTATCCTTTGACCAGCATCTCCCCAGCACCCCATCTCCACCCCAGCCTCTGGTAATTACTGCTCTAGTCTTTTGATGTGTCTTAATTTCCCTGAGGTCTTTAACTCAAGAAGACAGGGGTATTTTCTTTATAATAATGCTTATATTACTTTTTGTTTTCTTTATTTTTTCAAATATATTATTTGTTATGAATATAAATAAGTATATTGTAATAAAATCTTCCACCTCTCTGTGGGTGAAGCTACAGTTCTCATTTCATTCGAGCAGGGCTTGTATTTCTTCTTTTTTTAGCTATTAATAAAATATTCCCTTTATGCCCTTGTATGTTCACCCTCAGTGTAGGTAGGAAGCCCTGCCCACCTTTTTTACATCTTTTTTCAGCAACAGTGTTTACAGCTGTGGTCTGAATTCTGTTCAAGCCTAAGAATCAGAGCTGGTCCACTATTGTGAGCGTGGGTCTCAGGAGTCATGTGGATAAAGGTGGAAAAAGATGGACACAAGGTCTTAGGAAGTCCTTGAAATAGCATCCGAAGGTCAGGGAATTTCCATCTGTGCCCGGGGCGTCCTCACTCCCAGGAGACACAAGGTAACAGCAAGGAGTGATTTGATGATGGCAAAATTGTAATGGGTTCAGAACAATCCCTGCCAAGGACCATCATTTGCTAGAGAAAGACGTTTGGTGTCTGCGGCACCACAATATCCAATAACTGAATTTGGGGAACTATAATTTTCCAAGGAGCTATGCAGGACCATGCACTTCTGTCCTGGCTGGGTCTGGAATATTCTATCTTAAACTTGGTTTATGGGGCTGTCTCTGAGGACTCCCAGAAACCCATGATCCATAATTATGTCAGCGTTGGTCACAGCATGAAATTTAGAATATGTGAACTGTAGCTTTACCCAAAGAGAGGTGAAGGATTTTTATTACAATATACTTATTTATATTTACAATAAACACTATATTGCAAGACATAAAATAACGAAACAAAAACAAAGCAAAAATAATGTAAGCATCATTATAGAGAAAATTCCCCCATCTTGTTGAGCTAAAGACCTCAGGGAAATTACTTCAAATTCAAAGACTAGAGCAGTAATTAGCAAAGGCTGGAGTAGAGATGGACTGTTGGGAAGATGTTGGTCAACAGATACAAAATCTCACTCAGATAAGACGAAGATGTTACAAAGATCTATTATACAACAAATGACTAGAGTTAGCAACAGTGGATTGTATTCTGGGAAAATGCTAACAGAGTACATTTTAAGTATTCTCACCACTGGAAAGGATAAGGATTGAGGTACTGCATATGTTAACTAGCTAGATTTAGTCATTGCACTATGTACACACATTTTTAAACGCAGGTTGCATGGTATACACATATACAACTCTTATTTGTCAGCATTCAGGTTCTAGAAACCCCATTTCCTAGGGAACCAAGCTGACACTGGAGCAGTAGTGCTGTGGCTGAGCTGCTGGCACAGAGATACACAGCCAAGTCCCCCTGCTGTGTGCGCTGGAACTTCAGAGTGGAGATGGATCCCTCAGACCTCTGTGCAGAGAACCGATCACGGGGAAGCCCCGATTTGTCTGCTGCATCCTTGCCTTGGAAGTAAATTGGAAACTCCAGGCCCTGCCCCAGGCTCTGTCGGTACCAATAAAGGGCATTATGACCTGAAATTGGATCATATCTGAGAGCTACATCCTTTCCCTTCTTTGCTACCTTGTGTCTCAGGGACTGGGAGACTCCAGCACCTGTGTGATCTGTGGAGACAGAAATTGGGAACTGAATGAGAAAAACAACTATAGTCAGCTCTCTCTCTCTCTCTCTCACACACACATCTCACACACATACACACACACACACACACACACACAGGAGACTGCTTGGCATCTGAGGAATCACCTGCCCCCAGGAGACATATGGCTGCCCAGCAGAGGAGCCTTGTGCCCATGGCAGGGTCAGGGCAGGATGGGAGCTTTACCAGATCAGAGTCACTGTGAGTAGGAGCAGAGGAGGAGGGATGTCCTTGTTCCCACACAGAAGGTCCCATAGTGACATCACATCCTCTCTCAATCCACGCAATGACAGGAACAAAGGATTTATTTTAGGACCTACTTAAATGACTCCTTTAAATATTTATGAGTTCCTTGCTTTTTGCTTGTTTGTTCTTTGAGACAGAGCCTTGCTCCATTGCCCAGAATGGAGTGCAGCAGTGTGATCTCGGCTCACTGCAAACTCTGCCTCCCAAGTTCAAGTGATTCTCCTGCCTCAGCCTCCTGAGTAGCTGGGATTACAGACTCACACCACCATACCAGGCTAATTTTTGTATTTTTAGTAGAGACGGGGTTTCACCACATTGCCCCGGCTGGTCTCAAACTCCTGACCTCAAGTGATCCGCCCACCTTGGTCTCCCAAAGTGCTGGGATTACAGGCGTGAGCCCAGCACTTTGGGAGGCGGAGGCAGGTGGATCATGAGGTCAGGAGATCGAGACCATCCTGGCTAATATGGTGAAACCCTGTCTCTTCTAAAAATACAAAAAATGAGCCAGGCGTTGTGGCGGGCGCCTCTAGTCCAAGCTACTTGGGAGGCTGAGGCAGGAGAATGGCTTGAACCCGGGAGGCGGAGCTTGCAGTGAGCCGAGATTGCGCCACTGTACTCCAGCCTGGGCGACAGAGCGAGAATCTGTCTCAAAAAAAAAAAAAAATCCTTTTTAACAACATCAATGCATGTATCATCGCTTTGGGCTCTCATGCTGTCTGGACCCGGAGGCCTCACGCTGCATCTCTGAGTTTATCTCCTCATCCCACAGCCGCTCCTCTGTCTGCTGGGCATGTTCTCTAGGATGTGTCAACAGCTCCGCCAACACAAAGCACCAAAAGGTGAGCTCATTGTCTTTCCTGCAAGTCAGAGTCCCCTGTGCCATCCCCATTGATGCCCCAGCCTCCTCCATCCCCCCAGTCACACGTGCCCAATGGGGCTGTCCCATCACATGGGTTCCCTCACGAGCGGCACCTCATGCCCCTCTTCTGGGACCACTTCCCATCTTTGTTAACTATAATTCAGAAAGGATACCTTGGTGACAAACTCACCGTGTTTTTTCTTTCTCTATCTATAAATATATTTACCTCAATCTCAATATTTAATGAATGAGAATTATAATTCTGACTTGATGCTTATTTTTAATCTCCTTTCTTGACTTTCACTGTTCCTTTCAGTCTATTCTGCTGGGAGATAGTTATCTTTTGGGCTACTTTTAAAATCTTCTCTTTGTCATTTGTGTTCCGCAATTTCACCATAACATATGTATTCATCTACTTCATATTCATTTAACTTGTTGAAACAGAGGATTTAGGTCCTGAAACACGTCTTGAAAATTCTCAGCTAATGTCTCATAATTATCACCTATCATTCTCTCTACTTTCTCTTTGTGACACTTCAATCATGTGTAAGAAAAATGGGAAGTTCCAACAAAATATTATATATACACTAATACACTAGAACCCACAAGTGTTTTATTCCTTATCCCTTACCTTTTCTTGTTTCCTGTTTAATTTTCTGTGCTGCATTCTAGGTAACTTCTTCAGATCTGTCTTTGACCTCCTGTAACAATCTCTTTTGAAGCATGTCATCTTTTCTTCATTTCCATTTTGTTTTCAATGATAATCTTAATCGTTAGTGTATTCTCTTTGATTATTTTTTAATGTTTCCTTGATTATTTCTGACAGTCTTCTTTTTCATGTTCACATATCAATTCGCTTTTGTATTCCTTTAAATATAGCTCTTTAACTTTTATATCTTTTTATGGCAAAATTCCTTGTCTTCATACATTTCAATTGCTTACTGTTTCTACTCACTTTTCTTCATTGGTTCTTGCTTTAGTTGTCTTAATAGTGGGAATATATTTACCTGACATTAATCTGTGGGATTTCAGAGAGTCCTGCATTGAGAGTGCAGAACGTCCAGTCCATAGCTTTTCCAGCTGTCTCCAGTCTTATCCCAAATGCACGGGGCAAAGAATTGTCTGCTGCACTCTGAGTTGCCAAACACACTCCTGGGTTTGGTTCCTGGGATCAGAACACGCTCTCAGGACAGTCACAATGTTCCCTCCAGAACACAGTTCTCATTTTTGTTATTTTTCATGACACCTTCTCCAGAAATTAGCACCTATAAGGCTGTGTAGTCATGACTTTCCCTACCTGTTCTTCCAAGAAAAATTTATATAAATACATTTTCAATAAAAAAACTCCAAAGTCTAAAGATATTCCCTCTTCTTTCCTTTTTGGTTCCTAACCCAAAACTTTAAAAAATAACTTAGAATTGTATAATGTAGACTTTACCCTCATTGAGTTTGAAGAACATATGATATTTAAAATTGGAAACTCCTAGATGAACTGACAAACTGGCTTGCACAATGAATGGTCCAACGCTTGTTCAACAAGCGAGTGCCCTTTGAAGAGCTCATAGCAGAGCATCTCAGGCACAGTTAACTCTAGATTTCTGCCAGGGTACAGCGGACCTGGAGTGTTCCTGTTATTGGTTCATCCACCCGCTCATCACTCAATCAGCCTGTCATTCATTAACTCATCCATTATCTGTGAAACAGGTCTCCCTTCATTCCAGGAACAGCTGTTGGTAAATGTAACAAGCACAGCCTTCCCCTTTATGGAGTTTAAAATCGACATGAGCAGAAAAATATCCAGACAAGTAACTGGAAAACTCCAACTGTGCTCAACTCTGTTGACTAACAAGCACATGTTACCATCAGTGCTTATAACAGAAAAATTGATCTCAGCTGGGAGGCAAGGGCATGCTTCCCACAGGAGGGCTGATCATGCTGAGATGTGAAGCACAGGTAGGAGTTGGCCACTGCAGAAAGGAAGCCTCCAGCCCAGGGCAGAGAAAATGGACTTTGAAGTCTCTGTGATGGGAAGGAAGGAGGCACAGAAGAGGGGCTCCCCTCATGGCTGCTGTGGAGAGGTGTGGGGAAGTGAGGGGAGGAGAGACCCAGCAAGGCCTTGGAGGGTGACTGCCCAGATGGGAAAGGTGGGCCACAGGAGAGACAACATGAGGGTGGGGGCTGGGGGAAACCCTAGAGAGAAGAAGCAACATGGTCCCCAGGGAGAGACAACATGAGGGTGGGGGCTGGGGGAAACCCTAGAGAGAAGAAGCAACATGGTCCCCAGGGAGAGACGAGAGTCTAGATGGATCTGAAATACAAATCCTGTTTCATCCTGGGGGCCTCAGACCCATGATGATGGGGTTTCAAGTTTCCTGGTGCAGAGAACTCTGCCCAGGGCATCACTGAGTCTGGGGTGAGGGAGGAGGGCAGAGCCTCCCTGCCTTTATGTGCAGAGAGGAGACGGCCATGCAGCGCTGTGGCTTCACTGCTGGCACAGAAGTACACAGATGTCTGGGAGGGAGCAGCCGACTCCAGCCTGAGCGAGAACTCCCGTTTGTTTAATCTGGAGACATTGTAGCCATTGGGGACTTCTCCTTTGTCAGTGGTACCCTCAGAAGCTGAGTAATAAATCAGCCTCAGTCCCATGCCTGGGTCTTGTCGATACCAGTACATGGAGTTATGGTTCATATCCTGGGCACACTGCAGTGTCATGCTCTGTCCTGTCTTCAGGACCTGGAATTTTGGGGTCTGAGTGACACCAGCATTCACTGGACCTGCAGAGAAGAACAAAGCTGATGCTGCAGCCACAATGGAAACAGGCTGGGCCTTGAAATCCACACATGGGGCCCTGCCCAGGACTTACTTGCCCACAGGAGAGAAAAGGCCACACAGCACAGGAGCCCGATGCTCATGGCAGGTGCTACAGGATGGAGGGGTCTTCTGGGTCTGTGCATCGGTGATAGGGGAACAGGACTCTCAAGTGGGTCATTCTGAGACTTCATTCTCCCTGCCTGGGCCCCAGAGCCTTCCTGTCAGGAGAGGCCACGCCCCTTCCCCAGATGGTCAAATTCAAGATTCATGCACCGGTGAACCGTTTGAATGGGAAGAATGCCTTTGTCTGAATTGACACAGCCTTACGAGTTTTTCTTAACCTTTTTGGAAGCAGTTTGTAACTCAATGGAACTCTTATCCCTGTGATGATATAATTCCTCATTCATACACTGGTGTCAGTTATCTAAATATTTCTCTAATTTAGACTCTTAGGGAAACTTCTCATGTCTTCCAGGTGTTTTTGACTCCTGTGTCCCAAATCCCCCTTCAAGTATCCTTTTCTAATTTGCTTAATTGACCATAATCCTGTTTAAAATCCTTTGTCTATATTGGTTTTCTCTGTTACCAAGTTTCCAAATCCCAGGGGCAGGCTCATCACCATTGGAGGAGTCATTTTGCTCTGTTTCTTTTCAATTCACCGACAGATGGGACTCCTGACAAGCCCAGCTGAGCACCTTCAGCTCCACCCAGGGCTCTTGCTTTCTGTGCCTGGGGTGAGACCGCAGCAGGCAGAACCACCTCACGCTGCTGACTGCCCTCTCTGTGTGGATGATAGTGGCAGCCCAACGCTGCCCATGATCTGTGGGCACAAAGGTGTCTTGACATGTGAGGGATGTGGGGAGAGGAGAGAAGAGGCAGGCTCCAGGATAAGAAAAAGCGCTCTCATTTTATTTGAAGTGTCATATTTCATAGGGAATATTCCCTTGGTCAGGATTCTCACCACTAATTCAGTAACAATTAAAAAAAAAAAAAAAAAGGCCAGGCGCAGTGGATCACGCCTGTAATCCCAACACATTGGAAGGCTGAGGTGGGCGGATCATGAGGTCAGGAGTTCAAGACCAGTCTGACAAACATGGTGAAACCCCGTCTCTACTAAAAATACAAAAAAAAAAAAAAAAAAAAAAATAGCTGGTCATGGTGGTGCGCACCTGTAATCCCAGCTACTTCAGGAGGCTGAGGCAGGAGAATCACGTGAACCCAGGAGGCAAGGTTGCAGTGAGCCAAGATTGCACCACTGCACTCCAGCCTGGGCAACAGAGCAAGACTCCGTCTCAAAAAAAAAAAAAAAAAAAAAGAAAAGAAAAAAAAAACCCGTATTTTAGTGCACAGAGCCCCACACTTAAAGAGATCCCTGTTACTGTAACATTGTCATGATCTTCAACTTCCTTACAATATTTGAGCAAAGAGCTGCCAGTAAGTCACATTGCCGGTCCTGAGTACATGGTTTTGTTTCATATTCTGCTCACCTCCTCTTGTGCTAGTTTCCTTTTGGCAAAAGCACATGACTGGAGTCTGAGTCACTCAGCATCCATGGTGTTTAGGAGAGAAGGACACAGAAATTGAAGTCAGAGCAAAGGGCCACCTGGTGCTGAAATTCACAGCCAGGATATAACAAGTTCGTGAGTGGGTACACTGTCTGTGTCCAGGCTAGACCAGGAGACAGAGAAACACACAATGTAGGAGCCTGCTTCCCAGGGCAGAAAAGGGCATTTCCTAGCTCAAGGCTTAGGTTTTATGAATTGGACACTTAGTGTCAACACAAAGAGAACCTTTCTCCCAATGTGACGTCATCTCTCAACAAGGTCACTATTACCGTATTTTGTTTGGCCCCAGGGCACTCAGTGTGTGAACACAAAGCTCAGCTGCATGTGTGTCTGATGAAACTCAAAATATTTCCCTTAAAGATGATTAATTTTCGCCAAAATATCATTACAAAATAATTGGAGTGAATGAGCAGATAAGAAAAGAAATGAAAGAAAATGAATAAATAAACTTCGTAAAATCAGTCTGTACCAGGTTAGAAGACCTTCTGAGGTTGTTTCATCACAATATCCATCTCCAGATAGAATTGTCCCTAATGTGGATCTGGTAGCTCACCTGGCTTCAACCCCTTTTAAAACCATAAAACTTTTCAGGAGCTCCTCATTCTGTTAATTATTTGGTTACGTATAACCGATCTGTTTATTTAAAATGTGTAATGCTTATATAACTTATATATCAATAATACTGAGTTTTAAATGCCTGAGGAGGGATATATGCTACATTCTCTAGTTCATACTTTCAAAGTAATCATCACGCATATATATTTCCATTTCTGTGGCTTCCTGAGTCCTCACCCTAAGATTTCCAGGCAAAATGTGTCTTTAACTGCCTTTGGGCATTGGCGCAGTGGAAGAGGCTGCCCGAGACTAGCAAAGGAAATAAAAATAGCTAGATTTCTACTATATGCTAAATATTTTATGGTATTGGGGTATTGGCTGGGTGCGGTGGCTCACACCTGTAATACCAGCACTTTGGGAGGCCGAGGTGGGCAGATCACGAGGTCAGGAGATCAAGACAATCCAGGCTAACACTGTGAAATCTCATCTCTACTAAAAATACAAAAAATCAGCCAGGCATGGTGGTGCACACCTGTAATCCCAGCTACTCGGGAGGCTGAGGCAGGAGAATCACTTGAACCCGGGAGGCAGAGGTTGCAGTGGGCCAAGATCACACCACTGCATTCCAGCCCAGGCGACAAAGCGAGACTCTGTATCAAAAAAAAAAAAAAGAAAAAAGAAATTCTATTTGTGTATAGTAAAATAACAATAAATAGTGAAATTATTATTTTTTTGAAGTCTTCTCTATGAAGCAGAATTGAACTTCGAATGAATGTGCATTCATATACTCAGTGCTTACTGTTCTGCAAATGACCCTGCCACTCCTGTGACAGATGGTTTCGCAGAAACAATAAGATACTATACATTTAATATTCAGACCTTAAATGTGGTGTATGCATACAATGGAATATCATTAAGTATTAAAAAGAAGAAATTCTGGCCATACATGACAATGTGGCTAAACCTGGAGGACATTATGCTGAGTTGAAAAAGTCAGGCACAGAAAGACAAATACTACATGATTGTGCTTATATGAGGCAACCTAAAAGTCAAACTGATGTAAGTGAAGATGAAAATGGTGATTTCCAAGGGCTAGGAAGAGGGGGAAATGGGCAGCTGCCGCCAGTGGCTACAAAATTTCAGTAAAGAAGAATCAGGAAGCTTTAGAGATCTGCTGTCCAACCTTGTGTCTGTAGATTACGATACTATATTGTACATTTAAAAATCTGTTTAAAAGATAGCCTTAGGTTATTAAACTAAAAAAGCTGGCAGAAAAAGCTGTAGGTGGCTAAAGAGAAAAAGAGAAGAAAAAAAGGAAATGTGTATAATTCAGAAACTGAGCAAACGTCTTTGAATAAGTTAAAAAAATTAATGCAAACCTTAATACTCTAAAAAGTAAGAAACACTTATTATTCTTTCAAGCTTTTCTTTTGTATTTTCATTTGTTCTTTTTTATTTTGCTTTTTATGTCATAAAATATCTATACAAAGAAAGGATCTCCAAACATATATTAAATAAAATAATAACTAATGAATAACAATTTTTCTTGTTACTTTTCCTCAAGGTAGATTATATCAGTTACAGGAAGTGTACAGTGCAGATAATTTCATCCTTCTGTTTTGCTTCAGTGAAAGGTGAATGGATATGCTTGGCCTGGAAGTCACGTGTTCCTTGGACTTGTCAGGGAAGAGGTTACAATGGTCACATATGAGGCATGACCTTGTGCTCCTGCTAATTGGACCTGGAAAGGGGAAGCCAGATGAAGGGACAGATACAGAGTCGGGGGACGGGGCTGGTGCAGAGATGTTGGAGGAAAACACCTCAGCCAATTACTTAATATGAGACCCGGAACAGCTGCTTTCCTTCAGATGTATAAACAGGTGAAATCATACCTACCTTACATGATTTCAGTGAGCATAAAACCAGATCACATACAGAAACAACAGGAAGTGTCTGGAGGAAAAGCCTGTCAGCTCACCAGGACCTGAGCCCCTCTGGCTGGCAGCACCCTCCTCAGGGTCACTCCCTGAGTGGAGCTAAGAAAGTGTCACCCAATTCCTTCGGGTACAGTCCTTTTCCAGGTACTCTTTCTGCAGGCCACTCCTGCCTTGTTCACCCATTGAAAGACTCAGGCTCAGCAGCTCCATGCAGCCTTCCTGTCCCGCACAGCCCCTCAACTAAAGGGGAGGTGGCTGGTCACAGTCCCCGCATGCCCACATCACACCTCACTTTCCTCTGCCCACCCTATCCCTGTCCTGACACTGATTCCCAGCCCTTGCCACCCCAGCCCCTACACCCTCCTCTGCCCATGCAGAGGCAGAAACACTCCCTGCTTGGTGCCAACCCTGGCCCTACCTTTCCCTGGGCAGTCCCAGGCCAGGACCTACTCTAATTTCCACCTAATCTCCTGATGTCAGCAGGCAGCCAGGCATTCCCTTCCGCCCTCCCTTCCTGGCCACCCTCCCACCCCTCCCCAGGGTTCCCTGCAGCATAGTGGGGCCACAGCGCCCCCAAGTGGCCAACATTCCACAGTCCCATGGATTCACACCTTCTGACCTGATGAGCTCAGGATAGTCCAAGTCAGGAACACGGTTGCCCCCACTCCAACCCCTGCAGCCCCCATTCTTTCACACACCCTGTCTATTGCTTTCCCGGAAGGGTTGATTTAGGGTGGAACTTCAAACTCACCCTTGACCAGTGGAGACAAAAGGACACATCTTGATTGCACAAGAAATTGCTGTTACATTATTGCAATGAGCATCCTAAGATGGAAGAAAGGAGCCAGAATTATACAGGCCACAGGATGAAAGTGTGACAATATCAAGCCAATCTGGGCTGAAAATACTACATTGCAGAGCTCCCTTTGATTAGTCAGACTCATATCTTTTCACACATTGCATTTAGTTTAATTATTCACAAATTTTAGCTAGCACATTTTATAAAAAGGATTTTTTGATTTTACAAATTTATTTCTGAATGTATAAAATCTTGAAATAAACTATCTTATCAGCTATAACTTAGGCAGATTCCGTTAGGTCTGCTATTTTCTATCCTTACCTAGAAGTGCCTAGGAGCTCTGCCAGTGATCCAGCACCTCATAAAATGCCACCAGGGGAGAAACTTCTATGTGAGTGAGTATCCACAAGAAAACACACACACACATTCACACTCACAAACACATAATATCTTTTCATTGTCAAGGATGATAAGATTCCATTACTGAGCAAAGCTAGTTTTTTTTTTCAATGTTGTAGGTTGATTTTGGTTGATTTCATCAAGGATGATTAAGAAGCACCTTTGACTATATTCCACCCTCACCAAATCTCTAAAAATGTGGCTGTGGAAAGTGTGGTTATGGTGAGGAAGTTTTTTACAGGATTATGAGTCTTTATAAATATTACTGTACCATAATTTTCTTTCTTTAGTGATTCTTCAGTCAGCCTAAATAACATAATTTTCTTCACTCCAAAAGAACATTTGCAAATTCCAGCATTAGATACCCTTTGGGAACTTGACAGCACTGGTCATCAATCCTGACTGTGAAGACACAATTGCTAGGAATATTACAGAAGTTACATGAAATACTAAGACTATTCATAATCATTCTCCATGATATTTCATGTAGAGTCCCTTGTAAAGAGAAGACAGTAATTAATCACACTCCAGGATTCTGTATGAGAGGGCAATAACTTATTAGTTTTGCAAACATCAAAGAGTATCAATTGTATGCTTGGCTTTAAAATAAAGGAAAGAGAGTGATACAGTACAGTCCCAGGGAATGTCACAGTAAGAAGTGAAGAGGAAGGCAGGTGTGAACCTGTCCTTGACAGATGATCAGTATGTGGCCCCGTCTTAGGAGAACAAAGGTCCTCCCAGGCCATGGAAACTGTAAGGACAAACGCAGAGGAGGTAGAGACTGCTGAGTTTTAGAAAATGTTCAAAGAGCATTTGGTCATAGAAGGTAATTGGATTTGGGAGGTGAGTGTCAGAAAGGAATCCCAGGGTTGCAGAATTTATTTGGGGGGAAACTGGAAAGTATTTGCCCCTTTAGGAAGAAGGGTGACTTTACCTTCCTCTGTGTTTTGGGAAGTACCTGACTGTGGCCTGAGGAGTCAAGATCAGGGCTGGAAGAAGGAAGACAGCAGAAGCAACTCCAGGGCTCTCACAATGGCCAAGCGGCAATTTGGTGATGCCTCCGACTGGGACCGGCTACCAGGTGATTCCGGTGGCTATAAGACCTTTCCTTATTTTTTTCTAGGTGTTGAAAACTTTCGGGTGGGGGAAAGAGAGTTCATGGTGCACAGAACACCACTTTTCATCACCTTCTGCTCTATCTCTGTTTTCAATCATCTTTCGTTTTCTCTCTCCTTGACTTTCCCAAAACCTCAATTTCTTCTCCCCAAGTTGTATAAAGCAAACCCTGTGATTCTCCCTTCTACACTACACTGTTATCAACAATCTTGACCACAAAATTAAATCTCTTGTCCTGAGAAAGAGTGCGCCAGCTGTTAAATTACACACATTTCCTCTACTCCTGTAGTTTACAGTGTCGGCAAAGAAGGTAATGCTGCAGTCAACCTACGGAAGCAGCACCATCCTCTGAGCAGGCTCTCTTGGCCTTGTTTTCCCCAGCCCTGAGTTGCAGAAAGCCCCAGGCTGTGGATCCTAGCATTCTAAATTGCCTTTCTTTCTCCCTGCAGTCCCCAGGTTCTCACAGATATGTCAGGGCTGAGGTTGCTCCACATTGGGCCAGGGAGGTTTGTGCACAGAATGTGGTTGGCTTTGTAGGGCTGTGCCAAGCTGCTGGCGCAAAGATAAAGGGCCGAGTCCCCCAGCTCCAAGGTGCTCACATTCATCTCAGAGCGAGAGTTAGAGAACTGGCGCCCTGAGAATCGACCAGGGAAGTTTCCTTTGTTTCTCTGTGTCTCACTGAAGTATTCAAAGAGGAACTGAAGGCCCTGTCCTGGGGTCTGTTGGTACCAGGATACACTCCTATGCCCAGAGATAGGGGAGCAGCTCAGTGTCACTTGCTGTCCTCTCGTTTTGATCAGATATCTTGGAGTTTGAGTGACTCCAGCCTTTACTGGGCCTGTGGGAAAAGCAGATGGAGAATGAGCACCGGAGACAGCCTGGTGGTGCCTCCCCATGGTAAAGTGGAAGACACAGGGGTGAGGACAGGCTCAGAATGGGGCGCTATCCTGTCTGCAGGGACTCACCTGCTCCCAGGAGACAAAGCAGCACCCAACAGAGCAGCCTGGAGCCCATGGCACAAAGGGGCAGGCAGCACTGTGTCTGTGCTCAGGGCTTGGTCCTCCTGGGAAAGAGCTAAATTCTCAGCCTTGCTTTTCCTGGTGGGAGGGGCATACTGTGATGTCACTGTCCTATGTCCTCCCCTTGCAGGCCTCCTGAGGTCCACTGCTCTCTGTTCTGCACAGCAGAATCCACTGGGCCTGTGAGGGAGGGAGACAGAGGCTAGGGCAAGAACACAGGAGGGAGCCTGAGGGTGCCTTGGATGAGGCGTGCTTCAGAGACATCCCACCTGTGCCAAGGATTCACTTGTTCCCAAGAGACAAAGGTCTTCCCATCAGAGGTACCTGGAGCCCATGGCCAGGTGGGACAGAGCTGGTCAGGTGTCACCCTGTGAGGGATACTGGTCCTCTGAGAGCTGGGGTTTTGGGCATTGCATCTCTGATCGGATGTTAGGCTGTGATATCACTACTCTGATGTCATCTCTGCGGGTTCCCATGCATCCTGCCTTCCTTGTTAGGCCCCTGGCTTACCCGATCCAGGACCTCTGCTTTGTGCTGTTAATACTCTCACATACCATGTGGGGCTGGACTGAGGTTAGGCTGCATGTCCCCCCCACAGTTCCTTTGCTTTTCCTTCCAGGCAGTTGTTCCTCTATCTGTCCCTGCCCTGGACATGCAGGTTGTCCCATCCCAGCATGGGACATCCCATCTTCATTCTCCCTCTTCGGCTCACAGAGGCTTCCTAACCCAGGCATAGCTGAAGTGCATGGCTCCCTGATGAGAGGCACACCTGCAGTTTTATGTATCCGTCATCACATTTTTTAGTGAGCACAAACATCAAGCAAGGCTGCTCCTTAACCCTCCCTGTCCCAGGCTCCTGGCTCTGTGCATGCCCCAGAGACATTTGGAGCTCAGTGGTTCCACAGCACCCCCATGTGGCCCACTGCGCAGTAACCAAGATTTTGCCATTGTTAGTGGACTGAATATTGATGTCCCTCCAAAATACAACCCCCAGGGAGACAATATTTGACAATAGGGTCTTTATAGAGAAAATTATGTTTACATGAGTTTATAAAAGTGGAGCCCTGATCCAGTATGATTAATGCCCTCTGAGATGAGACACTTGATGGCTAGCTTGTTCTCTCTCCACCATGTGAGGATTCAACTGGAAGAGGGTGCTCTGCAAGCCAAGAGGAGGGCCCTCACCAGAGCCCCACATGCTGGCATCCCCATTTCATGCTCTGGAGTTGTGAAAAAAAAAGATTTGTATTTAACCCATGCAGTCTGTGCTATTTGCTGTGGCTGTCTGAGCTGATGGATACAGCCTTTCTAACATGGTGCAAGAGACATGGGACATATTTAAATTAGGAACAATTTCACCATCTTGACTATTATACTGTTTCTCTAGGGGAACTAAAAGAAACCCCCACATTTTAAAATTTATGTTCTTCAAGATCACTTTTTGCACTGTAAAAGGGAAAAAAGTGATAGAAAAGAAATGTTGCCTTTGAGAAAATGCTGATGAAGGAGATGATGCAAACCTGGCCTAGCTCAGGTAGGTGTGCTGCAGGAAGAACTGTGCCAGAATCACATCAAGTCATCCCATCTCCCTTGCGGCAGGCAGACTCTCAGGGATTTGTGGATGATTTATTCTTTTTTCTGTGATGACTCCAGCCAGCTTGCTCCAAGAAGACCTTTCAGACCACTCTGTGCTACATGCCAACTAATCAGCTTATCCAAAAATAAACAAAACAGTACCCACTGTTCCCATGCTGCTGGGGAATTTGTTTCTTTCCCATCTATACTCTCTCTTTTAGAAATCCTCTTTTTGCCTGAGTTCACTGACAATATCCTCTTGCCCATTTTCCCATATATGAGTAAAGATATGTGCAGAAAATGATTAAATTTCTAAGTTTCTATTTGTGGTTCTATACTTAGTAAGCTAAGAAGGAGAGGCCAGACTGGGTTTAAAAAAGAAACATGAGACTAGGGAAAACAGAATCTGAGAAAGATTCCATTACAGAACCGCTATCCTTCACTTGCTACTTCTGATTTAGTGTATTTCCAATCCAAATTTCTTTAAATATCTACATTTGACATATCTGTTATCAAATTTTAAGAATAGTTACATATATACAGTAAATCTAGATATTGTCATTATGAAATTTCTTGATTTTTAAGTCCAAAGGCAAATGACCCCATGAGAAAGCAATGAGAAGAGATTCCAATCCAGCTGCATGTGACATTAGCGGTCACTAGCCAATGTGCCAGTGAGATATGATCAATGACCAGTACCTCTTCCAAGATGCCATCCAGAGAACAAAAATACCCTACTGAGGGAGTATTCATGGATATAAACCAGTTAAAATTCTCTCAAGATCAGATGGTGGATCAGATGGTGGTGTTCTATAACTTAATACCTTTTATGGATTTTCTGCATACCTCACTCTCCAAATAGAAGAATCAGCTTCTTTCATAATAGAAGCTGATTATCTGATGTGGTTTCTGATCCTAGGGAAGGTAAAGCTACTACACAAAATCATAAAAATATAAACTATCAATAGAAGTCACGTTAAGAAAAACTATGTATTTTTTACTTTTAAAGGAATACCTAAAATAAAATTGCTAGAATACTGGTCAATTCTTTACTAGAAAAAGAAACAAACAGATATTTAGATTGCTTCTGAGATGCCTCATATCCCATGATGAATAGCCATTATATTTCAAAGAAGAGGAGGCTTAGATAATATTATAAAGAAGTGCAAAAGACCAGTGCACTCCATCTGACTCCCCCTAAAATTGCAGACTTGTAGCATCTCCTGGCTCCTTCCTCAGGGGAGCCTGATGAGACAAGAAATAACTAAGAAACCAGAAACAAACTGAAAATCATGAGAATCTTCTGGGAAGACTGAAGCTATTTTGAGCCAGAGAATGAAGAGATGAGTGGTAAGTCCAAGACTGCAGTGAGAAAACAAACCGTGGACATTGGTTAAGCTCTGCCCTGTCTGACTTCCTCCTTGCGTGGAGACAGTCTGATCTCCATTTAAATTTCAGAAATCAATAGGAGGAGCTAAGCGCGGTGGCTCATACCTGTATTCTCAGAACTTTGGGAGGTAAAGGCGGGAGGATCACCAGAGCTCAAGAGTTTGAGAGAAACCTGGCAACATAGCAAGACCTCATCTCTACCAAAAATGTAAACAAAAAAGTTAGCCAGTGGTGGTGGTGTGTGCCTGTAGTCACAGCTACTTGGGAGGCTGAGGTGGGAGGATTGCTTGAATCTCAGAGGTTGAGGCTGCAGTGAGCCATGATTGCATCACTGTACTCCAGCTTGGGTGACAGAGTGAGACCCTGTTTCCAAAAAAGAGAAGGTTCCCAGCTACTCAGGAGGCTGAGGCAGGAGAATTGTGTGAACCCGGGAGGCGAAGCTTGCAGTGAGTCGAGATCGCACCACTGCACTCCAGCCTGGGCAACAGAGCAAGACTCTGTCTCAAAAAAAAAAAAAAAAAAAAAAAAAAAAAAGAGAGAGAAGGTTCTGCTACCTCAATTCTTACACAGATAGAAACTTTAGAGGAAAAAATAACCAATGTAACCCCAGAAAATATAACTTGATTAGCAGCAGCTGACCAGTTACCTGGGTTATCATTAAGTGAGGTCAAATAAGCAAAAGAGAAACATAAACATGTCAGATGTTAATCAAATAAACTACAATTAAAGTTAAAATATAAATGGAAATGACAATAAGAAAGAGAGAAGTCTGAGAAGCATGGTCACTGCAGGTCTCAGCAAAAGCTTCCCAGAGAAAAATAGGGAGCTAAGTAGAGAGCATGGCTACCTTGTACCAAGCAAAGGGGCTAAATGATTACCTGGCCCACAGTTGTGCTAATGATTTGAGAAAGTGTGTGGAGTAATTACAGATGACAGAATCTAAGTTGAAAGCACAATATTAGGAAGCTGCATCTTCCATTGGAATGTGCGCTGGGTTTTCCCGCTTACTTCATTTACAGGATTTCAGCCCAAATGAATCCATTTTCACCTCCATGGCCTTGCTCATGTAGTCCCTCTGTAACCACAATCGGGCATTATCATAGAACCCCACTTCTGCCTCTGGCTGAAATCAAGTGTTCCTGACTTGGTGAAGATGTTGCTCACTTTGCCCACCTTCTAAGGCAGGAGGAAACCCTTTCTTCACAGAAACTCCAAAGCCATTAAGCACGGACTTCTTTCTAGAGGTGATTAAATTTCTCTTTATGAGAACTTTTGTTTGTTCCTTCCAGCCTCAGAATTCTGTGAGAGCACCATCATATGAAGGGACATGTAGACAGCACTAGCCCTGTGCAATATACACATAAAACAAGATTTACTGGGGAAAACTCACAAGCAAGAAGCAGAAACACTGACTCAATTATCCACCCCTTCCTTTGTCCATGCAGAGATGTGCTTGGATAGGCATAGCTCCATGCATTGTGGAAAGTCTGCCAAAAGAAGGATCCATCACCATTCTACCATATGTACTATGGAGAGAGTGGGAGGTGCACATTTAAGGTCTACTCATGGTAGAATACATAGCAGGGGTAGCTTCTGGGCTGGCAAATTGTTTCGTGTGATTGGAGATTAGAGGTGTACCCAAGCCAGTGTTGTGAGGGCTAGCTAGAAGCCTTTGCACTCTCTCAATCTGACTGAATTAATTGCCTGCCAAATACTGATAAGGGTGAAGGTAGAGAGACAAAATTAAAGGAGACAGAAGGGTACTCTCATTTCATAGGGGTTGTGCCCAGGTACTACCAAGAAAGTGGAAAGGAAAATTTTCAGACTGAGGAAAAAGTTTCACAATACATATATCAGACTAGAATATTGTATCCAGATTATATAAAGGATTCTATATAATATAAAAATCCTTTATATTTTATAAAGGATTCCTATAAATCAATATAAAAGATATATAATTTAACCTTTAAAACTGGGCAAAAGCATTAATAGGTATATGAAAAAGACATATCTGCAAATGGTAATAAAAACATTAAAATGTCCTCAACATCATTAATCCTTAGAGAAATGCAAATTAGAACTCCAATGAAAGATTAATATTATGCCAATAAATTCAAAAGCAGACAAAATAAACAAATTCCCCAAAAAACACAATTACCCACTCAAAAAGTGGATAACTTGAATGTCCATAGGGATATTAAAAAATACATGTAGAAGTGGTTTTAAAAATTGAACTCATAATAATTAAAAGCATTTCCAGAAAGAAAACTCCAGGCCCAGCTTACTTTATTGATGAAATTGAGCAAGTTTATCAATTTACAAATTGTGAAGAATAAATAGTACTAATATTAACATAGAAGCAAAAATCCTTAACAAAAATAAAGTAAATTTAACTCACAATGTATAAAAAGGTTAATATCTAATCAGTAGATGAGATTTGCCCCAGGAATGCATAATTGGTTTTATATTTAAAAAGCAATTAATGTAAGTCACCTTATTTAAAAATTATTTAATTCGATGCAAAAATTTTTAACAAAATACTGGCAAGCTGTATCCAGCAGCACATCAGAAAGTTTATCTACTGCAATCAAGTAGGCTTCATTCCTGGGATGCAAGGTTGGTTCAACATACACAAATCAACAAATGTGATTCACCACATAGACAGAACTAAAAACAAACCCAGATGATCATCTCAATAAACACAGAAAAGGCTTTTTGACAATCCTATTAAAATCTCTGTAAACCTCTAGCCAGCTTTATGACCCAGGAGTGTCTTTCCCAAGACTCTAGGAACCATCTTTTTGAGATACAATCGTCAAGGAAGATAGAGGCCCTGTCTCCCAGTTTTTGTGGGAGAGTAGGAGCCTAATTTAGGATCCTAACTTTACTTAGGCAAAAGCCTAATTTTGACAACTAACTTAAGAGGCTGCTCCCCGCAAGTTGCGAAGCTACCTCATTTCATAAAACTGTGAGAAGAATATCTTCTCTTTTGATACAGCACAGATGACCATATATCTTGGGATAGGGAATCTTTTGTCTCTATAATAAATGAATGAATGAATTAGTGAATGAAAACAGATAAACAGAACAGCCAGGACCCACTCTCCTCTCTAAAAGCTAATGTAGAGCTGCGCTCTGGAGGCATCAGGCTCTGAGCCTGATGATTGAACACATTGGGAATAAAGAGACCAAAGGGGGAAAAATAATCCTTCAAGTGTCAGTCTGGAGAGGCAATCCAGGGAGGCGCTGAGATCTGAAACCAACAAGGAGGCTTCCAGCCAAGAGAAGGAGAGTGGATGAGTCAGGAAACTTCTAGACCATGATCCATGGACTCTGCAGCAAGGGGAGCAGACAGAGGCAAGTTTGCTGCCTGCAGGGTTCAGAGAAGGTGTCTGTGTATATGTGGAGCTTTGATCAGGGCTAGAATTCACAGTCTAGCTTTCAGTGTACAAATGAGAAATTAGAGAATAGACAAGCTGGAATATAGAGTAATAGAACTGGTGAAAATAGATACATATTTCTCAAACATATTTCCCAAAGGGTGAGTCTACTACTGTCCTCTCTAGCTGGCTTCTGCACTGGGACCCTTGCCTGGAAGTTCCTTCTCTGATTTCCCAGTGCTCAGTGTTGCTTGACTCTGCATGACAACAACCTATGATGAAAGGGAACCCTTGGCCCCAAAGAAGAGTCATGGAAACCACTGGACATGAAGTGTCAGGAGAACACAGCTCCTCACAGGACAGTGTCTGACCCAGTGCAGGGTGTGCCTCTGTGGTGACACAGGTGATTGTTTAGAGGGTTCTTATAAAATTTTAAGCTACACAATCCTTACAGCATGCTTGCTTTATTTCAGGAATTTTTTTTTTTTTTTGAGACAGAATCTCACTCTGTCGCCCAGGCTGGAGTGCAATGTCACGGTCTCGGCTCACCGCAACCTCCACCTCCCGAGTTCAAGTGATTCTCCTGCCTCCTGAGTAGCTGGGATTACAGGCATATGCCACCACACCCAGCTGATTTTTGTATTTTTAGTAGAGACGGGGTTTCACCATGTTGGCCAGGCTGGTCTCAAACTCCTGACCTCATGATCCGCTCGTCTTGGCCTCCCAAAGTGCTGGGATTACAAGCATGAGCCGCCATGCCCGGCCTATTTCATGATTAAAAAATTTTTTTTTTTTAAACTAGATCTGAATATGTTTCTCTTTTTTCAAATCAGTTGACGGGGCAGAGTCACACTCAGGCAAAAGGAAACCCACACTCTAAATATGTCATAGGATGTAAAGTTGCCACATGGATGAATTAGCAGGTGCTATGATGTTCTGAAGCTTCTTCGGGGCTCTTGGAGGAAATGTTCACCCGAGCCCTCCGTGGCCCCCACGGCTTCCTGGCAGGCCCCGAAGGTTTCTGCACAGGAAAGCGGTGACTCTGCAAGGCTGTGTCTTGGCTGCTGGCGCAGAGATACAGGGCTGAGTCTTCTGGCTGCAGGGCGTGTAGGTGAAGGTTTAAGAGAGAGCTGTTGGGGCATTCAGGTGAGAAGCGACTTCGCACACTTTCATTTATAGAGAGTTTCTCATAGCTGTAGACAAACATGAGCTCCGGTGGCTTCTTAGCTTTCTGCTTGTACCAATACATAGCCCTGTGCCCCATATGTTGTTCACATTTCAAAGACTTCTTATTTGTCATTCCCATGACCAGGTGTTTTGGTGTCTGGGTAACTTCAGTGTCTATGGGAACTGTAGGAGGAAAGGGACAAAATTCAGGCAGAGCCCAGGAAGAGGGTTGTTCCTGCAGCCACAAGGAAAAGGGTTGGAGTCCAAGGACAGACAATTTCAACCTAACTCACCTGCTCCCAGGAGACAGAGAACCGCACAGCAGAGCAGCCTGCAGCCCATGCTAGCCTCGGGTCTGAGATGGGGCCTCTGACTGGGGTCCTTTGGGCGAGGTGCTGGGCTCTGGTCTCCTTGGCCCTGGTTGGTGGTTTTTCTTGTGATGTCACTGCTCCTGATAGTTTCCCCAGACCCAGGGGATGTTTCTTCCTGACTGCTTTACATCCTTTCTAAGTTCTGATAGAAGGTAGATTTGAATTTGCTGGGCTAGGATGAATCGGCTGGGGAGAAAGGGCAGAGCCGGCTTTTTACCCCTCAAGGATATTCCTCTGGCAGGGGCTCCTTTGCTCTCAGCTGCTTCCTAATTATGTGGATCCTCCCTCTATCTTTGTCTCCCTGTCTTTCAGGATCCCTCTCAACAACAGACCACTCCCATTCAAGAAATCTCCTTCTGTCCTGCGGGATCACATAAAACAGTGCCATTCAAAACGTCCCTTCCCTCAATGTCTAAGTGTGGTGGAGCCCTTTCTGCCCGGCTCTGTGGAGGGAGGGTGACTGCATGAACACGGATGCAGTGTGCACCAGCTCCCATCATTCAAGGGCATGACTGTGTTGCCAACCAGCCACCAGGCACTGGGGAGGGAGCTGAGGGAGCACAAAAGGGATGAGCCACCCTCTGTCCCTGAAGTGGAGGGCATGGGGCTTGGCTGGGCTTAGAGCTAACATACACAGGATGCTGAAAAAGAACAACACAAGGTGTGTGGAGCAAAGGAAAGGGAAATCAGCTTGAAGCTGATGTTAGTGTGCTTGGGCTGAGTACAGCCATGCTCTCAGTTGAGGCACGGTTGGCTCCCCATGGGCAAGATCCCTCCTGGCCCATCTCTCCTCTTATTCTCTATCCCTTCCCCAGGTCCCTGCCTTAGAGGTTTCACCAGAGCACAGCTCCTGCCTGTGGCCAAAACAGTATTTGGCCACTCACCGACCCAGTGTCAGCATCCAGATGGGTTCCACATCTCACAACCCTGAGCAGCAGAGAAGGGTTTGAAAGGCCAGGGGAGAATGAAGACGAAGGAGGTGTTGGCAACAACACAGAGAGTCAGCAGCCAGAACGCCAGGTATCCACACACATAAGACATTCTAAATTTTTACTCAACAGAAATAGTCTATGTCTGTGTCTGGGCACCATGGCAACACCTTATCTCTACAAAAATTAGCGGAATGTAGTGGTGCCTGTGTGTAGTCCCAGCTATTCAAGAGGCTGAAGTGGGAGGATTGCTTGAGCCATGGAAGTCAAGGCTGTAGTGAGCCATGATTGTGTCAATGCACTCCAGACAGAGCAAGACCCTGCTCCCACCACACCCCTCAAAAGAAAAAAAAAAAAGGAAAAGAAATGAAATGAAATGAAATAAAGAAAAGAAAAAAGAACAGAAAATTGTCTATGCCTGGATCTCTAGTAATGTGCAGAACAGACAGTATCCCAGCCCTCTTGAGTTCTTGGGCCAGTCTGACTTGTTCAACAAATACTCCTTGAGCAACAGCTAGGAGCAAGCAGAAAATCACCAACATTTTCACCCCCAGAATTCTATTTGTGTAAGGCAATTCAACATATTCAGAAAACAACTAGAGAATAAAAATATATCTTACATAAAGTTTGAGAAATGTAATCAGTATGTCATTGTTCAATCACTTCATATATGTGATGCCATATTTCCTCATATATTAAATCAGGAGAACTGAAATGAGATGATCTCTAAAGCCCTGCCATTTCTAAGATGTTAGAAACCACATTAGTTCATCAGTTCTGTGGAGAACTTTCCAACTAGGAACCAGCTGGATGACTTCCTATGGGTCTTCTGTACTTCACTGCATAAGCTATTTATGCTTTGTGACCAGTTAAGAATTGGAATATCATCAATTTTCTTAAAAGGTACTTTTATGCCAATATTGGCTTTTCATTCTAGAGCATTTGGAGATACAAATGAACACAAATAAACACAAAAATGAGATGATTCATACTTTCAAAGTGATTTTTACCATCTATTTATTGTTGTATTACATCAGTGTTACCTTTTCATGATGATAATTATAATTGTAGGCATGAGATTAGGGTCGTAAATCTATGTTATATGTAAATCTACATGGGGCTGAGGGAAGATACTTATCCATGATTTAAGTCAAGGATTTATAATTTAGATTTGTTTTAACCTGGGGATGTTCTCAGTCAGGAGGAAAATTGTAGCATTCTTCTAATGCAAAAATTTCATCAGATTTTCAATGTGGCCCATAAAACAAACAAACAAAAAATGTAAAGCATGTAGATTAGAATTTAATGGGGTTGAGTATTCTCCCCCTCAACAGGTTACATATAGGATCGATCTCTATCCTGCTACAGTTGGAGATATTCTATTCACTAGATAAAAACCTAAAATTAGCCTTATTTTAAACACTAGTATTATTACCATTAAAATTGTTTCCATTGGTATCTACTTCAGCAAGAAAACACTTTGGCCCTTCTACAAAGTACAACAAATTTGAACGAATAAAATTTTATTGCATTGTTTGGCTCTCAATAAGTAAACCAAATTGCAAAGACAATTTAAAAAAAGCAATAGAATTTAAACTGAAAACTTGAATAATGGTGAAAGCGAAAGGTTTAATTGTCCTGAGGACAACAGCTAACATAAGCATTTCCCACAACAAGGGGTGGTGACCAGCGAGTTCAAGTGGTCTGAATTAGGGATGGATCTAAGAAGGAAAATGATCTCAGGACCATGTGAATTGCAAGAAGAGTGAAGAGTGGAATGGTAAATATGAAGAAAAGCTAAGTAAACATATTTATATAAAATAGAAGTAGTATATGTGATTGAAGATAAGAGGACATAACTGACTCCAAGACAGCTGGGATTTAGGACACAGAGTACTACCAAGGAGCCCTGAGAACCTGTGTAAGAAAATCTTTTTTCATTTTTTATTTTTCTTTCTGGGCCAGGTCCTAAGTTGTGTATGCAGAGGGTGGCACTCCCGAAGGCCCAGCAGAGAACAAACTCTGGAAGGCTGTAGACACGGGCAGGGATTTCAGAGGATACCCAGGGCAGGAAGGCAATGGCATTCAGACCCAGTGAGAGTGGAGAGTCGTGGTGGGTGACTGTGATTCCCACTAAGACCCTGGAAAGGCCATGCACTAGCAATGATGACCACATGCTGGGGCTCCCTAAGAGGGAGGGCAAGGCTGAAATAGACCCTAGCAAGTCCTACATTCAACCCTCCCAGAATAAAACCCAATACATTTCCAAGAAATAACATAATGCAGAGCCTCAAGCCTATATTGTCCACAATGCTTCACATCAACCCTTTCTAATCTTTCATGTAGGATATTTAGAAGTCTCCTAATCATTCATGCCACCCAAAAATCTATCTCCTTTCTGATCCATACTACTACCAGTGTTCCTCTACCAAAATATCAGTTTCATCATGTTGTTTCACTTGGAGTAGGACCAATGGCTCACCACTGCCTAGAGATTTGTGTCCAAAGTCCTTTCAGGTCTCCCAATATCCCCAGTCATCTGGCTATTGCCTGCTGTTGAGGACAGTTCAAGATGATATTCATCAGAATTGGGAGAGACACTTGCTGGTCACCCTTCTTGAAGAGAAGGAGCCCACAACGCACAAGGCTACCTCCACCGGCATCTCCTCAACACTTTCCAGTTTACCTATTGCCATGGAATTTCATGCCTCTCCAAATATTTTTCTGTTGAATAAAGTACTCACTGATCATCAGAATTGTCTCTTGATCTTGGAAATATTTCCTTCCCCCTCCTTTATGCTTGTGCTCATCAACCATTTTCAGCAATCGTGTTTTTTTCATAATGTTATATAAAATACGTACCAATATGTGCCACACAGAAAGAAAAGAAAGAGCTTCCCCCATCAGTTAAGATCATCAGTGCATAGGACAGGCTCTTTTTTGTTTGTGGAGCCCTAATACTTTAGTGGCTTTGTTGTGAAGCCCTGCTCTAGCTGATAAACAATTCTGTGAGACTTTTGTGTGCATAAGATGGAGGACTTCTCCACTGGGTGCACTAGCTGGCTGTACTACAGACTGAAACTCCATCAGAGGCCATCAGGGAATGGAGACTGGAGCCCTGGGTGCAGGTGCACACGCTGCCCTGCAGCTTCCTGGCTGAGCCGGGAGGTTTGTGCACAGGGATGCAGTGACTTTGCAGGGCTGTGTCTTGGCTGCTGGCACAGAAATACACAGCAGAGTCACCAAGCTCCAGGGAATTGATGTGAAGATTTAAGTGAGCTTTGTCTGGAGATTTAGGTGAGAAGCGATTTGGAACTGTTTCATTTATAATGAGCTCCTTATTATTGTAGCTAAACATTATCTTCAGAAATTTCTTAGAGTCCTGTTTATACCAATACATAGTATCATGGCCCAGATTTTGTTCACATTTAATGGACTTGTCGTTTCCCATCTGTGTGACCAGGTATTTTGGAGTCTGGGAAACAGCTGTGTCCAAGGGACCTGCAAAGGAAAGAAGCAGAATTCAGGCAAATCCTAGGAGACGGCCTGCTGTTGTTGTCATGGTGAAAAGGCTTAGGGACTCCAATAGGATCATGTCACCTGGGCCCGGGACTCACCTGCTTGGAGGAGGCAGAAGACCACACAGCAGAGGAGCCTGCAGCCCATGGCAGAGTGAGGCAGACCAGGCAAGGCCCAGGGCAGGATTCTGGTCTGCAGTGGTGAGAGGACTAGGCTGTGGTTTCCACTGCCGCTGAGAGGTGCTGCGCCAGTGAGGTCACAGCCTGTAATCATTCCCCCATTCCCAGGGTCTCCTCTAGCATGGCTCCTCCCTTTCATGCCCTGCACTTGCTCCTTTAAAGGAGTTTTTGGAATTTCTGGGAATAATTGAGAGGGTGGAATTGTGACCTCCAGGATGTGTCTCTGACAGTCATTCCTGGGCCAGCAGCCCCCTCCCTCCCTGCTCCTTCCCGGGGATCTGACCACCTCCTCCCTTCCTCTCCTTTTCAGGCCCTTCTCTCAGAGTCAGCTGGTTTCCTCTCTGGATCCTTTGCGTCCCTTCACAATAGCGCAGGACATTAATTTGCTCTCTTGAATCTTTGCTCACTTGAAGGTCTCATTAATGATCAGTGGTCCCCTTGATTCAGGAGAGATTGGCCTGAGATTTCACCTGAATACCAGCCATAGCCACCTACTCCACATGACTGTGATGCTACTGCAGAGCAAACCCTGCTGAGGCGTTATTATTGGGAGTGAACTGCAGCCCTGCTCCCTGTGATGTTCTTATCTGTCCAAGGGGCAGATTTATGAGGAAACAGGAGGCTGCTGGAAAATATGCAGACACCATGTGCTGGGAAAGAATGGCGATGAAGGTCAACAACACGGCAGTCAGAGAAAACAAAAGTAGTTGACGGTATTGCCCCTTGAGTTGTCTGCAGAGAATTCTCCTTCTTGGTACAAAGTTTACAACCGAAGCTTATTGCGGGGTTTCTCAATTTCAGCACTACTGCCATGTTGGATCAGGTGATTGTTTGTTGTGGGGAGCTGTCCTGTGTAGGGAGGATGCTTGGCGGCATCCTTGGGCCCTACCCACCTGATGGCAATGTGACGACAGAAAATGCCTTCGCGTTTTGTGAATTATCTAATGTTGAGGACCACAGTCCCCTTTATTCTTGCCCATGGTACTCCTCTCCTCTGCCAGCCATCAACCACCCAACCTCGGGGGTGTGGCAGGGCTGCAGCTCCTCCTGCTCTGGTCAGCAAGGTCCAGCACTCAGACCTCAGTGCCTCAGTCAATGGCCCCAGGGCAGGAACCTCCAGGAGGAAAACCAGAGACCAGCACTGCCAGAAAGGTATCACACACACACACACACACACACACACACACACACTTTGGTAGTGTTGTCATCTACTGGTGAATCCCCTGCAAAGACAGACCTTGATGGTTCATTTGTGATTTACTAAACACAGAACTTGAACTAAACAAAAGAAAAATGACCACCATCCTTCTTGGAACTTCAAGCATGCTTTATTTGTTTATAGTCACTGAATGGCTACTTAGTGCAAAGCATGAGTAAACAATATTCTCACTCTCATGATGCTTATAATCCAATAGGAGCAAAAACACATTCACACATTACTTGTAGACTAAGAATATGAAATACATATTACATGGAGGCCAGCAAAATAGTTACTATTTACATTTAAATACTTTTTTTAAAGCATCCCATTTCCTGATCTATGAAACAATGGGCAGAAATAAATAATTTTCAACACTCTGTCTAGCTCTACAATTCTGTGAACATAACCAGGTACCCCCGTAGTTGTGGGTCTTATTCAGTACCTACCACATTGCACCACACAGCTGACATGGGAACCTTTTCAAAGAAGGAACGGGTGGGGAGGGAAGATAGTGAAATGACAAGAGGCTACATTCAATGGTGATGATCATAACTATGTAAAGATGTAACCATTCTTAAAGAGTAGACTTTAAATAAATATGTATTTCACTATTTTACGCAAGAGTTTTTACCAAATCAGACGGACAGCGTCTGGGAGAGGCACTGGAATGAAACTGATAGAAAGAAACTCGCCTCATATGAGGCAATGTTAGTTCTGGTTGTTGTTTTGTTTTGTGTTTTACAGGAGATATGAAAAGCAAAAGTGTTTGATTGTCCATCAAGAATTGTCTAGACCGGGTGCAGTGGCTCACGCCTGTAAACCCAACACTTTGGGAGGCCAAGGTGGGCGGATCACGAGGTCAGGAGATCGAGACCATCCTGGCTAAAACGGGGAAACCCGTCTCTACTAAAAATACAAAAAAAAAAAAATTAGCTGGGCGTGGAGCGGGCGCCTGTAGTCCCAGCTACTAGGAAGGCGGAGGCAGGCCTGAAGCCGGGAGGCGGAGCTTGCAGTGAGCCGAGATCCTGCCTCTGCACTCCAGCCTGGACTACAGAGCGAGACTTGGTCTCAACCAAAAACAAACAAACAAACAAACAAACAAAAGAATTGTCCAAAGGATAAGAAGGACAAATAAATTGATTATGTACGTATTTTCTGACAGGGCCCGCCATACTGGAGAAGCGGAAAAAAGCTACAGAAAGGAGAGAGGATAGACGCTGGGATCCCTGGGAAGAGCCAGGCTGCCGACAAGAAAGTCAAAGAGGGAAGACAACATAATAATTTTATCATGGAGATAACTTAATCCACAAAAAGGTGGAGAGTTGTAGGGGCAAAAGGAATGAGACAGAAAGCTGCAGAAGAACTAGAACACGTCGAACTGAATGATACCAGGATGCATATTTTGAACATGGGTCATATTTTTGGCTGTCCAATATTTAAACCCCATCTTATATTTGAGCAATTCCCCAAAGTTTGCGTCTTGGCGGGAAAAGCAAGTGTGTTGATATGTTTATAAGCAAAACCTTCCACCCTTCTAGAACCAAACTCTCCATCTCTGCCTCTTCTTTTTCACTTCTCATGAGAATATCACTCCACCTGGCAGAGCTGTCTCCCTCTTCCAGCTCCCCAAGAACGCACGGGAAATCTGTCCTGTCTCCTCTGGCGGAATAGAATGGATGAACAACTTCTTGTGTCCAATTACGTCAAATTTAGTTTCCTGAGCAGGGTCTTAGGAAGATTTCATTTCACCTGATTCTGTTTCTCTCTTCACACATGCTCAACACTGGGTTTCCAGGTTTGCAAGGGGACGAGGGCCATGGTTTCACTTCCATTCTATCAGCTGGCTGCTAGTTACTCGAGACTCTGACCCTGATTTAAAAAAAAAAATTATTTCATGCTGACAAAAATACAAAAGTCAACATTGCATATCAGCTCATGGGATCATATCCCTGCAGGTTGACCAGCAGCTGCCAGTTTTCCAAATCAAATTCAGACCAAAATCAGATAAGACATCCTGTCTCAGGCCAGGTGTCCCTCACCTTTGCAGAGCATCAGTTCATGCTATTTGCCTGTTGAGCTATTAAAATCTCGCTTGTTCACTTAAAACATTTACATTTATTATTTCTATTATTATATGAATCACAAATGTTTAACCCACAGTCATTTTTTAGCAACAATTAACACAAATTCAATGCAATGCCATGATGGATAGAGATTATTTATTAACAATGAAAAATGATTATACGTCATCTTATTTTTGTTACTGAGAAGAAGTTCTAGATTTTTTGTGAGGGTAGCAGTTTGAAAAGTCCAGGGGGACCCTGCCTCTCCAACCCTACGTTAGTTAGTCACTTTAGATATTTAATATTGAGCTTAGAAGTGTGTGTTTCCCATAGTCTGGTTTTAGGACTTTAGCTGATTTGAAAATGGCCCATACTACAGAAAGTTAAGAAATTTAGATTCTAGCATATAGAAATGAGATTCCTATCTTCAATACCTTCTTTTGTTCCATTCCAAAATAAACTGCAAAATTAACCTCCACAGGACAGCTAACGGTTTTCCTGTTAAACTGTTTGGCTAGACTTTCACTTCCGGGCAGCATGCTAGAATATGCATAGTAGAGTATAGAGATATTCTGAAGCTCCCTCCTACTGAATAACTAGAGCCTATAGAAAATGTATCTTTGCTGTATTTTTGGATTTCCAAGAAGTAAGGGAAATTCCAAATGCTTTTTGAAAAGGCGAAACAGGAGGCTGTAGTCAAAACAAAATGAAGAGCCTGTTTCAGATGTGCATCCTGGAGGTCTGTCCACGCCACCTTCTTTCCCATCTCCAGGTGTTTGGCATCATCTTTTGATATCTGGACAAGTCTAGCTTCCATGGGTCTTGGTAGACAGGGATAGATATTGAAGCTGGAAGCTGGAAGGGAGTCTGGTGAGGCTGTTTTGATAGAACCATTAGCTCAGACCCAGGAGACAGGTTTCCTATCCTTCGAAGAAGCCCTCACTCCAAGAACTTAGAGGAACATTCAGAAGAGGAAAAAGAAAAAAAAAACCCTTTCTAGCTTAGGTTTTTCATCATTTAGAGTCAGGAGAATGGTGCTCCAGGTATTCTTTGGCCTGATAGGTAGATTTCCCTTGGTAATTACTCTCTTTGCAAGATCCCTCAAGGAAGCCCTGATTTGTCAGGCTCACTGCCCAGGTTCCAGGAAGTCATTTCATGGCAGGATTGAACTGGAGAAGAGGCCCAGCATCCAGAGCCTCTCTTATTCCTCTCAGGAAGAGTTCCTCCACTGGCATCTGCTTGTGAGCTCTGCTCTTTCCCAGCTCAAATTCTCTCCCTTTCTCATCCCATGCAGGTTCACATGCAACAAATCTGGCAGTCTAGGCTCTTTGCTAGATCAAAAGCACCTGCACAGCAAGGCAAATGAATAGTCTATATTTATCCTCTCACATTTCAGCATTAACACAGCTTCTGCAGACCACATTTTCCCCTGTTGTAAATAAACCCAATATTTCTTTTAACTGTCTCCCATCCTGAGAATGCTCTGCCCTTCCTCTGAGTTCCCTTAATCTCAGTAGAGTCACAGCTCCTCCTTGTGGTAAAAGGTCAAACGTGTCAAGACTCTGTCCCATGGTGGACCAAAGGCAGAAGGGTAATAGAACTCTTAGAAATAGAGATAATCTGGCCGGGAATGGAGGCTCATGCCTGTAATCTCAACACTTTGGGAGGCCGAGGCGGGCGAATCATGAGGTCAAGAGGCCAAGACCATCCTGGCCAACATGGTGAAACCCCATCTCTACTAAAAATACAAAAATTAGCTGGGTGTGGTGGTGCACGCCTGTAATCCCAGCTACTCCGGAGGCTGAGGCAGGAGAATCGCTTGAACCCCGGAGGCAGAGGTTACAGTGAGCTGAGATCGCCCCACTGCACTCCAGCCTGGGTGACAGAGTGAGAATCTGTCTCAAAAAGAAAAAAAAAAGGGAAGGCAGAGAGGTTCACTCCTTCCTTTCTTCAAGATACTTCTACCTAAAATAAAAACATAAAACATTGCACCTCACCTTTAATAAATATAGAAACTGGCTTTCAGAGTTAATAGACTGATTTTTGCAGAACAACACTCCCACCAAAAACAACTAGAAAAACTTAACAAAATATAAAAATAAACGTTTGAAGGCACTTGGAGCTACTGAGGCAGTAAGAACTTAAGGGATTGGGATCTCAACGAGAAAGGAGAGATCTAACAGACCACTTTCGCCTTAAGTCATTTGCCAGTTTTATATCGTTGGCTAAGTAGCTGAGAAGAAAAGGGAAGACTGAGAGTGTAGCAGGCTTTGAGGAGCATCCACCACCTTTCTGGTCTGGAGAACATTTACGTTCAGTGACTACTGAATAGGAGAGGAGCCTGGCAAAGACCCCAGTCCTTGGTGCTGGGGGTAGAAGCAGGGATTGACTGAAAATGAGCACGAAGGAACTTTCCGGGTGGGGAAAGATGAAATGTTTTAGAGCTGGATCATGGTGATTGTTGCACAACTCCACAATTTTATCAAAATTCATTGAATTGCATGCTTGCAATGGGCAAATATTATGTTATGTAATTTACAATTTGATTTAGCTGTTAAACTTCAGACATCTAGTTGGAACTTACATGGCTAAGAGCAAAGGCGAGCAGCCATCATGCAGGCTGAAGCTCAGGTCTGATCCAGCTCATTCATCAGCTCAATTAAGGTGATCCGCCCCTGCTACAATCCCAGCAGAAGCAAAAGTGAATCATTTGAGGAAGATGAAATCATTCAGAGCCTCAAATTATCTCTATAGTTTTTATATACAATATCCGGCATTCAAGTAAATTACTAGTTGTATGAGAAAACAAAATCACGTGCCCAGAAACTGAACAGAGAAAACAGACAAAAGAAATAGACCCAAACAGATTCAGATGTTAAAGTTATCAAAAACTGGCTTTAAAATGACAGATGTTAATATAGTCAACAAAGTAAATGACAAAATGTGCAATTTTAGCAAACAACTGGAAATTGTAGCAAGATTTAAATGGAAATTCCAGAACTGAAATATATAAAATACCTAAAATTTAGACTTCAATAGGTATGTTTAAAAGAGGAATAATTTCTTAAATGAAACTCAAGAAGTTAATCTGGCTGCTTCAGGTTAAGTTGAAAGTGACAAATTCATTCCTGCCTCTGCCTCTAGGTGTCTCTTGACTTTTGCTGCTGAATTCTGTTCCTGCACTGCCTTGCTTTATTCTGGCGATTCTCATGCTGGTCTAGAACTCTGTTGACCTTGAAATGGTGTGAAATATTAGACTCCATGTTTTCTACTCTCTTAACTTGTTATTTTGTGAGCTAGCATCATTAGCCCAAATGCATCACACCAGGTTCACAGGGTCATCAGATAGTTCTGCTCTTGACCACATGCTGAGCAAGAGTCATTGATAATTGAGTTCTTTGTACCAAGCCCCTTCTTCTGAAGATTTCTGTGAGCACCCTCTATATTCTCATGGAAATACCTGAACTCCCACTCAGGAATCATCTCGCCACCCTAGAAGTTAAAATATGTTTTCCTAAGCAACTAAAACAAAACAATTCTAATAAAGATGGCCAAATGGGAATGAGGAGAAGATATAAGTTACTTGGTTGTGTACAATTCTCTCATATTCAGAGCCCACCATCACACTCACACTCTGTAGTATCTGTAAACATTCTTCAAATCCTACAGTGTCTGGTCATTTCTGCCCAAGATACCTTTGGTAATTTAATTTCAGATATCTGTCTATTTGGAGACAGCTGCAAGAACAAACCCAACCAGAGACTTCCTTTTCTTAGGCAGGAAGTGGGAGCTGGCGGCTGGGAGGGAGGCAGCTCTGTGAGGGATTTTGCACAGGCTGGAGTTGTCTTTGCAAGGCTGTGGCTTCACTGCTGGCACAGAAGTACATGGCTGAGTCCTCCAGCTTTGTGGACCGGATCTTCAGAGTGAAATTTGATCCATCAGGCCTTTCAACTGAGAATTGATCATCGAATATTTCAGACTTCTCTGAGATTTCATTATTATAAAAGGAAACCAGAAACTCGACTTTCTGCCCCAAGATTTGTCTGTACCAATAGAAGTATAAGTGATTAGAGATGGGGACACAGTGCAAGATCACTTCCTGTCCCATCTGTGTGACCTGATGGCTGGGAGTCTGGGTGACTTCAGGTTCTGTGAGTCCTGTGAGAAAAGAAGAAGATTAAGAGAATGGTTTAGAATTGTCTTAGGTAAGTTCAAAGCAAGAATTTCCTAGAGTCTAAGCATCGACCTGCTTTCAAGAGACTAAAAATTGCCCAGCATACGAGCCAGGTATCCATGGCAGGATCACAGCAGGAATGAGGCCTTTCCTAGCTCAGGCATCTGGTCCTGTGGAGGAAAGGAGGGGCATTTTGAGCTCCCATGGCCCCACAGGCAAGGTCTGGCAGAATTACTGGTGTCTCTGGCAACACCCACCATCCCTGGAGCGCCCTCTATAGGAGAGAGGAGGGAGCCTTTGTGTTGTTGCAGAACCTGACAATGCAGGGCTGTGCTCAGCCCCTGGGATCTGATGGTGTGTGCAGGACTGAGGGCCATTAATTAATAAGAGCAATGCTGGAAAATATGGGGGTCAGCAAGGTAACCCTGAGTACAAAGTCTGGCTCAGAAATTCCAGGAGGTCTTGTTCTCTTATTACCTGCTGTGAGTAACAATTCAGGTACAACAGACTCCACGGCTGATAATGAATGCCAAGAAAACTTGGTATTAGGATTAAAGAGATAGAAGGAAAAATAATCAAGTGTGAATGTTTTAAATCCTGAGTGGAAGAGAGCAGCCAACAAGAAGTTGAAACTCTGCACATGCCCCAGGGAGAGGGAACTAGAGAACAGTGATCCAAACCCCATGGGGAAATACTGTCCTCAGGGTGAGGCAGTGATAGAGCCACCTGAGGAGGGGATTGGGTATTCTTTAGTTTTTCAAAAAAAAAAGAAAGAAAGAAAAAGAAAAGGACCTGCCGGGCGCGGTGGCTCACGCCTGTAATCCCAGCACTTTGGGAGCCCGAGGGGGGCAAATCAAGAAGTTAAGAGATTGAGACCATCCTGGCCAACATGGTGAAACCCTGTCTCTACTAAAAATACAAAAATTAGCCAGTCGTGGTGCTGGGCGCCTGTAGTTCCAGCTACCCGGGAGGCTGAGGCAGGAGAATCGCTTGAATCTGGAAGATGGAGGTGGAAGTGAGCCAAGATCGCGCCACTGCACTCCAGACAGTGAGACTCTGTCTCAAAAAAGAAAGAAGGAAAGAAAGAAACAAAGAAACAAAGAAAGAAAGAAAGAGAGAGAGAGAGAGAAAGGAGGGAGGGAGGGAGGAAGGGAGGGAAAGAAAAGAAAAAAAAAAAAAAAGAAAGGAAAAGAAAAGAAAAGGTCTGACCATACATATTTGGAGCTGGGATGAGGGCTGAGATCCAGGGTCTAACTTGAGTCAAAAGAAAAGTCAAAAAACAGTCCATATTGGAAGGTGGATTGGTGAGGCCAGAGTGTTAAATACCTCACACAACATTTCCCAGAGGCACAAACCGACTGAAAGATACTTGGAAAAACTTAAACTTGACGGCATCTGTCCTACATTCAAGTTCAGGCACAGTCTCATTCAAGACAAACTCAGGCCACAGGCTGCAGGAGTCTGGGCAATTTAGCATTGCCACATCCAATAAATGACAGTATTATGATCTGAGATGTCTGCTGAGGTCTTACAGAATGCTGAACTGAGTGCTGAGGCTCAGCTGGATGCATTGCCCCCACGGTTTTCTGATTAGATCCAGGAGGTTTGTGCACAGGGAGGCGGTGACTCTGCAGGGCTGTGTCTTGGCTGCTGGTGCAGAGATACGCAGCTGAGTCTTCTTGCTGCAGTGCGACCACATGAAGGTATAAGCGAGAGCTGTCAGGGCATTCAGGTGTGAAGTGATTTGGCACAGTCTTGTTTTCAATGAATTCCTTACAGTTGTAGTAAAACATGAACTCCAGGGATTTCTTAGCTTTCTGTCTGTACCAATACATAGAATCATGTCCCAGATGCTCACGTTTCATTGTCCTTTTACTCCCCATTGCTGTGACCAGGTATTTTGGTGTCTGGGTAATTCCAGTATCCATGGAGCCTATGAAAATAAGAAGCCAAATTCAGACTAAGCCTAGGACAGAGTCTTCTGAAGCAGTTCCATGAAAAAAGCAAAAAATTTAAGGACAGAAATGTCCCACCTGTGCCCAGGACTCACCTGAGACAATGGACCACACCACAGTGGAGACTTCAGCCCATGGCAGGGTCACCCGGGGCACAGGCAGGGGGACCCTGTGTCTCCCTGCTCTGTGTCCTTGTCGTCTGGGTGTGCTTCCCTGGCCCTGAGACAGGGGCTGCTTGGGAAGTCTCTGCTCCTGTTGGTGTCACTATTAGTGTCTACAGCTCACACTTCCTCTTTCCTTTCCAAGCTTGGCACTGGCACCTCAAGAGGTGGGTTTAGACTAGCTTCTCAGGGCCAGGTGTGCAGGGCGGGTTCTTTAGACAGTTGCTTTTTTCTTAGCAGCTGCCTGCCCTTCCCACAACGAATGAATGGGTCTCCCCTTCCTCTTTCTACTTATGGCTCCCCTCCTCCCTAACACACAGACCCCTTCCCTTTGGGCAGATGCCTTCCCGATGCCTGTCTTGGACCCAGGATGAGCACACTCCAGCTCCCCTCCCTCATCTCAGTGAATTCCAGGAGGACACCTCACCTAGCTCAGTGGAGCCCTTCCCTGGAGCCAGCTGTGCATCATTTTAAGACCCAGTAAGGTAATGCCAACTAGGGAGGGAGCACCTTTCAGTGGGTGCTCGAGGGGACATGAGAGAAATAATCTGCGACCCCTACCCCCAGGGAGCATCTCACCTACTTAGGATGCAGGACCTGAACACAGACTAGAATAACAGGAGGCCCTAAGGGCATGAGCAGAGGGACTGCAGAGATGCAGGTCCAGGTGGAACGGACTTTAGTGTCTTCAAGTTGTCCACACATGGTCTCTCAACTACAACAAGGAGCAAACCCTGATACCAGAGCATTTGATTCCTTCGTTAGTCCTTTCCTCCCTCCTGCCTCTCTTCTCCCTCCACATGACTCAGGAATTTCACTAAAGTCGTAGCTCCTCCTGGAGGTGAAAGAGGCACATTGCCCTCATGTCAGCCATCTGCCCTCAGTCCTCCTGATACAGCATTGAGAGAATAGAATACAAAGGGATTCCGCAGGGGAATGCACAAAACAAGAAGGCATTTGAAACGCCGAAGTAAAGGTTTAGCAACTCTAACTACCACCTACTGGTGAAACGCCTCCAACAACCTCCATATACACACTTAAGATATCAAAATAATATTATCCAATAGGTATTTATGGAACACATAACTATATGTCAGGCACTGTTTGAGGACCAGGAATATAACAGTGAATAAAACCAACTCTCATGGGCACATGGGCCATTTTAATTTGTTCAAACAGCTTTTGTGAATAATATTCACATTCTCAAAGTGCTTCAGGGATTACAGGAGCTATAAGACATGTTTGACGTGGGCTGGGCATGGTGGCTCACGCCTGTAATCCTAGCACTCTGGGAGGCCGAGGTGGGCGGATCACGAGGTCAGGAGTTTCAGACCAGCCTAGCCAATATGGTGAAACCTCATCTCTACTAAAAATACAAAAAAATTAGCCAGGGGTGGTGGCGTGCACCTGAAGTCCCAGCTACTCAGGAGGCAGAGGCAGGAGAATCGCTTGAACTCGGGAGGCAGAGGTTGCAGTGAGCCAAGATTGTGCCACTGCACTCCATCCTGGATGACAGACTGAGACTCCATCTTAAAAAAAGAAAGACATGTTTGACATGTTTAGAGATAACATCTAATTTGGAAAGTTTTACAGGGTATGCTTTAGGAGGGTTAAAGGGTTTTAGGTGCCTAAATCATTTCATCTACTGACCTTCTTATTGCCTCAATCTTGAAATCTGGTTGTGGGGAGAGGCTGAAATAATTTTCCCCAACTGTCTACCCAGCTCCGAAACAATGTAAGCCAAGCAGGGTAGACTTCACTAGGCTGCTGTGCCAGAAGCTTACATGGTTCATGGCCACTGTCAAAATACTTTACAGAGTGCGGGTGCTTAATACATATTTGCTTAGTTGGTCAATGAATAGATAGATGGAATGGAAAACAGTAAAAATCATATGTAAAAGGTAGGTCTAAGCACTTAAAAATTGTATTTCTAATCTGCTATGGTTGGCATTGGTATATTTGTATCTGCAAATCTACAGAAATCGGGTCATAGTCTCAGTATGTAAGGCTGGAATGTAACTGATAAAAACAATTTTTATTTCAAAGGTTTTATTTATGAATAATAATCTTTCAATGTTGATGAAGCATTGTGCAAAGATGATACGGAAATAGAGGGGTTGTTAATTCTTAAATTCTCCTTCCTGTCAGGGTCCCCATCATTCTTTCAGCATTTCCTTACTTTATGGCACAAGGGGTTCTAGGCTTTTCCTGCCTGTCTTTGTATCTACTATATGTCCAAAAAGTCCTGGTTCCTTCTAGTGGACAGTGGTATTTAGAAAACAGAATATGGATACTAGATCTTTTGGGGTGCTTTTGGGGGGAACTACTCTTAGGTATCACAGTGGACAGAGCTGTACATACACATATGTTTTCACAGTACACATATATTTACAGATATCTTTAATTCCTGTCTATACATATTGAGAAGCGATGAGTTCACACTAGTTCCAATCCCGTATTATAAGGTTTATTCTTATGTTCTTGTGTTCTAGTGTTTTCTCTTTCCATATTTGCAACTCTCTTATCCAATAACTGAGAAACATGGTTCTGTTATCCTTATAGATTTACATATTTGATTAGTCCCTTTACAGGTAACTAAATGTGTGCTGTGGCTGCCATCATCTCTCCTTTGTAAATGGCCTCCTCTCTCCGTTCAAGTTCTGACTTCCTGTGCCATGGAGACCACCCATGTTGAAACTCTCCTCACCTCAGTCCAATTTCTGACACACCACACGAGGGATGCCTTGCCCCACGCGGTGCCCTTTGCAGTCTGCTGGGGCTTCCACAATCTGCAGGAGGCTGCTTTCCTCATCCCCTTTTGACTCCACCCCACTTTTGGGGAGACACCTTCCACATGCTGCATGGTCTCTGTCACCTTCCAACAGGCCTCCCTTCTACACAGATACAAAGAAATGCACGTTAGTCCTCTGTATTTCATGTCGCTGTGTGTTTATTGCATAACTTGAGGCATCTGACATGGGCGATGATCAGGGAAGACCTCAGGACCTTTCAGGAAGATCTTCTTAGTGTACAGGGTGGTGGTTGCAGCTAATGAGCTTGTTTGTACTTGATTTGTCCGGGTTTACAAATATATAGAAGGACCCTGATTGCAATGGGTACCATGTGAAAGGGGGAAATAAATCCATACAAATAAAAAAAAACTACAGGTTATTCATCTTGGTTTTCAGTGTGTGTGAATATTCTAGATGGTGTGACTGAGCCAATATTGAGAAGAAATAACTTTTTAAAATCACTATATGATATTTGACTGACCATCAAATAATCGGGCCCAAACTATTCTCATCAGCATTCATAGACTATATAGAAAACCAATTATCAGTTGGGGATTGATGCAATTGGAGAAGGTTTTTTGAAGGAGAGTACTCTAAGCCAGATCTTAGGGCAATCTATCTAATCCTGTTCCAAGTATTTTTTTTCTAAGAAACTATTTCTGCTGAATTGTCTACAAAGAAGCCAGCATTAGCTTTGACTACTACTACCTGGCATGCTATTTCCCAGTAACAGGGAGACACTTTTTTGATTTCCTTTCACAATTTGTAACTGCTACCTAAAGAGAAAAATGTATATTTGCTGGGCTGGAGTTTTCACTTATCTGACTCATCTTTAACTATTTTAGAACCTACAATCTTCTTTTCGCTTTGTTGTCTACTTATCTTCTTACTATCTCTCTCCTGATCCTATGTCCCCAAGCTATAGGACAGAGAGAAAAAGAGTCAAAGCTCTAACAAGACGATTTTCCAGCTCGACAGAAGGAAGAAGTTTCCAGAAGGTCCTGTGGTTTCCTGTCCAGAATAGAGGCTGGATGACTGTTGGTGAAGATGTTTTGGACAAGGCTTAAGTGCCCAATGGGGCAAAGAAGAACAGAAGAACTTAAGCATCTACTCTATGCCAGAGACAGTGTCATAAACTGGAAATTTTAACATACAATATTTTCTTCAGAAGCTCATATTCTAGTTGAAGAGAAAAGGAAATCAAAGCCTGCAACAAAATTCAAAAGTTATAATAGCAACATGCACAGGGTTTCAAAATGGCACCGATAAGAAATAGAACGGATTAGCATCTAACCAATTGGGGCATTATGGCAGTAGAGTTAGGGGAGGTCATAGGTTAATGTCAGAGATTAATTATAGATAGAGATGATACTTCAGGTAAATTTAATGGATGACTAGAAGTTCACCAGCAAAGAGGGAAAGTAACCTCATTCATTCATTCAGCAGTTATTCACTGAGCAATTACTATGTGCCACGTACATACCGGCTTTGAGGTGTAATAGTGAGCAAATCAGACATCATTTATGCCCTCAGGAATTTTAAACAACCTGGAAAAAATAGACATTAAGCAGATATTTATACAAGTAATATGTGACTGGAAGTAAATGTAATGAAAGTAAAGCTGCCTAGAAAGTTCAGGAAGGCCTGACTTTAGTTGGAGAATGCAGGTGGAGTTCAGAGTTCTCCACAATTAGAGTTGAAGAATGATGGGAGTTAACCAGGTAAGGTGTGTGGGAAGGCACAGAGGTTTAAAACAGCATACAGTGTCCAAGAACATGAACTTTGGTGCTGGAATTTAAACTTATCCTGATGTCAATGTGGAGCCACCAAAGCATTTTAAGCAGAAAATGTAATGATCCATGTGCATTTTAGAAAGATTACTCTGATGTGGAGAGTGAGTTGAAGGAGAATAAAGCCACAAACAAGGAAGTGGTTTTAGCACGATTTCAATAATTCAGGAGAGAAAATGTGATACTGAACCAAGTCATAGGTGGTTGACTTGAAAGGAAAATCAAGGATCTTCAAAGAAAAGTCAAGGATCTTTAAGACAGGTAAAATCGTCAATACTTTGAATACAGGTAGTAAGCAAGGTGGATAAAGAAGTTAAGGGTGGGCCAGGTGTGGTAGCTTAGGCCTATAATCCCAGCACTTTGGAAGCCCAAGGCAGGTGGATCACCTGAGGTCAGGAGTTCGAGACCAGCCTGGCCAACATGGCAAAATCCCATCTCTACTAAAAATACAAAAATAACCCGGCATGGTGGCACACGCCTGTAATCCCAGTTACTTGGGAGGCTAAGGCAGGAGAATCGCTTGAACCCAGGAGGAGGAGGTTGCAGTGGGCCGAGATCGCATCATTTGCACTCCAGCCTGGGTGATAAGAGTGAAACTCAGTCAAAAAAAAAAAAAAGTTAAGGGTGACTTCTGTGTTTCAAGTTTGGCTAACCATATGTGTGTAGCTTCATTGCACTGACAGAAAATATAGAAAGAGAAAGCTATGATGAATTCAGCGCTAGACTAGCTGACCCTAGGTATGGGAGCAGACATGTTCAGTAGAAGTTGGATCTGAGAAGAGCTCAGGTGAGAGTCAGTATTTGAGGGACTGATTATGAATGATAAGAAATTAGATTATAAAAAGGCCAAGAGAGGTAATGTGCACAGTGAGAGAAGAATTTATCCATTGGTTGTATTGAAAGTATTTCATTCTTCGAGTAACGCAGCTCTGTTTAACGGTGCTTTGTGTCATCACAGTAAAACTCTATTAAATCAAGAAAGCCAAGAGTAGTCCTTAACCAGATGAGGTCTGTAAATCCCATACTTCCCTCTGAAGGCATGTTTATGAATAACCTCAGCAACAATATTTGCCATACTTGAAAAATGAAGAATCCTCCTGATGAATGTCTGGATGTCTCCTATCATACTCTTGCTGTTTCCCAGAGGTCTTGGAATATCGATAAAGTTGGTTGGTGTGATCTCGGCTCACTGCAACCTCCACTCCCCAGGTTCAAGCGATTCTGCTGCCTCAGCCTTCTGATTAGCTGGGACTACAGGTGCCCGCCACCATGCCTGGCTATTTTTTTTTTTTTTTTTTTTTTTGTATTTTAGTAGAGACGGGGTTTCACCATGTTGGCCAGGATGGTCTTGATCTCCTGACCTCGTGATCTGCCCACCTCGGCCTCCCAAAGTGCTGGGATTATAGGCTTGAGCCACTGCGCCCAGCCCTGTTCTCTCTTATTATATTCACGGCATCACTGTTGAGGGCATGAACCCTGAAGTGAGGCTGCTTAAGTTTTAACCATAGATTGGCCACTTAACAGCTATGAAACTTTGATATACTCACTTGACTTCTTTTAGCCTCTTTCTCCACATCTCTTAAATGGTGAAATTTGTAGTTTAACACTTACGATGCTGCTTGTGAAGACTGAATGAGTTGATGCACGTAATCCACTTCCACAGTGCTGGACACATAGTAAATACTTTAAAAATTTCAGCTATGTTATCATTGTCCAAGAATTTTGCATTATCTTGGCATCCAGATTTTGGTGAACTTACTGAGAGAAGTGTTTCATAGTGGTCAGGACCACAGACTCTGAAGGAAGATTTTTCTGGGTTGGAATGCTGATGTTACCGTGTATTTGCTATGTGATTTTGGTCAAATCCCCTACAGTTTTGTGTGCCTTAGTTTCCACATCTGTAAAGTGGGAATTATAATAGGTATCTTATATGGTTGTTGTGAAGATTACTAAATTAATATGGGCAAATACTTAAAATATCCCTGACATACGTGTATGTCAGTATTCTACATACTTACTGACTTATTCAATAAGTACTTAGAATAAGTACAGTAAGCTCAAGATAATTATAAGCTCAAGAAAATTATAAGTTATTAGCATTTTTTAACTTTCCTCCTTTTCTCTATTATAAGTTCAATTAATAGCAATCTTCTTTTTCTAAGGGAAACAAGCTGTTCCTTTAACAATGAGAAGGTGAAGTACCACCTGTTGGGTACTATGCTTACTGCCTGGGTGATGAGGTTGTTGGGACCCCAAGCCTGGGTGTCACGTAATTTACTTATGCAAAAAACCTGCATATGTACCCTTTAATTTGTAATAAGAGTTGAAATTTTAAAAAGAGAAAAGCTAACATGGATATATAAGACCAGAGCAGTCAAAAGACAAAGTATATAATTGTAAAAGAGTCTACATTATGAAACTTCAAAAGTGCAGTCGTTCTTAGAATAAACATATACAGTTGAGATGCCCAACTACTTAAGATTTTTTATCTGGGAATCTGGACACCTGTAACTCTGTCCTGTGACCTTACTCCACCTTACTTACCTATTATGGGGTACAGTTTCTACCAGGTGGGCTTATTACTTTCAGTCCCATGACCCTCTAGAAAAGTAGGCAAATGTTAATGTTTAGAATTTATGTTGAGTTATCTTGCATCTGTCACAGAATTTAGATTTAGATTTGTGAGTTTGCAGTGAAATCACTTTTCTGGCCCCTGTGGCCATGAATGTCAAGACAAGTCCGTTGGTATAAATGGCTGTGGAAGAAAAGTGTCATCCTATTTCCAAGTCCAGGTGAAGTGAGCAACCACGAAGACCTTCATCTTCCTTGCTCTCCTGGGAGCTGCTGGTGAGTATCTTTTAATGAGTGAATCAGCGGATGTCGAACATAAACTTAAGTTTGTACTTTATACTCTGGAAGACAACAATGAATGTTGAATCTGGTCTCTGTATTCAAGAAGCTTAAAATATTGAAACAACAGTGCAAAATACATGTTTGTGGATAATTAAATTTCACTTGTTGGAGGAAGTTCACAGTGAGCAAAAGTGATCAGGGTAGAAGATATAAAGACACAGGACTTGCTCTCAACTTCTGGGTAATATTAAGGAAGAAGGAGAGAGAAGGAAAAGATAGCCCAGATTAAGGAGGCGCTTATCCTGACCTTTCCAAGAATTTGGAGTTAATAATTGAAACTAATCGTGTGCTCTTAAAGAGGCTGCAGGTGTCAGAGCCTGCATCTTCTCCACACTAAAGGGCTAGTGATATAAAGCCAAAGGGAAAAGCAATTTTCTTTCTCATGAATAAAAGCTATGGGCTGTGTTTTACGATATTTTTGCCATGGATATCTCTCTGGTGTAAAGTAACATGTCATTTCATCATGAATATAATAGAAAAATGATGAGTTTTCCTTTTATACTACTAAATTTTATAAGACTAAAACTTAATACTAAATTTTCTCAAGTTAGGCAGGTATAAATTCAATTCATCTGTCTACACACCTGCTAACTTCTTTCCTAAAACTATTAAAAATATCTGAACAATGGGGCTCATAAAATATAATCACAAACTTTTGGAGCTACAAGATATAAAGTGGGCTAGACTTTAAAAGCTGAATAAATTCGTAAGTGTTGGAAAGATAATTGGGATAAGAGGAAAGGCTGAAGAGGGTCATCCTATAATGCTCTGTAAAATGATTTTAATAAAAATTCTAGACTGGAATCAAGAAGAGAAATTAGGAGAGCAAAAATATAAATCTCTAATTTCCTTCCAGACGAGAAAATTCTCAGGTGCCTTAGTTTTTTTTTGTTTTTTTATGAGACAGAGTCTCGCCCTGTCGCCCAGGCCGGAGTGCAGTGGTGCCATCTTGGCTCACTGCAAGCTCCGCCTCCCAGGTTCATGCCATGCTCCGCCTCAGCCTCCCGAGTAGCTGGGACTACAGGCGCCCGCCACCACGCCCAGCTAATTTTTTGTATTTTTAGTAGAGACGGGGTTTCACCGTGTTAGCCAGGATGGTCTCGATCTCCTGACCTCGTGATCCGCCTGCCTCGGCCTCCCAAAGTGCTGGGATTACAGGCATAAGCCACCGCAACCAGCCTCAGGTGCCTTTTTAAAGCTTCCTTTCTGTTACCGTATGGGGCTTTCTCTCCCATACCAACATCCTACCAACGACCACAAACCAACATCAGCATGACTACTGAAAAGCATTACACCTAATTGTATGGCTGCGGAGCAGAGTTCTGTGAAAAAATTTCCTTGTGTCTTCAGGAAGTGATATTCAGGACATTTACTGTGTCAAGAGTTTCTGATCTTTGAGTGTGTGTGTGCGCGCGCGCGTGTGTGTGTGAGTCTGAATAGTACATATATTAAAAAAAGAATGCATTTATCAAAGTTAAAGCATAAATTAAAAAATAGATAGTTATAATGTTATAAGTGGGGTACAATTTAAAGGTATGGGATAATAAATTTCCCCCCCAAATTACCTTAAAGCCACCATTTCCTGATTATGTGAGACAAGAGAACGTTCTGCTCTTTTGGTAAATCTGAGAAAACTTTTCATGGTATTGTAGAAACTTTAAGATGAATCTGTTTAACTGATAGTTCCCAACTTTCCTCTGTCAGCCACTTTCCCCACTAGTGATGATGATGACAAGATCGTTGGGGGGCTACACCTGTCAGACGAATGCTGTCCCCATCAGGGTCCCTGAATGCTGGCTATCACTTCTGTGGTGGCTCCCTCATCAATAACAAATGGGAGGTGTCCACGGCTCACTGCTATAAGTCGTAATTCATTGATACTCACTTTCTTATGCACTAAGATTAATTAATCCTCTATCCCTGACAAAACACAATCCAGAGTAAACTGCAGAGTTGTGCTTGAGGGTGAGGCATTCAGACCTCCAGAGACTTCTTATTTTCTCAGGCATTATCTGATGTATAAAGGGGGGTTTGCATGGAGAGGTACCCTTCAGGGTTCCCTGATGTCTTCCCAAATGATGGTATTCAAGATATGGAAGGGAAATAGTGAGTGATGAACTATCCCTAGAAATAGCTTATGACATGAATCAGTACATAGTGCTAATTACTGTAGCTCAGCCAGTATAAACTGTATATGGAAGTAATAAAATACAGAGAATTTACAGTGCAACATTAAAAATATGCATGATTCATTCTGTTCCCTTAACATTCTGCCATTTCTCTGACTCCTGCTTCATTCCCTGTGATAACTGGTGATCCCAACCAGAGAGAAATGGCAAATGCTGATCAATCTCCACCAACTTCCTTTTTATCTCCAACTGTTTTATTCAAGTCCTTGAGTTCTCATTCCCATTCCTTACTATTCTAACAAGATGGCGGGCAGTGAGTCTGCACTTGCAGTGACACTTCTCTAAGGAAAACTCTAACCTGTACCATGTGGTGGTGCAGAATGCTACCTTAAGTGCACAATTACTGTATGACCGATTGCTTGAAAAGGATGGTGTCTGTGTTTATGCTCATAAATGGGGGGTCAGGAGGAGTGGAAATAACTCAAGCTAGATACTTAGGAACCTCTTATATCTTTTAATCCAGCCGAATCCATGTGCATCTTGGAGAATACAACATTAAGGTCTATGAAGGCAATGAACAATTCATAAATGCAGCCAAGATTATTTGCCACCCCAAGTATAACTCAGCCACCATTGATAATGACATCATGCTGATTAAGCTGAGCTCAGTCGCCACCATCAACTCTCAAGTGGCCACCATCTCTCTGCCAAGATCCTGTGCAGCGGCTGGTACTCAGTGCCTCATCTCTGGCTGGGACAACACCCTGAGCAGTGGCTTTAGTGTCGCCTGAAACAGAAGTACCAAGTGTGACAATTTTAGAGCTGAAAGACATGTGGAAAGTCAGCTAGTCCAAACTCACTTAAGGTTAAGTTCCCAGAGCATAGTTTTTGGATACATGGAATCTCAGAAATATACTATTAATAATTGAAATGAAGAAGATTCCTTTGCTGGAACCATGCAGAAGACATAATAATGAAGTACTATGAAGATATCAGGGTATTTAACTGAAGTGTGATTAGTGATGGGCAGAGAACTATAAACTGAGGAGGTAAACAAAACAAAGACTCAGGGATTTGGTCTTGCTTGGAGCATTCAATTGGAATGAATTGGAACAATTCATTGATTAGAACTATTTGGGAAAGCTTCTAGAAAAGAAAGTATTGTTCTCTCAAATGAGAAGCCGTTGGCTAATTGAAAGAAAAAGTGAGAGTATTGGGGAAGAGGGGAGATGTATTGAGAAAGAAAATTTTGGAAACCTCATGAGTAATCTTGCATTTTTCACTCTTCCACTCCACGGCCAACTACCCTGATCTCCTGCAGTGTCTGAAGGCTCCCATTCTCTCTAACACTGCTTGCCGCACAGCCTACCCAGACAAGATTACTACAAACATGATATGTCTGGGATTCCTGGAGGGTTGAAAGGACTCTTGCCAGGTTAGTTTCTTTGTACTGCTTCTCAATTCCAGCTTATTCTTAGTCTTCTCCACCATAATTCCCCTTTTCAGAAACACAGAAGATTGTAAAACTGTCCCTATAACTGATTGTGAGAGGTGAGGGATAGCCTTGGGACAAATTAAATATTTTATTTTTATTGTATTAATGTCTAGGTTTAAGAGTTAAAAGATGCACAGAAGATGGTGTGCAAATAGTATTTCTAAGTGCCCTTCTGAGGAGGTAAACTGTGGAAAGGAACTCTAGTGGAAGGAGCAGAGCTAGTTAAGCAGCATGAAACCTCCTCTTGGCCCACTTGGCCTACCAAGGAAAGAGAAGGGGCTCAAATAAGGTATAAGGAAGACTAACTACTGATATAGTAAGTAGATTGAGGGTTGGAGGGTTTCAAGAGGAAGAGAAAGTGCTTCATGCTGGATCAGCAGTGTGGGACAATGGCTCCAGCACAATGGAAGAACATCTTACGGCCCATTCTCCCATCTGGGCATAAATAAGATCTCTGAATATCCCTTCCTTTTTGCCCAGGGTGACTCTGGTGTTCCTGTGGTCTGCAACGGAGAACTCCAGGGCATTGTCTCCTGGGGCTATGGTTGTCCTCAGAAGAACAAACCTGGAGTCTACACTAAAGTTTGCAACTACGTGAAATGGATTCAGCAGACCATTGCTGCCAACTAAACACCTTTATCTCTTCATGTTCCATATCCTATTCATCAACTTTACCTTCTTTCTATGCCAAAACACAGTATCTAAATAAAAATATACTGTCTTGTACCACGTCTTTTCAAGAATGGTCCCTGTCGGCATTGATTAACTTTCTCTTGAAACTAGCTGTTAAGAAGGTGGACATAGGGCCAAACTATTATATTGAGAAAATGTGAAAGGTTATTGATGTGGTTTGGCTGTGTGTCCCCACCCAAGTCTCATGTCGAATTGTAATTCCCAGTATTGGAGGTGGGGCCTGGTGGGAGGTGATTGAATCGTGGGGGCAGGCTTCCCCCTTGCTGTTCTTGTGATAGAGTTCTCCCAAAACCAGCTTGTTTCAAGTGGGTTGCACCCCCCTAATCCTGCCATCCACATGAAGATGTGTTTGCTTTCCCTTCTACCATGATTATAAGTTTCCTGAGGCCTCCCAAGAAGCAGAAGCCTGTACAGCCTGCAGAATCATGAGCTGCCTAAACTTCTTTTCTTTATAAATTACTCAGTTGCAGGCATGTCTTTATAGCAGTGTGAGAATGGACTAATGCAGTTATTTAGTCATTAATTCAACCTAATCAATATAAGTTTACTGATAACCAACTATATGCCAAACTCTATGTGATACATTGAGAATAAAAAGGTGAACAAGCTTAGAGGTCACTGTTACCACCACATTTTGTTTTTTTACAAAATCAAGAACTCTAAAAATATGTCAGATAAATTTTGTTTTAAGATTTGGCCACAGTATGTATTTTAACTTGCATTTCTGGGGCCAGGTGTGGTGGCTCATGCCTGTAATCCAAACTCCTTGAGAAGCCAGGTTGGGAGGATCACTTGAGGTCAGGAGTTTGAGATCAGCCTGGGCAACAGTTAAGAGATCAGCCTGGACAACACTGCCTCTACAAAAAATTAAAAAATTATCTGGGCATGGTGGTGCATGCCTGTAGTTCCAGCTACTTGAAAGACTAAGGTGAGAAGATTACTTGAGCCCAGGAGTTTGAGGCTGCAGTGAGCTTTGATTGTGCCACTGCACTTCAGCCTAGGAGACACAAGTCCCTATCTCTAAAAATAAAAATCAATTAATTGAAAACATGAACTTTTATGGTAGATCATGCATTCATACCTTACAAGATATAATGACACTAAAATGCAGAAAATTAAACTTAATTGCCCAAAATCATTCAAAAGATTCACAGTAAAGCTAAGATAAAGCCCAAGTGGGCATTCCCAGTGGATTGCTGCTGATAGAACAGAATGGTCTTTCTTTCCTTTTTCTTCAATCTATCTGAAACTCTGGGAAGCTAGGTAGCAGAAACCTGTAGATGCAGAAATATTTAAAATTCACAGGTTTCCTGTGTTTTCCAAGGTTTCACCTACCTGTATATTCCTTTCCTCCAAGATCTTTCTTGTTTTCCAACTAGAAATTTGCTATAGCAGGCCTGGTCTCTGGAGACAATCTGTGTCCCTTTTTCACCACAAGTTCCCCCAAATCCCAGCCCACATGATGTACTAATTTAAACTACAAACAGAAACAAAAAGGTACAAATTCAGATAAGTTTGCAGAAAATAGATATTGTGCCTTGAGGTCATAAATGGCTACAGATATATTATCTATTCTCTTCAGTCCTGTTTGAAGAGTGCATCACAGACTCTGGCTTTAGTTCTTCCACGAGTCGTCCCTCAAATCTTCATTGTTCTGTGTGGCATTGAAAGGAGGGCTTGGAGCAGAAGACCCTGCACGTGACTCTCATGGTTATCTGGAATGAGACAAAGGAAAAGACACACTGGGATCAGAAAACAGAACGGTACAGGTGGAGGCAGTTGGAAATGGGAGTTTATTTGTGGTTCAGTAATAAGGTGAAGGAAGGGTACTGTCTTAGGCAGCTCAGTCAGCTATAACAAAAATATCGCAGACTGGGTGGCTTGCACAACAGACACTTATTTCTCGCAGTGGAGCCTGTGAAGTCCAAGATCAAGACACCAGGTAGTCTGGTGTCTGGTGAGGATAGCTTCCACGTTTCCTAATGGCCATCTTCTAGTTGCATCCACTCATGGCCAAGAGAGCCAGTTCTAGTCCTTTTTCTCTTCTTACAAATTGGTACATTAATCCCATCATGGGGGCCACCCTCTAGACCTTATCTAAACCTAATTACCTCCCAAAGACTCCACCTCAACACCATCCCATTGGAGGTTAAATTTTTAATATACGAATTTGGGAGGTGGGGCACAAACATGCAGTCCATAATAAATATTTCAGAGGAGGAGAGTACTGAAAGGTATACGTGCCCATTAGCAATTTTCTATCCTTTTGTAAGTATGGATGGCACGTTTGTAGAGAAAAGCTGAGCTCTTAATACTGCCTTATCACTGCCCCTAAAATGCAGCCAAAATTTCTTAGCCTTGCATTCAACATTCTCAAATATTTGATCACAACTAACCTTTTCTGTCTTATTTCCTTTGTTCTCATTGAATTGTTTTTATGTTTGTGTATAATCTAAATTAATTTCATATATAGCTCTCTTTGTGTAAATAGGTAGCCTTATATCTACCCCAACTAAAACATCTTGGGCTTCCGCCTTGAACAAAATGAGATTAAGTTTTCCCTGTTCCCTCTGAAATACTTTTCTGCTCCACTTAATTACCACCATCAATACCTACCTATTCACCTTCCCACCCCAGATAGAGGGAAGGTTCCAAGACTTAACAGGAAGTGTGAGATACACAGAAGATGAGAGATCAGGGCAGGTCCAGAGAAAAGAAAAAGGCAAACAAATTATTAATCCTTTATGTTATCCAATAGTGTTTGTTTAGTACTTATTCTTGCCATTTTCAGTCTCTTATTTTGTTTAATGCTTTACAATTTGTGAATTTTTATTAAACTGTATATGTCATATGCCATTTTAAACAACAACTTAGCTTTTATAAATTCACCCTAATAAAATAAGCGTTTAAGTTAAAAAAAAAGGTATAAATGTGAACACATCTCTTAGGAAGTTGCAAGGAACAGAATATCTGACTAATAAAGTCTTTAAAAAATTCACAAATGGAAGCTTAGGAGTAGGGAGGGCTTCAAGAATATTTATATAAGAACATTTGTCTTAATAAGATAAATTGCTAAATTTATCTCTATAAATAAATTATCTCTTTTTCCCTATAAATCTTATTTAATTTATTATTTTGCTGTAACACCACTATTTATCTTTCATGGAAAGTGACTTTAGTTTTGAAATCAAATTTTAAAAGGTCTTTAAAAAATAAAATATTTTCTATCTTCATATTATTTAGTCTCACTTTTAAAAGTCAATTTAAAATGTCAATTTGTTGATGGGGCACAAATACAAAAGTCTTAGTCCTAGAGATACTCATTTATTCTGACTAGCTCAGTCTAACCACTTTCTATTTGTATGCCATCTAAACTATAGGATTTCCAGACATCTTGAAGAAATCATAGTTTTCAATAATTTCTTAGTTTCTCCATTTTTTTAACAAGTTCCCTACTTCTACAGAATAAATCAATTCATTTTCTCCTTTACTAACTGATCTCATCTTCTCACTGCAAGGCACAAATCCCTTCATCAAAACTTACCCGAGAGTTATATAAGCGCTCTAACATGACCTCAACAGTCTACTGTGATTTTATGTACACAGTCCCCATGCAAAGCCTTCATTACTTAACAGAGTTTATTTTTAAGGACACGTCCGTGTGCATAATCCAACTTCATTTTTTAAATGACTTTCCTATTTTTGTGGTCCATTTCTATTTGCAGTGTTCTTAGCCCTTGCCAGCTCTGCCTCTGAGACTCTTATTAGACTTGGAGGGACCCATGCAGTGAAAGGCCACAGGTTTCCTCCAAGGCCAGCTTCTGGCTCAAAGATCTGATAGCAGTAGAGTACACTGTTTTCCAAACAGAAAATATAAGGCCATATGTTCTGAAGAACTGTTGGAAAGTTAGTTTTGTCTTCATTCGTAAGGGGAACTTTCACAGTTCACACAACTTTGTGTTGTGGTAATTTCTCATACCACTCATGTACTATATCTGCAGTTTAAAAAATTATAAGACAAAAGATTATGCTTCCCTGGGAGTCACTGGATTGTTGTCCTGGCGTGTTAGAAGCCTCCCTCATCACCCCACTGCATTTCTCTCTATTGCATGTAGAATGGAAAGGCTGGGCAGATTTCTGAGAAACGCCTCTCCAAGCCTCTAAAGTTTCTTTACACATAACTGCCTCTCCCACAGGACCTCTTCCTCCATTTTCTTTTCCAAGGAGCACTCATACAGAATTATAGACACTGCTCCGATGTGACTCTCACCACTGAATTATCATTTAACTTTCTTTTGGGGTTTCCTCACTTCAAAATCACATTTTCCGTTTTTGATGATCAACACTTTGAACTCCGAAACTGCAGTTTTGAAATCAGTAACTCCCTCCTTAATCCCCTGAAGTCCTTTTCATTTTCTTCTTCCTGTTTAACTACTAGGATTATTTTGCCCTTGATAAAGAAATTTCCATTTACTGCCATGTCTAGGAAAAATAAATTTTCTTCACTGTAGCTTAGCATGTTCTCCACATTATTACATTGTTTTACATGTGTTTACCAAAAAAAAAAAGACAAAATCTCTCATTTCATTTGAGAAAGAGGCATAACAAAATATTTTATTCTTTTTTTTAGCTATGTAATTTAACCCCCTTCTTTCAACCCAAATCAGCTACATTTTTGTTCAATCAATAACTTCATAAGCCACATGGGATGGGAGAGTTACACCCTCCCACAGGATGGCTACCTGCCATGTTCTACTGAGTGAGATATGCAAACTGAAGGCTGGATCTAATGGAGAAGACAATAATCTTTTAAAAAAGAGAGAGAGAGAGACATTAGAGATGTAGAAGAAGAAAAGAGGTAAGGTAGGATAGACTTAGGAAGAAATTTCAAAAAAGAATAAAAATAACTAAAATAGGTCTTTAGAAAATTATGCTGTGTGGTAATATAATACAAATTATTTTCTTTAGTTTCCTGTGTAGTGTCCAGAACAATTTTTATTTTTGCTACTGTATTTTAGTTTTGAATCTGATTTGGAGAATGGAATAAAATAGTAGTTAGATGAGCTTTAAACACTGGCTTTGGGCAAAAGATGACCCACATCTGGGTAACAAGAATGAGGCAGGATGGGGAAGGTATATTTCTTTGTCAATCATATATTGACATTACCAAATATTAGAAATAAAGTGTCTTCACACCATAGAAAATTTATCTTCCCATAGCTGTGGGTTCCACCAAAGGTTTTTCCTCAGACATTGTATTACTCCAGATTCATTCAGGAAATACAAACCACATCAGCAATATAAAGAGAAGAAATTTTAGTATAAACAACTATTAAATTTTGGCCGGGTGCAATGGCTTATGTCTGCAATCCCAGCACTTTGGGAGGCTGAGGCAGGAGGATCTCTTGAAGCCAGGAGTTTGAGACCAGCCTGGACAACATAGCAAGGCTTTGTATCTATAATAATAATAATAATAATAATAATAATAATAATAATAAGCGGGGTGTGGTGGTGCATGCTTGCAGGTCCAGGTACTCAGGAGGCTGAGGCAGGAGAATCACTAGAGAAAAAAGAATTATTTACTTTTTTGGCGAGGGAAAAAATATAAAGAATGGGGTAAAGGAAAAAGATCATTTTGTGGTGCCTGACATGTCAATGCGAGCAACTCTAAAAGGAGTTGCAGGTTTTTATTGTTGTTTCATATTTATGTTGTTCCTTTTCTGCATTTTTCTTGATAAACAGGTGTTGGGTTTTATAAAACAAAGATAACATTTGTCTTTAATGAAATTTCCAGGATGTCTGGCTTATAAAATGTAGTATTAATCTTTCTCACCTTACAAAAATCCCTTAATCCACCCTAATCTGCAGGAAGAAAGCCAGCTGACAATGAGTGCAACCCATTCAGGTTGGGAGGCTTCCCAGCACTGACCTGCTCCACCCTCTCATCCCTCCACATCTTTTCTGAGCCTCATGCTAGTCACGAGATGTCCCTAGTGAAACATGAGTGGAATTGGAGGGGGTAATACTTTTTCTCTTTAGAGAGAGGGGTATTGAGCTAGGAAGAGCTGAAACCTAAGAAGTCCAGTAATTCTGAATCACTGACCTCAGGAGGGACCCAGTTCCAAGACATTGCTGGAGCCAAATCACACAATCCTGTGAACCAGGAGCATCCAGAAGGTTTTCTCCTTTCTAGTACTCAGGAGTTTTGCAGAGGTGAAAAAGGTAATAGTGATGATAACTCACATTTATTATCTTCTGTGTGTCATATACGGTGCTTAAGTGTTTTTAAATAATATTTAATCCTCATGACTATCTTATGAGGTAAGTACTAATCTTCTTTCCATTTTATAGCTTAGAATACTGAGGCTTAAGGTAGTTAAACGTCCTTCTCCACGCTCTTCACCATGTTAACCAAAAAAAAAAAAAAAAAACAAAGAAAGAAACAAGAAAATATCATAAAGATTTAAGAACTTCACAACAATATTTTGACATAAGATAAATTACTGTCCCTGAAAGCCTGGAAAATATGGGAATCCTAAAGTTACAGTTATTTTATTTTATTTAACCAACATTTAACTAGCATTTACTATTTGTTAGGCAGTGTCCAAAGCCACTTTAAAAACACTAACTCTTTTCATTTTCCTAAAAACAATCGATGTAATGGGCTTTTCATTTTACAAGAAAGGAAACTGATAAAGCCAGAGATAAGAAACTTGCCCAAGGGCGTATGGCTACAAAATGTGTCATAATCAGAGCTCATTATGATCAAGCTTCAGAGGCTACCATGAGAATTACAGGTAGTGTATTATGAACACTCATACTCTTATCTTTTCTACTGTAGATTCCAACATCTTCTCTCATAGGAGCGTTGTCTAATCCTTTTTCTATTTTAGTTCTAAAGGTGGAAAGAATCACACCTCATGCTCACTTTAAACTGCCCTGCCAAACCCTTCTCTGGATGATCTTGATCCCTCCGTCCATCAAGCCACCACTCCCCAGAATTGAGGCTTAAACGTGAAATTAGAGCAAACTAATGGACCCAGATAAATTGCTTTCCAGTCCTTCAGGATTGGGAGGACACAACAGGGACCCCGGAACCACTCAGGCAGAATCACCCTCTTGGCATACTTGCTTCACCTATCACCATTAGAAAACGGAGTAGAGTTGGAAATGATTTGACTCCAGTCCTGGTTATTGATTACTGCATAGAAAACCACTTCAAATTTAGCAGAATATAGCAATGTCAATCACTTGTTATCACTATTTCTCATGGCTTTAGGATTTGACCGGGCTCCTATAGGCAGTCATTGCTGGGAATCTCTCATGCTTTGCAGGCAGCTGGTGGCTGGGCTTGGAGCCATCTCAAAGACTTCCTCACTCATAGGTCTGGTGGCTGATACTGTCTGTCAGCTGGGACTTCAGCTTGATTTTTGGCCACAGCACCTGTGCATGCCTTCTCTATTTGCCTCCAGATGGGATGGCTTCAGCTTACTTATAGCAAAGCAGATGTACTCTAAGAATATTTGAAGAAGAGAGCCAGATGGAAATTTATTGACTTTTAGAAACTGTTCTCCAAAATTATGCCAGTTCATATTTAAGAGGAACGAAATTAGAATTTACATTTTGTAGGGAAGAGAGCCAAACAATAAAGGAATACTTTCTAAGCCACACATCATCTCACATCCAGGAAAAATCTCTTGGGAACTGAATTATGCTTTTTTAAAAGTTTTATTTTAGGTTTTGAGGTACATGTAAAGGTTTGTTACATAGATAAACACGTGTCATGGGGTTTGTTGTACATATTATTATATCACCCAGGTATTAAGCTCAGTACCCAATAGTTATCTTTTCTGCTCCTCTCCCTTCTCCGACCATCCCCCTCAAGTAGACCTCAGTGTCTCTTGTTTCTTTCTTGTGTTCATCAGCTCTTATCATTCAGCTCTCACTTATATGTGAGATCATGTGGTATTTGGTTTTCCTTTCCTGGGTTAGTTTGCTAATTTGATGATAGCCTCTAGCTCCATTCATGTTCCTGCAAAAGGCATGATCTCATTCTTTTCTATGGATGCGTTATATTTCATGGGGTATATGTACCAGATTTATTTTATCCAGTGTGTCACTGATGGGCACTGAGGTTGATTCCATGTCTTTGCTATTGTGAGCAGTGCTGCAATGAACATTTCTGGAAATGTCTCTTTATGGTAGAATGCTTTATATTCCTCTGGGTATATACCCAGTAATGAGATTGCTGGGTCGAATGGTAGTTCAGCTTTTGGCTCTTTGAGGGATTGTTGTGCTGCTTTCAACAATGGTTGAACTAATTTACATTCCCACCAACAGTGTATAAGTGTTCCCTTTTCTCTGCAACCTTGCCAGCCTCTGTTACTTTTTGACTTAATAATAGCCATTCTCAGTGACGTGAGATGATATCTCCTTGTGGTTTTGATTTGCATTTATCTTATGATCAGAGATATTGAGCTTTTTTTCATATGCTTGTTGGCCTTATGTATGTCTTCTTTTGAGATGTGTTTGTTCATGTCCTTTGCCCACTTTTTAATAGGGTCCTTTGTTTTCCTTTTGTAAGTTTGCTTAAGTTCCTTATAGATGCTGGATATTAGACATTTGTCAGTTTGTAAACATTTTCTCCCATTCTGAAGGTTGTCTGTTTACTCTGTTGATAGTTTCTTTTTCTGTGCAGAAACTCTTAAGTTTAATTGGATCCCACTTGTCAACTTTTGCTTTTGTTGTGATTGCTTTTGGTGTCTTTTTCATTAATATGGTTTGACTATGTCCCCACCCAAATCTCATCTGGAATTCCCATGTGTTGTGGGACGAACCCGGTGGCAGGTAACTGAATCATGGCAGCAAGTCTTTCTCATGCTATTTCTGTGATAGTGAATAAGTCTCAGAAGATCTGATGGCTTTAAAAAGAGGAGTTCCCCTGCACAAGCTCTCTCTGTTTGCCTGCTGCCGTCATGTAAGACGTGACTTGCTCTTCCTTGCCTTCTGCCATGATTGTGAGGCTTCCCCAGCCACATGGAACTATAAGTCCAGTTAAATATCTTTCTTTTGTAAATTGCCAAGTCTTGGGTATGGCTTCATCAGCAGCATGCAAACTGACTAATACAGTCATGAAATCTTTGCCCATTCCTAGGTACAGGATGGTATTGCCTAGGTTGTCTTCCAGGGTTTTTATAGTTTTGGGTTTTACATTTTAGTCTTTAATCCATATTGAGTTGATTTTTGTACATGGTGTAAAGAAGGGGTCCAGTTTCAATCTCCATTGGCTAGCCAGTTATCCCAGCACCATTTATTGAATAGAGAGGCTCTGTCCCATTGCTTGTTTGTGCCAGCTTTGTCAAAGATGAGATGTCATAGAAGTGCAGCCTTATTTCTAGGCTGTCTATTCTGTTCCATTGGTCTATGTGCCTGTTTTTGTACCAGTACCATGCTGTTTTAGTCACTGTAGCTCTTGTAGTACAGTTTGAAGTCAGGTAACTTGCTTCCTTCAGCTTTGTTCTTTTTGCTTAGCATTGCCTTGGCTATTTGGGCTTGTTTTTTTGGTTCCATATAAATTTTAAAATATTTTTTCTAGTTCTGTGAAGAATGTCATTGGTAGTTTGATAGGAATAGCATGGAATCTATAAATTGTTTTGGGAAGTATAGCCATTTTAATGATATTGATTCTTCCTATCTGTGAGCATGGGATGTTTCTCCATTTGTTTGTGTCTTGTCTGAATTCTTTCAGCAGTGTTTTGTAATTCACAGTGTGGAGATCTTTCACCCCCCTGATTAGCTGTATTCCTAGGTTTTGGGGTTTTTTTTGTTTGTGCATGGCAATTGTGAATGGGACTAACTTTCCAATTGGCTCTCAGTTTGTTGTTGGTGTATAGAAATGCTAGTGATTTTTGTACATTGATTTTGTATCCTGCAGTTTTGATGAAGCTGTTTATCAGCTGAAGGAGCTTGGGGGCCAACACTATGGGGTTTTCTTGACATAGAATCATGTCATCTGCAAAGAGAGATAGTTTGACTTCCTCTCTTCCCATTTGGTTGTCTTTTATTTCTTTCTCTTGCTTGATTGCTCTGGCTAGGACTTCTAATACTATGTTGAATAGAAGTGGTGAGACAGGGCATCTTTGTTTTGTGCCAGTTTTCAAGGGGAATGCTTCCAGCTTTTGCCCATTTAGTATAATGTTGGTTGTGGTTTTGTCATAGATGGCTCTTATTATTTTGAGGTGTGTTCCTTCAATACCTGGTTTATTAAGCGTTTTAACATGAAGTAATGTTGAATATTATCAAAAGCCTTTTCTGCATTTATTGAGATAATCATGTGATTTTTATCCTTAGTTCTGTTTATGAGATGAGTCACATTTATTGATTTTTGTATGTTGAACCAACCTTGCATCCCAAGGATGAAGCCTATTTGATCATGGTGGATTAGCTTTATGATACGCTTCTGGATTCAGTTTGTAAGTATTTTTGTATAGGGCTTTTACATCTTTGTTCATCAAAGATATTGGCCTGAAGTGTTCTTTTTTCCTGTCTTTCTGCCAGGTTTTGGTATCAAGATGATGCTGGCCTCATAGAATGAGTTGGGGAGAAGTCCTTCCTCCTCAATTTTTTGGAATTGTTTCTGTAGGAATGGTACAAGTTTTTCTTTGTACATACAGTGGAATTCAGCTGTGGATCCATCAGATCCTGCACTTTTATTGATTGGTAGGCTATTTATTGCTGATTAAATTTTGGAGCTTGTTATAGGTCTGTTCAGGGATTCAGTTTCTCTCTGGATCAGTCTAGGGAGGGTGTATGTATCCAAAAATGTATTCATCTCCTCTAGGTTTTCTAGTTTGTGTGTGTAGAGGTGTACATATTGGTTTCTGATGGTTGTTTTTATTTCTGTGGGTTCAGTAGTAACATTCCCGTCATCATTTCTAATTGTGTCTGTTTGGACCTTCTCTTTTTTCTTCTTAATTAGCTAACTAGTGGCTTTGTTTTTTTTTTTTTTTTTTTTTTTTTTTCAAAAAACCAACTCCTGGATTCTTTGGTCTTTTGAATGGTTTACTTGTGTCTTAATTTCCTTCATTTCAGCTCTTATTTGTGTTATTTCTTATCCTCTTTTGGGGTTGATTTGTTCTTGCCTCTCTAATTCTTTCATTGGGAAGTTAGGTTGTTAATTTGAGATCTTTCTAACTTTTTGATGTGAACATTTAGTGCTATGAATTTTCCTCTTAACACTGCCTTAGCTGTGTCCCAGAGATTCTGGTTTGTTGTATCTTTGTTCTCATTATTTTCAAAGAACTTCTTGATTTCCACCTTAATTGCATTGTTCACCCAAAACTCATTCAGCAGCATGTTAATTTCCATGTAATTGTGTTGTTTTGAGGAATTTTCATTGTGTTGACTTCTGTTTTTATTTCACTGTGGCCCAAGAGTGTGATTGGTATGATTTTGATTCTTTTGTTGAGGATTATTTTATGTCTAATTACATGGTCAATTTTAGAGCATGTGCCATGTGATAATGAGAAAAATGTATATTCTCTTGTTGTGGGGTGGAGACTTCTGTGAAGGTTTATCAGATCCATTTGGTCCAATGCTGAGATTAGGTCCTAAATATCTTTGTTAATTTTCTGCCTCAATGATATAATACTGTCAGTGGAATGTTGAAGTATCCCACTATCATAGTGTAGGGATCTATGTCTCTTTGTAGGTCTCTAAGAACTTGCTTTATGGATCTGGATGCTCCTGTGTTGGATGAATATATATTTAGGAGAGTTAGGTCTTCTTGTTGAACTGAACCCTTTACCATTATGTCATGCCCTTCCTTGTCTTTTGTTGATCTTTGTTTTGTCTGAAATTGGAATTGCAATCCTTGCATTTTTCTGTTTTCTAATCGGTTGGTAGATTTTTCTCCATCCCTTTATTTAGAGGCTATGAGTGTCATTACATGTGAGACGGATCTCTTGAAGACAGCATACCATTGGGTCATGTGTTTTTATCCAGCTTGTCACTCTGTGCCTTTTAAGTAGAGTATTTAGCCTGTTTAGTTTTAAAGGTTAGTTTTGACGTGTGAATTTGATCCTGTCATTGTGCTGTTAGCTGGTTATTATGTTGGCTTGTTTGTGTGGTTGCTTTACAGTGATGCTGGGCTGTGTGTTTAAGTGTGTTTTTGTATCAGCTGATAGCAATCATTCCTTTCTATATTTAGTGCTCCTTTCAAGATCCCTTGTAAGGCAAGTCTGGTGATAATAAAGTCTCTCAACATTTGCTTATCTGAAAAAGATCTTATTTCTCCTTCACTTAGGAAACTTAGTTTGGCTGGATATGAAACACTTGGTTGAAGATTTTTTTCTTTAATTGTGTTGAATGTAGACCTGCAATCTCTTCTGGTTTGTAAGGTTTCTCCAGCCACATCCTACAGGTGCTTTTGGGCTGCCAATATGTCTGCACCTCCCTGGGACAAAGCTCCCAGAGGCAGGGACAGGCTACCATCTTTGCTGTTTTGCAGCCTTCATTGGTGACACCTCCAGGTTCTAGAAAATCCAAGGTGACTAGAGACTGGAGCAGGCCCCAAGCATATTGCAGCAACCCTACAGAAAAGTGGCCAGACTGGTACGTAGGTGCCTATTCCCATATCTCCTCACTGGGCAGGTCCTCCAGGCCTGGGCCTCCAGCCACCCCTCACCAGAACTGTCATGCCAGTACCAACTCAGCAACTCCCTGGACTGAGCCTCCAGGGGAAACTGACAGCTCTAGGCCACTGCCTCTGCAGTGAATTATGCTTGCCGAGGTCACAATTGAGTGACCTTTATTAGAATATTATACGAGAAATTATAAAGAAGATAGTGACTATAATCTCTTATATCCATTAAATAAATTGTATCGTCTCACTTCTTTACAAAGCAAATAGTTGTATTTAGCCTATTCTTTCCATGAGAAAAGAAAAGAAAAAGACATTTTAAAAGAAAGGAAACTAACAATAGTCGCCTTCATATTCTCATTGGTGAGGCTTTGTGGGAGGGAGGCAGAGATTGAGAATAGAGAGAGAAAATATGGATTTCTCAATGTAAGATAGTAACAAAAATTTTCAGTTCTCCTCCGATAGCTTAAAAGGGTAGATGTTTGTCTCTCTCTACTTGGGGCTTCTGGGCAGCAGAAATGTGAGCTGACTAAAGACATGAAGAAAACAAGAAAATAAAAAAGGAATTCAGGGTAGGTTCCAGCAATGTGGCAGAAACCAGGTTATAGGTTAACAGACTCCGTGGACTGTAGGTGATTCATAAACATTCACAAAGTGATTTCTGATATACTATTTAAAGATGTTTTCAGGCTGGTGCCAAAATTTCCTGTAATATCTCCAAAGCTTCAGTAAAAGTCTGAAACCCACCCTAGAATTAGGTTAGTGGTGAATTAAGAAATAAAATGAAGACAGCTGTTTTCATGTGCTGGGACAAAGAAGGCTGGAGATAAGCAAAGAACTTAGCAGAAATAAGGCCCAGTCCTACCAGATAAATAATTGGAACAAGTAGAGGGATGCTGGATTTCCTAAAATGTTGGGGGTCGTGGGCTTCAACAGTATGGTTGTGAGCAAGGTTTTTAACCATACAGAGCTTCAGCTTGAAAATGGATAATAACGATATTTAATGTATAGGCCTGTGATAAAGGATAAATTAGGTCACACATGCTGGGCATATAGCACAGTATTTGTCACATGGTACAAAACAAATACTGACTTTATTATTTTAATAATTATTATTTTAAAACCTTTGGGTACTAAAGAAATATTGTCCCCAAAAGTTTAGAGTACATGGGAACATACTGATGAGGTTTTAAGTTAATAATTAAATTTTAGGAGAACTAAGTCTGCCTATAATTTTTACAGATATAGGAATGTTATGTTTATGGACTTTTATAACTGATCAGCTCCTTAATTACTCTGATAAAGATCAGTTTGATACTATATAGTTTGCATTTTTCCAGTCTACTCTATATAAAATGTGGGATTGAACCTACTGTTATTACCCGTCTCTGTGGGACAGGCTGGAAGTTACCATATAAGGGTAGCTAATAAAAAGAAAAAATGGGATGCATTTTGAGAGTAATCAGCATAGAAGACAAAAAGTGAACTAGTAAGGAGATTGGTTGCATTCAGATCATCCAATAGGAGAGCATCCAAGATCTGAAGATTATGAAGTATCTTGGCAGGGTGGTTTTGCCCTGGAATTTTTATAGGGAGAAAAAGATAAGTTTGAGGTGGGGAGATTTATAGTGGGGGTTGTTTTACAATCAGGGGGAAGCCTCAGTTAGTTGGCTGAATAGGAAATGTTTATTTTTTAATGTAGCTAGTTTCGAAGAGACAAACCATTCTAATCTCAGCTAATCATTTTTGAAACAAAAAATGGGGAGTTGGATGGTCCATGTCTGGCCATGTCAGCAAGTCCGGGCAAAAGAGGAAAGGTCTGTATTTGATGCATCACAGGTAAGCAAGAGAACCATGCAAAATTTTCTGGGAGCCGGGAGAAAGAAGGGGCAGAGAGTCTTATTTAAGTCATATAGGAAAGGTAGCTCTTTGTGGTAATTCATTTCTAAGAACACAAAACGATGGAGGGATTTCTTAACCATTGCTCTTTTCTGGGAACACAGGCTAAGATAGAGTTCAGCCTTGACACAGAGAATATGGAGACTGAGTTCTGAGTCCTGACTTTGCCACTAACTTCCAAGAGAACCATAGCTTCCTCATCACTAAAATTACAAGGAATGAAAAAAGCAATGATTTATTAAGTGCATTTCATACCCCAATCCTCTGGAAGTCTCTGGAAGAGGTGAGATGGCAGCAAGATGGGCAGGGAGAGCGGTTTAAGTCACAGAGGGAGAAGGAGACAACAAAGAAAGGTTGTGTCATAGAGAGGAGAAGGAAAATCAGCAGGTACATAATAACTCCAGGCAAGATTTGTAGGATAGGAAAGGAGGCACCAGGACCTCGGCTTGGTCTGTGCCACTCTCTTTCACCCACATCAGAGACGGCTCCCAGCAATGCCGTATATATTTGGGTCTTGATAAGGACTCATGTGAAGACTGCTCTCCTCTCATCTGTCTTCTGCCCATAATCTCCACAGCTGTTCTTGGCAAGGACACTTGGACTAAAGATTGGGACAGTTTACAGCTTGATCAACTTGTCTGTTCCTGGCGAGATCTGTCTGCCACGAAGGGTTTTCTCATCGTCGCTCTCTTGAGTGCAGCTGGTGAGAGTTTGGGGCTTTGTTTCTGCCTATTGTGACACCCAGGATAGTCTATGAAAGATTGGAAAGAGGAGTAGCTGGGCACAACTAAACAGCTAGGAAGCGGAGGACATTTAAATAAAACAACCGTTGAAGAAAACAAAAGGAACCACATTAGAGAACATGGGCCTGGAAAAGGGGGGTGAGCTGGGTCAGGGGCTCTGGAAGCCCTAAGCTTTTCTATTTCTTTCATCACCAAAGTCAGGCAGTAATTTTTTACCCCAATTTATGGCAAAAGTGAATTTAAAAAAATTTAAATCACGCCATACTTTTTTACCCCCATTTATGGCAAAAGTGAATTAAAAAAAAATTTCAAGTAGTCATTATTTTTTTCATCTTTGTAACACACAGCACTGCCAATAGGAGCTTCTGATCAGCATGTAAGTAAGTTTCACAGAATTTTAATGTAATTTCATCTCAGCAAAACCATGTGTCAATTTTCTTATTGTGTATAACTTAGAGGACATGCATAATTTTCCTTGATTAAAATATGAAAGGTAAATTGAAGACCTTTACATTACATTTGAAAACCTTAGGTTAGGGAAAACTACCCTAGCCAGTTCTGGCCTTTTAACTTCTTTTTCCCTTTCCACCTATGGCCCCTTGATTCTCCAGGAGCTGCTCTGGCTAAAGACTCTAAAGATAATCAGGATCTGACATATAATTTTACTATTCCTTACATGGTCTATCTTCAGTCCTTCCCAGAACCCTGCGTGGGGTCTCTCATTCACCTTGACTGGGTATTGACAGCTGCCCACTGCCCCTTACCGTAAGTATCCCTTTCTCTTGCGAGCTGGGAGGAATCTGTTCAAACAAATGTAGATCTGGTGAAGCATCCCAGAAAATTTTTAGTAAAATCAGAAGACACGGAAAAAGAGAGACTCTTGTTCCCATTGGGAAACAGAACACAAATTTGGGCAGTTTAGGAGGAGATCAGTAGGAAGATGTCAGAGGATTCCCTCTCATGGGTAGTAAATAATATTCATTCATCAACAATACTTGTTAAACATTTATTATCTAGCAAGGGCTACTTAATCACTGATGAAACAGTGAAGGAACAAGATGAAAATAAGTGTTCCCTCATGGAGCTTACATTTTGGTAGAGGGAGTAGCCACCACAAATAAATGGCCAAAAACAAAGTATTTTTTTTAATGGCAAGCTCTAATATATGGGCATGAAATAAGAAATCTGCTTTAGTTAATGTGGTCATGTCCATCATCTCTGAAGAGGTGAGATCCATAGGAAGAGAAGGAGCCAGCCAAATGAATAAATCCTGGGGGATATTCCAGGCCAAGGGAACAATATTCATATACTCCCTGAAGTAACAAAGATATTAAGCTGAGAAATCGGCAGGAATTAAGGGTAATGAGCAGGGGGATCGCTCATAGGATGAGGTCAAAGACTTAGGCAGAAGCCATATCATGCAGTGACAGTAGAGGGCAAGGGAGCACGATACAAAATAAAGCAATTCCTTGCAAATCTCAGTGTTTCTGTTGTGTGTGAGAATGTGCTGTGTGATCAAGACCTACTCAGTTTCATGAGTATAGAACGGTTCTTTCAAATTCAGAAATCTTAGCCATCTGGCTGTTCAAGGCAGTTTAGTTTAACGCAGACTAACCTCTGCTCTGTGGTATATGGGAAATACAAAGGAAATACACAGTTCACATCCTTCCAGAATAAAAATTGAAAAGGCAGATGTTCTTTCTTACATCCATACTTAACACATGAACTGGATGTGTGCTGCCTCTCTATTAGCTGCTAATTCAGATGATAAAAATCTTAATAACAAGGCTCCACTGACTTGTGTTTTAGTTGCCAGACACGATGTCAGACATTTTACAAATTTATGTCTCTAATACAACAATTCTGTAAATTACTGCTATTGTTTTATAGACAAAAGAAGGCCATGTCAGTTCTCAGGTTAAGAAATAAAGTTAAAATAATTAAAGAGGGTGGCCCGTAGGATTTCTTGTAATCCATTATCTTATGACTCTCTTTCTTCTCATCTCTCTGCCCTCTTTCTTCCAAAGTGTTGAAATTCGACTGGGAGTTTCTCAACCTAGCATCACAAACAAGAAACAACAGATATGAAACTATTCATCGATTGTGACCTACCCTGACTTTGATGCAAAATCCTTGAACAATGACCTAATGATGATCAAACTATCAACACCTGCTTCACTCAACCCCCATGTGGGGACTATAGCCATAGCCTTGGAACCCATTCCATTTAATGAATCCTGCTTTATTCCAACCTGGACCTGGAATGAATATAAAAACCGTATGTGTTGGATGCTGTGTTCTTTATGCTGAGGAGGTTGGAGCTGGGAGAAAATGTAGAGGGATGTCCCTAATGGAAATCGCTGCTATGAGACAATGTTGTCCACCATAGAGGGATTCCTGCCAGGGACCCAAACCACCATCACTGGAGGTCAAAGATAAAATTCAAAGAGACTGATAAAGGGCAGCCACTCTGACACCAACAAATGGAGCAGACAGTAATTTTCATATCTCTAGAATATTGAAGACAAGAGTCCAGAGAACTGGATTGAAATACAGGTGGGAGAAATAGGAGTCCTCGTGCACAAAGACAGTATGAAGACAGCCTGCGGGAGGGTGACACCCATTGATAGTTGCTGAAAGCCCATCACACAATGGAAGAACAGTGGGGGAAATGAACATAAAATATATGTGATGCGGTGAAGCAGCAGAAGATGCTTCCTACACCTTCCGCAGAGAACCCAGTTATGTGCAGAGAACCCTGGGAGAGAAGAGAATGGTTGAGGGAGTACCTGTCCTGTCACCAGAGCTGGTTCCCTGCACAGAGTGCTACTCATACCCACTGCTTCTTCCCAGAGTTCCCATTTAGGGGTGGAGACTTTGGTGGTTCGTAGGGAAATTGATTATTATGACATAATCAGTTGTTATCTCCCTGGTCTGACATGCCTCACAAGAAAAACAGTGGCAGCCCATGTTGTAAGCACACACCCATCTCCCCTGTGAGCTGAAATTGGGATGAGCAGAAAGATCCGGTCTCAGCAGGAGTCTGTCTAATAAAGAACACCTGTGAAGAAAACTACTTTCTAATAAGTTTGTTGGTCCTTGTTGGCTGTTACTCCATTATTCTCTCCTTAGGTATTGTTGAGGATGAGGATACCACCACTTGATATCTGAAATGAAATGACAAATGTAAATCTATTGCTTATTACAGCAAGTCAGAGCAATGCTGACCAGGCACCATCCCACTAAGCAGAATGGAGTGCTGATTAGCATAAGGGGTTTGTGGGAAGCTTGGAGTTGAGGGATTGGAGGACTTTCAGAGGTATGAATGGGTTCCATCATCTGTTGAGGCCTGGCTACTTCAGGGGGATTGCTGTTGATTGATTGGTGCTCTGAGGCGTGTTTTTCAGAGGACCTCTGATCCTGATCAGCTGGTTTTAAGAAGTGAAGGCTGACATTGATTATACTGCAAAAGTTATGTTCACTCAAGCAAGTTGTCCTGGATCTATTAATCAGGTTTAAATCTCTCTCTGGTGGCTACAGAACAATGCACGTGCTCTGTAAAAGCAAATAAAAGTGGAATTTTAGAAGTCAGTCTTTGGTAAAAAACAGAAATAAAAAGCAGAAACTATTATATTCTCAGTATTTTGCAGATTCATTTTTCCACTTAGAAGCAAGTACTTGGGAATCTAAGTGAACATGTTTTCTGAACAGTTACAGCTTGTATGATTTTTGTCCTTGATTTTGTAAGTCTTATTCAAAGTAATTGAATTACAACTTACAGAAGTAATTTATTACGTACAATTTGAAAACAAAACAAAACTATTCAGAGGTATATAGGCTCTGCATGTCAAAATCACAGTGACAAACTCTACCTCTATAAGCTTTCTGGTGCAGGGCTTCCAATATTTATTAGAAATTCATTATTTCAAGTAACTTAAGTTACTTTCACCTAGTTTTTTACACATATTTTAATTTAGTTCCCATAAAAACATAAAACTGAACATAATTTCTCTTTCTTCTCTGACCTGACAACTTCTGGCCTAATCTGCTTTAGGGCATTTGATTGGATACACTCTATCAGAAAAAATCCTGCTCCTTAAACAACACTGGACTTAGCTTGAGCAATCTCTGGTCAGCGGTTTTTTTTTTTTTTTTTTTTTTTTTTTTTTTTTTTTTTGAGACGGAGTCTCGCTCTGTCGCCCAGGCTGGAGTGCAGTGGCGGGATCTCGGCTCACTGCAAGCTCCGCCTCCCGGGTTCACGCCATTCTCCTGCCTCAGCCTCCCAAGTAGCTGGGACTATAGGCGCCCGCCACTACGCCCGGCTAATTTTTTGTATTTTTAGTAGAGACGGGGTTTCACCGTTTTAGCCGGGATGGTCTCGATCTCCTGACCTCGTGATCCGCCCGCCTCGGCCTCCCAAAGTGCTGGGATTACAGGCGTGAGCCACCGCGCCCGGCCTGGTCAGCGTTTTTGTTTCCTTTCTCTTTGCTATTCTCTACCAGAAATTTAAATTACATGATACCTTCGTTAAAGTCCCTGTATCCTGAATTTGACAGTATAATAGCAATTGCTATTATGGAGATGAACAACATGACAACTTCTTGGGGGAAATATATATGTATATTTATATCAATACACATACTATAAACACTTATAAATAATCTGTGTAACTCAAAAAGCAGTTTTATATGCACTAAAAATAGTTTCTCCCTTTATAACTAAACGTGAAAAGGATCAAGTAGATGCCCAATAAAGGTGTGTGTGTAGGGGGAAAATCTTTGAGACAATGGTTTCGTTACTGTCTCTTTCTCCTTGTGGTCACTAATAACTCACAGTTTTTTCAAAATTTTATAAATGATGCATAGCACAGAAAGAACTATGGATTTGATATCTGACAAAGGGGACTTATAAACCTACTTCTCTAACATGGAGATTACTGAACAAGGAATCCTACGGAGAATGGAGTGTCTGCTGCTACCGGCATTGAATATTCTCAGGACTGAATTTATTTACAAAACAGGATCTGGTTAGAAGAGCCCTTGTGATAAGAAGAGTCACTCTGGAGTTTGTTTTCTCTTTCCCACAGTCAGTGATCCTGACATCCTGACATGGATCAACCAATATTCTCTTCCATTCCGTGACTGTCAGGATAGACTCAAAGAAGAACAGGCAGGAAACATCATTTGTGTAGGACACCCTCTAAGGATCCTATCTAAAAACAAGGTATTTCTCCCTTCTCTATACTGGAAGATAGCAAGAGTCCCATGGGAGGAGTGATGATAATGCAGAATCAAAGAGCACTCATCCAAAAGGCCTCCTAAGAGAGAGAAGCAGAGAGCTGGAGTCCCTCTCCTCTCCCTACTCACCTCTGGGTTTCTAACCATTGCCCTTCTCATCTTTCAGAGTGGGAGAGATTTGGGGTAGAACTATTTGTCCTTTGTCTTGCACTTGGGTTGGGTCAAGCTTGAACCTTAGAAGTAAGACTTATGTGGATGTAAAGAGAAGTCTGCCACCTCTCAAGAAAAATAAGCCCATTCTCTTAGATGGTTTTGCTACTGTTATGTGCCGCTTTTTGGAATTTACTATTTTTTTTTTTTTTTGGAGATGTAGTCTCACTCTGTCACCCAGCCTGGAGTGCAGTGGCATGATCTTGGCTCACCACAACCTCCGTCTCCCAGGTTCAAGTGATTCTCAGCCTGCTGAGTAGCTGGGATTATAGGCACGCACCATCACGCCCGGCTAATTTTTGTATTTTAGTAGAGACAGGGTTTCACCATTTGGCCAGCATGGTCTTGATCTCCTGACCTTGTGATCCACCCACCTCTGCCTCCCAAAGTGCTGGGATTACAGGCATGAGCCACCGCGCCCAGCTGGCATTTACTCTTGTTCCATAAGGACAAGGACACATTGACCTTCTGTTCCTTCTCTCTATAAGGATGTTTCGGCTGCCCCAGCCATCTGCAATGGGAGGTTGCATGGAATCTTGTCCTGGGCAGAAGGAAGTGTCACCCTAGGAAGTGAAGGATTCTTCACAGGTGTTCATAGCTATGCAAGATGGATCTTGAAAATTATGGATACCCACTGAGGCGTCTCTGTTCCCATATCCCCTCAGTACCACCTCTTCATAATTTCTACACTGGATCTACAACTCTCTTCATCTTTGTTATTTTGGAACAAAATCCAAAGAGGAAACATCTGATTAAAAAAAAAAAATGAGTAGCTGAGAACCTGTGCCATGACTCCTGCTGTCTTTGTCATGTAAACTTTGAGGATAATGAGAAATTTAGCAACCTCTTCACCTTGTGTTTGTTCATTCATTTATTCATTCAAAAATTAACCACTAGCTGTTTAGTAGGCACAGCCTTTGCTAAGGATGCCTGAGTGACTATGACATGACCTTGGCCATCAGTTAGCTAATTACAATACCTTTTGATAACTGCTATAACAGAGATGAGCAGTAAGCTCCACGAAAACATAAAATAAAACATTCTGAGTGGTAGTGCCAGGAGAAGTAACACCAGAGAGGTGGACAAATTAGGGGAGGATATTGTAAAACTGAGCACATAGTTTATTAAAAGGCAAAAAAGCATATGAAAGTGTGGTATAGGCTGGAAAATATATGTAAATAAGCAAACCTTGAAGGTAGAAAATAAATTGTAGAAAAGGAAAAATAATGCCATAAAATATTATTCTATTATAGGCAGGCAAATGTTGAGAGATGAAGGGCCTGACCTGCTCTATAAAGGAACTTAGATTTTTACCTTGTAGGCATTGGAGGGGGTGTCATTGAAGCTTTTACAGTAAACAAAACACCATCCAATTTCTGATTTGAGAGATACTAAGGAAGTAACATCTGTAAGATTTGGACATACTTACTGTAAGAAGAAAGGCAAGGGAGATGTCAGGGATAACTCTCCCAAGTTTTTGACTTGGACAACAGGTAAGATGGTGATTCTCAAAGATAATATGAGGATAACAAGTGCATTTGTGTGCAAGGTATCAAGAGCATGGTCCTGCATGAGGAGACAGGTGGCCTGCTATATTGAGATCCTTTAAGGATGTAGAGGTGGTTATTTCCAGCAGGCAGTTGGAGACATTGATCTGAAATCCAGATGCTGCCTGAGGAGTGACTAACAAACAGGAGTCCTACATTGGTGGGTGGGAGCTGCGGGGTTTGGGAGGGCTCTCTCCTATGGAGAAGAGCTGTGATGGGTGCTCAGCCCTTCTCTCACACTGGCATATGTTGGGGAGATGTGCAGCATCCCATAGCCACTGTCCAAATCATCTAAAAACAGAGACAGAGTTAAGGGGATTCTGAGTGGCCCCCCAAAGTTAGGGGTTTGAGTGACATATGAGAGACCAAAGAGCAACAGAGAGAAAAGGGTCAATATGACATAGGGATCTTATGTTAAAAAAGAAAAGATGGGCAGAGGAGGCCAGTGAAGATGGGAACAGAGAACCACACCATAGGAGAAACCCACTGTGGGAGGCGTAAAGAGGTTTGAGGTTTCTTCCCTTGAGGGGCGCAGTGAATCTAGGGCATCTATAAAGTCTGCAGAGGTGAGTTGGTTTTTGGACCCTGAACCTGGATGCCTGAATGTGTTTTCTCTTCTCCTAAAACAAAACAAAACAAAACAAAACAAAACCCACATGCGGTGACTCAGGTCTATAATCCCAGCACTTTTGGAGGCTGAGGTGGGAGGATTGTTTGACACCAGGAATTTAAGACCAGCCTTGGTAACACAGAGAAACCTTTGCCTCTACATAAAATAGTAATAAAAAAAAAAGCTCCTAACTACATGGGAGGCTGACAGGGGAGGAGGTCACGGCTGCAATGAGCTATTACTGTGCCACTGAATTCCAGCCTGAGTGACAGAGCAAGACCCTGTCTCTAAAACAACAACAACAAAAAACCAAAACCAGAGAGCTTAGGTGCATCTAAGACCAATAGCTTGTTCTGGTCCATTCACAGAAATTTTCTTTGTTCTAAAATCTAGATACTAAAGCCATTTCATTCACTATATGATTATTTTTTTCTTTAATTTCTGGCCCCATCCAAATGACACGTCCTCAGTTTGCCAGTCTTCTCTCACATTTTCCCCAGTTTCCTGTCTCTGACTCACTGCCCAAAGCACCCTTAATGAATCATGTCTGTATTTGTGCCAGAGTTTTTTTTTAATTTCAAATTTTATTTTAGATGCGGGGGGGACACGCGTAGGTATGTTACGTGGGTATATTGTGTTATGCTGAGGTTTGGGGTATGGATCCCATCACCCACGTAGTGAGCATAGTACCTGGTAGGTAGTTTTTCAAACCATGCCCCTCTCCCTCCCTCCAACTTCTAGTAATCTGCAGTGTCTATTGTTCTCATGTTTATGTCCATGTGTGCTCAATATTTAGCTCCCACTTATAAGTGAGAACATGCGATATTTGGTTTTCTGTTCCCGTGTTAATTCACTTAGGATTATAGAGCTCAACTAATTACTTCTTGTAACCCTTGAATTACATCTTTAGCACTTATTGGCAATCCTATCTTCTCCAATAAATTGTTTGTATAATTCTCCGCAGTAGCAATTTCAAACCCTCTCCTCTCTCCTCAAACTTTTAATGCTCACTTTTAGCAGATGACCTCTAGTGTGGGAGTAGAGAAAAACTGAAACCAGCAGAAGATACCTCTCTGAAATTGCCACCACTAAAACTGCAAACATACTTGCTTTCCCCCACCTTTTTTCTTTTTCATTCTTCCTGCTATAGTGGAAGTAAGACCTTATTATTTACAGCCTCTATCTCTACCTGTGAAATGGACCCCATCTTGTCTGACTTCCTCATGGACTTGCTGTATTGATTATCTCCAATTTTCCCTATCTATCACCTTCTTCCTGTTATCATTTAAGGAAAATAAAGCCTCACTCATCTAAAATACAGAACCCGAGGACATGTTTCTTTGACCTACTCTCTGATTGCCTCCTCTATTTCCTTTGCAGGCAGTTCTTACTCGACAAATCCTGCAAAGTCTGTTTCATATGATTCTCCTATCTGTGTCTCCTTGCCTGTCTCTCTCTTCATTCTCTTTTTTACATTCCTTGTTCTCCTTGGAGCTCTGGTTCATCCACCTGGAGATTTCTTCCCCATCTCTTCATTTGGCTAACTTCTACTCATCCTTCAAGTTTCAAACTTCACTTCCCAAAGAAGGTCTTCTTCTGACCTTATATTAGGGTCCTGCGACATGCTTCTCTACCTCCCTTTTCCTTTGACATTCACGATGATTGTTCTTGTTACATCTGTCTCCCCCTCATTAAGCATTATGATGTATGAGAGCAAGCTTCTTATCTCCCTTGCCATGGAATCATCATTATAGAATATGATGCCAGCATCCAGTATGCATTTGTATTAGTTTTCTAATGCTGTGTAAAAACATCACAAATTTAATGGCTTAATAAAAATACACATTTAGGAGGAGTTCAAGAAAAAATTAGTGGATAGGAGCAGGACTAGGTTGCAGCTCCCACTTGGAGGGACAGAGCAGCATGTGGATACCCACATCGTCAACTTTTTCTCCAAGAACTACTGCAGGAATAATGAAACCAAGAAGAAAATTTAAAAATTCTTTGAACTGAACAATAATAGTGACAAAACCTATCAAAACCTCTGGGATACAGCAAAAGAGGTGCTAAGAGGAAAGCTCACAGAATTAAATGTCTACATCAAAAGTGTGAAATTGCACAAATAGACAATCTAAGGTTACACCTCAAGGAACTAGAGAAACAAGAACCAACAAAACCCAAACCTAGAAGAAGAAAAGAAATAATCAAGATTAGAGCAAAACTAAATGAAATGGAAATAACAACAAAAGAAAATATAAAACATACATGAAACAAAAACCTAGTTCTTTGAAAAGATAAATAGAATTGATAGACCATTAATGAGCTTAACCAAGAAAAGAAAAGGGAAGAATCAGATAAGCTCAACCAGAAATGAAATGGGAGACATTACAACCAATACCACAGAAATACAAAAGATCATTCAAGGCTACTATGAACACCTTCACATGCATAAGCTAGAAAATCTAGAGGAGATGGATAAATTCCTGGAAATATAAAACCCTCCCAGATTAAACCAGGAAGAAATAGAAACTCTGTACAGACCTATAACAAGCAGCAAGATTGAAATGGTAATTAAAAAGTTGCCAATAAAAAAAGTCCAGGATCAGACAGATTCACAGCTGAATTCTATCAGACATTCAAAGAAGAATTGGTACCAATCCTGCTGACATTATTCCAAAAGATATTGACACTATTCCAAAAAGGGAATCCTCCCTAAATCATTCTATGAAGGCAGTATCACCCTAATATCAAAACCAGGAAAGAACATAACAAAAAAGAAAACTACAGGCCAATATCCCTGATGAATATGGATGCAAAAATCTTCAACAAAATACTAGCTAACAGAATCCAACAGCATATCAAAAAGGTAATCCACCATGATCAAGTGGGTTTCATACTAAGGATGCAGGGATTGTTTAACATCTGCAAGTCAACAAATGTGATATACTATATAAAAAGAATTAAAACAAAAATCATATGATTATCTCAGTAGATGCAGAAAAAGCATTTGAAAAAATCCAACATCTCTTTATGATTAACACCCTTAGCAAAATCGGCAAAATGTGGCATAGAAGGGACATATCCTAAGGTAATAAAAGCCATCTATAACAAACCCACATCCAACATTATACTGAATGGGGAAAACTTGAAAGCATTCCTTCTAAGAACTGGAACAAGACAAGGATGCCCACTTTGATCACTTCTATTCAACATAGTACTGAAAGTCCTAGCCAGAGCAATCAGACAAGAGAAAGAAATAAATGGCACCCAAATTAGTAATGAGAAGGTCAAACTCTCATTGCTTGCTGATGACATGATCGTATACCTATAAAACCCTAAAGACTCATCCAAAAATCTCCTAGAACTGGAATATGAATTCAGCAAAGTTTCAGGACACAAAACTAATGTACACAAATAAGTAGCACTGCTATGCACCAACAGCAACCAAGCTGAGAATCAAATCAAGAGCTCAATCCCTTTTACAATAACCACACAAAAAAAGGAATATAGTTAATCAAGGAGGTGAAATACCTCTACAGAGAAAACTACAAAACACTGCTGAGAAATCATAGAAGACACAAACAAATGAAAACACATTCCGTGCCCATGGATGGGTAGAATAAATATTGTGAAAATGATCATACTGCTAAAAGCAATCTACAAATTCAATTCAATTCCCACCAAAATACCACCATCATTCTTCACAGAACTAGAAAAATAATCCTAAAATTCATGTGGAACCAAAAAAGAGTCCACATAGCCAAAGGAAGACTAAGCAAAAAGAACAAATCTGGAGGTATCACATTACCTGACTTCAAACTATACTACAAGGCCATAGTCACCAAAACAGAATGGTCCTGGTATAAAAATAGGCACATAGCCCAATGGAACAGAATAGAGAATCCAGAAATAAAGCCAAATACTTATAATCAACTGATCTTCGACAAAGTAAACAAAAACATAAAGTGGGGAAAGGACAGCCAATTCAACAATGGTGCTGCGATAATTGGTAAACCACATGTAGAAGAATGAAACTGGTTTCATCTCTCACTCTACACAAAAATCAACTCAAGATAGACCAAAGACTTAAATCTGAGACCTGAATCCATGTAATTTCTAGAAGATAACATAGGAAAAACCCTTCTAGACATTGGCTTAGACGAAGACTTTATGACCAAGAACCCAAAAGCAAATGCAACAAAAAGATAAATAGATGGTACTTAATTAAATGAGAAATCTTCTGCACAACAAAAGAAATAATCTGCAGAGTAAACAGACAACCCTGAGAAAATCTTTGCAATCTGTATAGCTGCCAAAGGGCTAACATTCAGAATCTACAAGGTACTCAAACAAATCAGCAAGAAAAAAAAAAACAATCCCATCAAAAAGTGGGCTAAGGACATGAATAGATAATTCTTAAAAAAATACTTACAACTGGCCAAAAAACATATGAAAAAAAAATCAAAACCACAATGTGATACCACCTTACTCCTGCAAGAATGGCCATAATCAAAAAAAAAAATAGATGTTGGAATGGATGTGGTGAAAAGGGAACACTTTTACACTGTTGGTGGGATTGTAAACTAGTACAACCACTATAGAAAACAGTGTGGAGATTCCTTAGAGAACTGAAAGTAGATCTACCATTTGATCCAGCAATCCCACTCCTTGGAATCTATCCGGAGGAAAAGAAGTCATTATAGGAAAAAAGTTCTTGCACATACATATGTCTCCATAGCTTTGCCTTTCCCAGAATGTCATATAATTGGAATTATATGGTATATAATCTTTTCAGACTAGCTCTTTTCACTTAGCAATATGCATATAGGTTTACTCCATGTCTTTTCATGGCTTGAGAGTTAAGTTTTTTAAATCATAAAATCTCTGAATAACATTTCATTATATGGATGAATCACACTTTGTTTATCCATTTATCTATTGAAGGACATGTTGGTTGCTTCCAAGATTTGGCAACTTTGAACAAAGCTGCTATAAACATTTATGTGTAGGATTTTTGTGAACACAAGTTTTCAAATCTTTTGGTGTATCAAGAAGTGTAATTGCTGTATCATATAGTAAGGTTATGTTGAGCTTAATAAGAAACTTCCAAGCTATTTTCTAAAGTGACTGTACCATTTTGCACTCTCATCAGCAATAAATTCTCACCAGCATCAGTTCTTGATACTTCATATCCTCACTAGCATCTGTTGTTGTCAGTGTTTGAATTTTAGCCCTTCCACAGGGTATGTAGTAGTATCCCATTGTTGTTGTAATTCCCTAATGACATATTATGTTAAGAATTTTTTCATATGCCATTTACCATCTGTATATATTCTCTGGTGTTATCTTCCCCATCACTGCAAAATATATCTGTTTGAAGGCCTAAACCTCAATGCAACTGTATTGAAGATAGGGCCTAAAAGGAAGCAATTAAGGCTAAATTAGGTTAGAAGGGTGGAGCCCTGATCCAATAGGATTTATGTCCTTATAAAAAGAGTCACCAGAGAGCTTTCTTTCCCTCTTTATCTCTGTGTGCACAGAGGAAAGGCCATGTGAGGAAGCAGTAAGAAGGTGATCATCCACAAGCCAGGGAGAGAGGCCTCACCAGAAACTGAATTTGACAACACCTTGATCATGGACTTCTGACCTCCAGAACTATAAGAAAGTAAGTGTCTGTCGTGTAAGACACCTAGACTGTGGTTTTTTTTATGGCAGTCCAAGCAGACTAAAACATTTGGTAAGGATCTTTGGCCCACTTTTAGGTTGTGTTGTTTGTTTTCTTAATGTCGAATTTTACTATTTCCTTATACATGAATTATTTAGCAGATATGTGTTTTGCAAATATTTTTATCTAGTCTGTGGCATATCTCAATTTTTAGCCCTGAATACTTTGTTTCATAACCATCAACTTAAGTATCATTCCCACTAGTCTGTAAGCTCTTGGAAGGTAGGAAAGAAATCCTTCAGTTGAGGCAACCCCAACAGCAAGCACAGATCCTAGCACAAGTTAGATACATAAGATAAATAATTAGCAGGTTGGTTCACAGAATAAATGGATAAACAGTGACATGAAGGAAAAGGTTAATGTATTTCAAAGAGGAGTTTAATGTCAGGCAGAGGAAGCAATGTCAGCTCCAGAGGGCTACATTATGTCCACTGGAGAAAAATAGCATCACACAGTGGGAGATAGCATCACACAGACAGGAGGGGCAGCAGCCCACACATAGTTTAGAGGGGAACCTGCCTACCAAGGCTGGCAAAAAGGAGACCAGACAGGAGGCGTCTGTAGAGATATCATGAACTTCAACTTAGCTTTGGTACTTTCTTCCCTGAAGACAGAGGGCAGAACTCTGAGTTCCAGAACCATTTTCAACTGTATTGGGGACCAATCACTTGACTCTATTCTTGTCTCTCTGACAGATGACGCTACACTCTCCTCTGAATAATGGACACCATTTCTAAAACTGAATCCTGCTACTAAAATAATTCAGATGATATATTTTTCCAATTCTACAATCTTGCTTTGTTTTATTTAGTTGTTTTCTCTCTCTCTTCCCAGTTTTCCAGAGACTGGAGCTAAACTGGGCTTTCAACATCATCATGAAGTTTATCCTCCTCTGGGCTCTCTTGAATCTGACTGGTGAGTGTGTGCATATTTGTCTCTTTACCCACCAAAGAGAAATCCTGGGAAAAGCATGAAAGACGGGTAACAGCGAGAGGCATCATTCCAGAATTCAAGTGTAGGATGGTCCTCTGTCCCTCTCCACTGCCCCGTTCCCATCAAGTTTCCTCCTGTGATAGTGCCTGCCTGCCTGCCGCAGGAGGTTTGCTTGTGTGCTTTTGTGGGAGGCGTGGACATTGTCACTCAAATACCAGACCCACTCCTAAGACCTGACTCTGGACCTGTCTGCAACAGGATTGATGTTCTGCACCACAGAGGGCACAGCAGAACATTGAAGAATCAGATATCTCCTGGCACAGTTCCAGTTACTCAGGCATAAACCCAGGCTTATTCATAAATCCTCTCTTTCTCTCATACCCCACGTTTGATCTCTTAGAAAAATGTTGGCTTTGTCTTCTAAATGTATCCTAAATTCAATCACATCTCACCATCTCCACTGCTCACAATGATCTAAGCCACCACCTCTTGCCTGGATTAGCAAATTATTCTCCTAACAGACCCCTCTACCTCTATACTTCTACACTCTACAGGTTCTCCATGAGGAGACTGTCATCACTCCTTTGCACAAATCCTTGAGTGGTTCCATTTGTACTCAGGAAACAAGGCCGAGTTCTTACGATGGTCTACAAAACCCTCCATTCTTCTTTGAGCCCCTTTCCTCCTCTGCTCCCCTTCATTCACTCTGGGTCAGCAGCCATGGCCTCTGTGATGTAACTGACACAAGCCTCAGGACCCATGCTGCAGCTGTTGCCTCTGCCTGGAGTCCCTTCACCCAGATATTTGACTAGCAACTTCCCCCGTTTTCATGTTATTGTTCAACATTGCCCATGAAGTTATACTCTGATGACTGGTTTAATATTACCTGAGACTGGAGTAATGGCTCATGCCTATAATCCCAGCACTTTGGGAAGCTGAGGTGGGAGGATCACTTGAGCCCAAGAGTTTGAGACCAGCCTGGGCAACATATCAAGACTCCATCTCTATTAAAAAAATTAAAAAATTTAAAAATTAACCAGATATGGTGGCACACACCTGTAGTCCAAGCTACTCAGGAGGGTTTGCTTGAGCCCAGGAGGTTGAGGCTGCAGTGAGCCTGATCTTGCCACTGCACTCCAATCTGAGCAACAGAGTGAGATCCTGTCTCAAACAAACAACAAACAAATACTGCCTGAAACCCCTCCTTCTCCCCCAACACACAATTGGTAATACCTTTCTCTCTTTCCCTGTCCTACTTTTATTTCCATAGCACTAATCACCATTTAACATCATATATAGTTTACTTGTGTGTTTTTCCATAGCACTAATCACCATTTAACATCCTACATAGTTTATTTGTGTGTTGTGTTTATTATTACTGAATATCTTCATTAATTGTAATATATGAGAGCAGGAATATCTACTTTGTTCACTATATAGCCCAAGCCCCTAAAACAGAGCTTGACATATACTAGGTGCTCAATGTATATTTGGTAAAACAATACATTATTTTTCCCCTCCTCAGACTCTTAGCATTTGGTCTGTTCTTGTCATGATACTTATATAATTCTGTCTTGAGTTGTTGTTGGGAAAAAGAGATAAGACTTATTAAAGCATTCTAAATCAGAATGCCTTAAGACTTATTGAAGCATTCTAAAATTGGTAAAAATAGTGAAAAAAATTCGTTGATTTAGCATACAACCCACTAAATTGTGGAAGGTATTTAAGAAAGTTGAACATTTAATTTGAAAGATTTTATTGACAGTGAAAAAGCCAAACACTTTTTATTTTTCAAAAGAGATATGTTTCTACCATTTGTCTTTTCTTCGTGTTTTAGAACAAAGTAAGTCATTTTACAGATAAAGTTGCTAGAGAAAAGGATAGGGGAACTTGGAGCCTATTAAATGACTTTCCTGAAGTTTTTCTGGTGATGACTGAGAAATCTTGGAATTTCTTGTCTATGCTTCTCTTTCCAGTTGCTTTGGCCTTTAATCCAGATTACACAGTCAGCTCCACTCCCCCTTACTTGGTCTATTTGAAATCTGACTACTTGCCCTGCGCTGGAGTCCTGATCCACCCGCTTTGGGTGATCACAGCTGCACACTGCAATTTACCGTGAGTGATAAGCCTTCAAAGGCACTCCATTCTTTGGGTTCTCAGGTTGGGCACAGACTCTCACCCCTGTCTGAGACCATCTCCCAATTAAATGGGATTAGAAAGGCCTTTGGGAGACATACGAGGGTACAGAAAAAGGTCTGTGGGGAGGGATAATAGAGGCTCATAATGATGGAGAAGCCATCTCTGTTAAGTCCTCTCATAAACGTCTATATTGTTCCAGAAAGCTTCGGGTGATATTGGGGGTTACAATCCCAGCAGACTCTAATGAAAAGCATCTGCAAGTGATTGGCTATGAGAAGATGATTCATCATCCACACTTCTCAGTCACTTCTATTGATCATGACATCATGCTAATCAAGCTGAAAACAGAGGCTGAACTCAATGACTATGTGAAATTAGCCAACCTGCCCTACCAAACTATCTCTGAAAATACCATGTGCTCTGTCTCTACCTGGAGCTACAATGTGTGTGATATCTGTGAGTTCAAGACAATGTTCTTCTCTCAGAATTAGACATGCTTCTACACCTTCGCGACTCTTGGCTTCTTCAATTCGGCCTAGTGAAGCTTTCTTCTAACCTCTTTCCCCCCTTTCCTTTTCTCTGTACCTCACTGAAGGAGTGCTTCAAGGTTTTTGGGTTTTTTTTATTCACCCGCTGTATCTTTCTATCATTTTCTCTTTCATATATGATAGAAGTGGTTTTAGTGGAAAGAAAACATTTGTATTCCAATCCTAATTTTCTATGTGACAGCAGGTCATTTTACCTTGGAGCCTCAATTTCCTTAACTCTAAAATAAAGCAGATTACTCTGTTGTATATTTTCAAACCATTTCAGGCAATAAAGCAACTTGAAGCTTTGAAAAGTCATGAAATAAATATCAGTGTATTAAATGTAAGATAAATATATAATATTTTACTAAATGCGATAGAACTTCCTTATGTAAGATTTTAATAAAGATACAGAGTTAAAGTTTTAAAAAGAACTTCTGAAATAAACATTTTAAACTGGTAACATTCTAAGCATTCACTCATTTCTTCAGAAAATTGACAAAGGGCTACCATTATTTTTATCAATGGAAGTTTTCTATACATAATTTGAAACTCCTGAACTAGATAGTCTATCTAAACTTTGTTCTAGGCCTCATGTTTCATATTCCATAAAACACCCACAACTTAAGGCAACTTTCTGTTTTCTAAGTTGCATCTCCATCTGCCCATTACTCCATCTCCAAATTTCTATGCAAACCCTAATTAACTGTCTATAGTTGCTAATTACGAGAGTTGAGAGTAGTGGTGAAAGGGAGTTGATTACCTATTAGCAAAATAGAACAATGATATATAATCCCTTGTGAAGAATTATTAATGCAACTTTACTCATGAGTAAGTTTGAGTATATATAATATACATCATACACTAGATACCATAGTATGAAAAGGAGATTTATTTGAAACAAACCTGTCAGATTACATTCATCTATCCATCACTACTTTCTTTTTATAGAAACCAACGGGCAGATGTACACTTATTCTATCATTGTTGCCATGATTCAAGCCTTTTAAAACTAATCCTTAGTAAATACCTTCAGATTTAGAGCACATTTTCTTGAATATATCAATAAGTAGAAATTATTTGTCCTCTGAGAGTCAATTTGATTTTTGGAAAGAGCCAAATGTCCTTCTGTGAGCAGTATGTTTGATTCATCTGGGTTATGGCATAAGGTTCAAAACGAGATATGACTTCAAAAAAAATGCATCTTATTTTGATCTGGGTCATCAAGTAGTTAAGTAAGCATTTCCTACAGAAGTATTCCCAAAAGAAATGTTTAGCCATGAAATTATTGCTTGGAAAATAAAGTGAAGGATCTTATACATTTTCTTTTCAAGAAGTAATACATTATTTTCAAATAAAAACATTAAACATACTCTTCCATTATTAAAAAAACCAAAATCTTAAAATACAGTACTTCTTCCCAAAGAAACGTCCGTGGAAAGAACACGTGCCACATGTGTTCATACTACTTTGTTGTTTTTCTCATTTTGTTTCAGATTGGACAAATTTTGTTACAAGTGTGCACAATTCACAGTATTTGTGGACTATTGATACAAAGAAAAGAACTTTAATTAGGAACCAGGAAATCCAGTTTTAAATCTTAGCTTTACCATTTACTAGCTTTATATGTTTAAGAAAACTGCTTTTTCAGTGACTTTTTTGTGCAGATACTCGGTTTTGTTTTGACCTGACAATTGAGAAAGTAGGCCAGATATCTGTAAATTCATTCAAACTCTAAAAATTACATCTCAAAAGAAACCCTTTGAATGTTTAAATTTCCAGAAAAGTTTTTGGGTTTTTTTGAGATGGAGTCTCACTCTTGTCACCCAGGCTGGAGTGCAGTGGCGCAGTCTCGGCTCATAGCAACCTCCGCTTCTTGAGTTCAAGCAATTCTCCTGCCTCCCAAGAAGCTGGCATTACAGGCACTCATCACCACGCCCAGCTAATTTTTCTATTTTTAGTAGAGACAGGGTTTCACCATGTTGGCCAAGCTGGTCTCGAACTCCTGACCTCAGGTGATCCACCCATCCTGGCCTACCAAAGTGCTGGGATTACAGGCGTGAGCCACTGTGCCCAGCCAAATTTCCAGAAAAGTTTAAAACAAAGTGTTTCATTTCATTCCTGGAGTGTCTCACATGTACATGTAACTCCCAAGAATTTGATCACTTTTATAAGGTCACCGATTTTGCATCATAAGAAATTGTTAATCTGATCATCTCCTATACCCTCGTTGTCCTAACTGCCACAGTTCTGACTTCTCTGAATGTTTGATCTCTTTTAATTTCTGATGGTAGAAGAAGAAAAGTTTTTTAAAAGAAGTTTTAATACCTAACAAAACTCTTAAGGAAGTTTGACTTCTATCTTTTCTTTAGACAAAGAGCCCGATTCACTGCAAACTGTGAACATCTCTGTAATCTCCAAGCCTCAGTGTCGCGATGCCTATAAAACCTACAACATCACGGAAAATATGCTGTGTGTGGGCATTGTGCCAGGAAGGAGGCAGCCCTGCAAGGTAAAATACTCTTCATCCATTAATTTTCCCATTTTCTTCCTTCTGTCTTGCCAGAAAGATAATCTGCTTTTTTGTTGTTGTTATTATTGTTTTCCTGGCAGGAAGTTTCTGCTGCCCCGGCAATCTGCAATGGGATGCTTCAAGGAATCCTGTCTTTTGCGGATGGATGTGTTTTGAGAGCCGATGTTGGCATCTATGCCAAAATTTTTTACTATATACCCTGGATTGAAAATGTAATCCAAAATAACTGAGCTGTGGCAGTTGTGGACCATATGACACAGCTTGTCCCCATCGTTCACCTTTAGAATTAAATATAAATTAACTCCTCACATTGCCCCATGCATACCTGTCTCAATTCTGCTAAACAGAGTGGGTGCTTGAGCAGTTTTACTTGTACATATCTTCACTGTGATTATTCATAACAACCCTTCTTGCCTTCTAGATAAGGATGGAAAACCCAAAATTCCTCAGATAATTGAAGTTTATGAAGTGGGAATTATGTTCTCTCTAACGAATTGGTAACTGACATAAAATAAAGGCCACTCCACAGCCATTTGGGGTACAAAACCCTTTACTACATGCACCAAATTAGACAATGTGTGATTTTGGCACATTACTATGCTGATTGAAAAAAGGAAGTCTAATAAAGAGGGATCTATATAGAAGGGCAAAGGTGAGAGGGGAGGGGAGGGCAAAGGTGAGAGGGAGGTGTTACACTTAGCTTCTCCTTGCCCATGCAACTCTCAATGCCATCGATGGATTCTGGTCATTCATGTTGCAGGATTCTGAGTGTTTACTGGAGACATGAGGAGTTACTATAAAAGTTAACTGAGGTTTATGGCACAGCAGATAAACGGGAAATCAATGACAGATTTTCCTAGTACATACTTGCCTTTTATATAAAGCTAGTTGCCCAGGAACTCCACTTTCTCACTCTATAGTATTTTCCTCTCTTCCTTCCTTCTCTCTTCACTTCACCCTGCAGTCTGTTACCCCCTGAGAGTTTTAATTGATAGTTTTAAGTGGAGAGGTGTTTTTTTGGCCAGTTGACTGAGTATTTAAAAAAACAAAAACAAGAACAGATTTTAGAGAGTTCAGCCTGTGGCTGCTACAAGTGGACTACTGGAGTCTTTCAGCCCAGCTAGGGAAGAAGAGAACCCCCTCAGGAAGCAGAAGTTCTAGTAGGAAAACTTCATCTATCCAGGGCTCTAAAACCCCTAAATCAGTAACGCCTAGCTTGCAGTATTGAGAAGCTAAATTGGGAGTGCGAATTATTAAGTGCAACTGTGACAGCTTCATTTGCACATATTTTATTAACTGAAATTTTAGTTTGGAGAGGAAAATGGTTTGGAGACCATTTTTCAGAGGAGCACCTTAGCCTCTAAAGATGTCTCCCAACTTGAGCTGGTCCTAAGATTTCAATAGGTCGTAGTGATATTGTATAAGGCCAGCTGATCCTAGGTGGTGAAACATGGCAAGGCCACTGGATTCCATAAGCATTAGCACTATCTATAAGACTCCACTAGCACTGTGAGGTGACCTCCTTGGTTGGAGAATACATCATTTTTGTGTGGAATGCAATAAGGCATTCAGAGAATCCAAGGAATGTGATGCTAGGACAGTAACGGTGACAGGGGAAAGAAAATCCAAATTCAGAATATGTTATTTTGAGTGAGGACAAATAGCTACTCCCTCTGGCCTGAGCTGCACCATGTTGCCCATTTCTTTCTTACTGTACATGTGCTAACAAAAAAGGGAAGATGAAGCTTCTATGGTGGACATGCCTGGCCCCCAGGTACACCTTTTCTTTTGGTGTAGCTGCAGGCATCTCCCCATGCAAGTTTCCAGCTTTCTTACCTATGTTTGCAGCTCAATATTTCAGGATGCTCTTTGTTAGAAAAAAAAAAAAAAAATGAGGCCAGGTGCGGTGGCTCACGCCTGTAATCCCAGCACTTTGGGAGGCCGATGTGAGTGGATCACCTAAGGTAAGGAGTTTGAGAACAGCCTGATCAATATGGTAAAACCCCATCTCTACTAAAAGTACAAAAATTAGCCACGCGTGATGGTGGGCAATTGTAATCCCAGCTACTCGGGAGGCTGAGAGAGGAGAATCGTTTGAACCCGGGAGGTGGACGTTGCAGTGAGTTGAGATCACACCACTGCACTCCAGCCTGGGCAACAAGTAAGACTCCATCTCAAAAAAAAAAAAAAAAAAGATTTTAAAAGTACTTTTGTTCTCATCTACCTTTGTAGAGAGGTTTTCTGGGTTGGGGGATTTTTTTTCTCCTTGAATTATTTCTAATAATATTTATTTATGAAATATATTTAATTATATTTGATTAATTCATATAATTATATAATATTCAATTATTTTACTTAAACTTAATAATAGATTTAGTTATATTTTCCCAACAGCTCATAGTGTTGCCACCACCCAGTAGTGGGACCTTGGGTTTCAGCAGCTTCATCCATAGGATGGAAATAATAACAAAAATTATTATTTTTTTATTACATTTTAGATAATGTATACATTATCTAAATGTATTTAGGGTCAATACATTTTAGAATAGAGCTTGGCACAGACTAAGCTTTCAATAAGAGTTGACTTCTATGATTGCAATGGTAAATTTTAAATTCAATTAAAATATGACAACTGGTAGTAATTTTAGTCTTTAATTACCATTCACTTAGTACTCAACTGAGATTAAAAGCTTAAATTCTCAGAATTTTTTTAATTTTAAAAATTATTTAAAAAAATTTTTATGCATACATAGTAGGTATATACATGTATGGGGTACATGAGATGTTTTGATACAGGCATGGAATGTGAAATAAGCACATCAAGCATTTGGGCAACATGATGAAGCCCCGTCTCTACAAAAAATACAAAAATTAACTAGGCATAGTGATGCACACCTATAATCCCAGCTATTCAGGAGGCTGAGGCAGGAAGGTCGCCTGAGCCTGGGAGGTCAAGGCTGCAGTGAGCTGTGATTATGCCACTGCAATCCAGCCTAGGTGACAGAGTGAGACCTTGTCTCAGAAAAAAAAAAAAAAGCCTTTATACTTTGGGTTACAAACAATCCAATCACATTCTTTAAGTTCAGTCATAAAAAAGAATGAGATTTACCTATTTTTCAACATTGATAAGGGGCCTCATTTTTCAGAAAGCTTGGAAACCAATCATCTGGGAAATTCAACTTAAAAGGCCCTGTATCCACCATCTCTCCAACCGCAGCATTTTACAGAGAGCAAGAAGGAGGCACAGAGGGGTTTAGAAACTGAACTTCACTATTTCAAGACCTGGGACTGCACTGCCCTCAGGTCGGTGACCCTCTTGTGGTGTCTTCCCTGTCACAGGCACTTGATAAATGCAGAAGGGAAGCAGGGCCAGCCCCAGCCCCATCTCCCTAGAGAGCCTCACACAGGTGTAGCAATGGCCTGGCTTCCTGGGGTGGAAGCCAGATAAGGATCCAGGAGAAGAGACCCTCTGAGTCTGCAGTCACTGCTCCCAGCTCTTTATTGAGGACCTTGCCTCTGTGCTGAGGACAGTGCTCTGTCCAGCAGGACAGATTGCAGGATAAGGGATCCTGGGCCCGTCTCAATTTACAAGACTGGCTATCCTGTCTCCCTACTGCCCCCTCCCTTAATCCTTAAGTGAGATTGGGATCAGAATGTCTCCACGCACCTGTTATCTCTCTCTCTCTGGTGTTACTGCTCCTCAAGGTCAGTGCCTCCCAGGCTCCGACCTCTCCTCTTCTCTTGGCTCAGCTCTGGTCCTGGGCCAAGATAAGCCTCTTGCTTCCAGATGGCTGCCGAGCTCCCTGCCTTCTCTGTCAGGCCTAGAGTTAGGGGCTGTGGCTGCCCCCTTGAGGCATTTGTTTTCTCCCTCACCACACCCCAATTACTACTCAAGTGCTCACAGCAGCAGCAAACAACCTTAGCTGGGTCCTCACCAGCTTTGATGAGCTCAGTAGCCAAAAAAAAAAAAAAAAAAAAGACTATGCCTGCAATGAGAAGCTGTAAGCAGATCGTGCCGGCATCTGTACATCTACTCCTGAGCTGAATTCCTCTGTGGAGAGGTGAGGCCCAGTCTGTGTGGGAGAGGCCCTCAGGGTCCATGTCCTCTCCATTGTCAAGTGGAGAGCCAGCAACCAGGGGTCAGATGAGGTGACTTCTAGCTCTAGGTCAGCTGTGTCAGTCACCAGGGGGAAAATACTGTGGAGTTAGAGTCAGACTTTGGTTTCTTCCCTAAGAAGCAGCCAACAAATGTCACTAAATTCTTCCACCAGGACAAGCCATGTGGAAATGCATGGCAGGGGTCTGGTACCTGTAGGGTGTCTGTGACCTAAGGAAATTATGGTCAGGGACCATGACCCACCATTGACTCAACGGGGCATCAAGCACCACTCTTGTTACCCTTTGGAGCTCCCATTTCATCATCTAGAAATTAAGGAGATAGAAATTTTTGGAAAACTAAGTGGCTCTAAAGTTCTTTTCTATTCTGGTGTTCTAATATTCTAACCTTCCTTCTGTGTTGCTTCCATTGTTTGCATAATACTAATGTGCTCAATCGGGCAAGCTCAGCCTGCCATGCAGCCATTAAATTAATTTCTCTGAAAGGTAATTGATGGCCGGAAGGGAAAGCACAAAGCATCCCAAAGGCAAACTCATGTTTATTTCTCATCTTCTTCCCCTCACCTCCTCTCTCTTCCTGCTCCTCCCTAGGAGTGTGCAGAAAACCAAAGCTGCCCGACTCAACCATCTGAGAAGCTGATATCCCTCCTCTCAGTGTCCTTCTAGGGATTAGTAGCAAAGCCTCCTCTAGCAGATGGAAATTGCAGCCTTCCCTCCGGTCCCTGCCAGCTACTTCCCTCCTTCCTGCACTGCACTGGGAAATTGAAAGACTAGGTTTACAAGCAGTCCCACATCCTTGCTAGTACCGAAGTTCTATACATAGACAAAATGGGAAATGCCCACAAAAAGTGGGGTGGGGGCATAGTCCAGAGGCAGAATGTCCTGTAAAGACATCCAGGATAGAAGATGGAAGAGGTGGGCAGGAAGGGAGGGGGAGAAAAAGAAACTAAACTTTCTTGATTCTGCAGGGTCCCCACTGGCAGGACGCTGGCATGGGGTCAGGGTGGAAAGTCTAAATGATTCAATCCTAAGAATTTTCTGCCAGGCCCCTGCTTCAGAGTGAAAGCAACCTTCCCTGTATCCTCTCTGGGCACCTCTCACCTCCAGAGTTATGTAAGGGGCATCGCTCTGAACCCGGAGGATAATCAGATCAGAAGTGCCCCAGCCTGGCCCTCCCCCATGGCATGGTGCCTGGCCCAGGTAGGACATAAAACTCTGAAGCTCTCGAATGTTCATCTGCAAGGGAGATGCTCCAGGTCCCAGGAGCCATGGCCCATGACCTTCTCTTCAGGCTTTTTCCACCTTTGGCCCTGGGAGTCCCCTTACAAAGCAACCGCCTTGGCCCCACATCTCGCCTGCGCTATTCCAGGTTCCTAGATCCTTCTAATGTCATTTTCCTGCGTTGGGACTTTGACCTTGAGGCTGAAATCATCAGTTTTGAGCTCCAGGTCCGTACAGCTGGCTGGGTGGGCTTCGGTGTCACAAATCGCTACACCAACGTGGGAAGTGATCTGGTTGTTGGAGGAGTCTTGCCTAATGGCAATGTCTATTTCTCGGTAAGTGTGAGGGTGACTTGCTTCCAAGGATGAGGGTCTTTGTTGGGTTGAGGATGGTTTCTGTCCAGAAAGGATTCACATTCCCCGAGGATATCTAAACACACTCCCAGAATGCCAGCTGAATGCTGGTGTGTCCCTCCAGAAATGGTCCATTGTAGAGTTTGAAATCTATGTCTTCCAGACTGCAAGTCTCTAAGACTGCTGAGAGAATGAAACCATTAGATTGTGAGATAGTCTTGCACCACTTACTTGCTAAAGCCCACTAAATGCAGGTCACTAGGGAAAATTCAAAGCTGTCTGAGAAATAGTTACATGAAGAGCCACATGAGAGAATGAATGTCATACATACTTCAGATAATATGTGAGACTTCAAGAATTAGGGATGCAGGAATATTAGACTTTATGGACATGAGATTTGAAATGGGAGAAGTAAAGCAAGGACAGGTGGTGAAACTCCATTATCCATAAAAGTGTGCTCTGCCATGTTCTTCATGCCATGCTTTGCCCAAGGAGAAAAACTACATAATAAAGAACACCTGGGCTCTGCTACTCTAGTATCCTAGGGGAGCTAAAGGAACAGCTACTGCTCCAAAGCATGACATTTGAAGCTCCTAGTTCTTACTTCTTGACCTTCACTGGACCCAAGGATCAGCACTTGGTGGACGAAGACACTCTGAAGGAGGATGGGAGCCAGGATGCTGAGCTGCTGCGGCTGACGGAAGATGCTGTCTACACCACCATGCACTTTTCCAGGCCCTTCCGCTCCTGCGACCCTCATGACCTGGATATTACGGTAAAATAGAGAGCAGAGAAAAGCATTTAATCACAAGCAGGTTTTCCTTCTGGAGAGGTAGTTGCCCCCAGTCAGGCAGCTAGTCATCATTCCCAGGACTTCTATTCCTCTCAGCCTTCCCAGGAAATGCTCCAATTGTGCCACCTGCTGAAATCCACAAGCCTTCCGCAGGGTGACCTCCCACTGATTCACCTCCTGCCCACCTGCCCCAGGGTTTTCCTTTTGAAGAATTCTGCCCAGTTTCGCTGACCTTTAGAGTGTTAGGATATAAGAGTTTAATTCAGTCCTTTCATTTTACAGATGTGGACACAAGCTTAGAGAGGGCATGCGAGAGGGAGTGTGACTTGCTCAAGATCACCAGCAAGTGAGCCTCGGAGGCAGAAATAGAACTTAACTAGTTCTCACTCCCAGTGTGAAGCTCCTTCCATTCCACCATGTAGACATGAGCAAGTGCCTTGTGTAGGTCCTTGGGTGCAGGGATATGCAGAGTGCTGCTCAGGGGTGGCAGCTCCTCAATGCTTATGGCACCCCGCAGAGCAACACCGTGAGGGTGCTGGCCACCTATGGCCTGGATGACACTCTGAAGCTGTATCGGGAGCGTACTTTTGTCAAGTCCATCTTTCTGCTACAAGTCGTCCACCCTGACGATCTGGATGTCCCTGAGGACACCATCATCCATGACTTGGAGATCACTAATGTAAGACACCTTCATCCCACCCAGCAGCCTCCAGCTCCCTTCTCCTCACCCCACTCAACCCAGATCCCTTCTCTTGCCCCCAGTATTCAGTACATCCCTTGGGTGGAGATTACTCTGACTCTTCTCTGTCTCCTAAGGACTGCCAATCTGACCCTAATGTGAACCCCCTTCCCTGGCCTGGCCCTTGCCCTACTTTTTCAGAGCCTCACTGTCATCTGGCTCAGCTTCTGTGCACCCTTCCACAGTTCCTCATTCCAGAGGATGACACCACGTATGCCTGCACCTTTCTTCCTCTCCCTATTGTGAGCGAGAAGCATCACATTTACAAGGTATGGTGGACCAGATGGGGGACATTGTCAAGGCAGGGAAGGGTGCTGGAGCAGAGCAGGGGGTGTGGTCAACCCTGGAGGATGAGGTCTGGAAAATTTCTTGGAGGAAGCAAGAAGGAAGTAGTTGCAAGAACAGGGGGACAGGCAGGGCTTGGTAGAGGTCGCGGCTACATCATTTCCTGAGCCCAGAAATGTAACTCCCAGCGCTATTTTATTTAAGCCCCACAATGCAACAGACATGTTGATGAAGGTTAAGAATTAATAATTGTTTGCAAAGAACAAAGTATGAGCCTCAACCTGGCCCCAGAATTGTGCTCTCTTAGCCCAAGAGGAGGTAAAGGCAGGGAGAGGATATGGCCAGGGGCTGTCAGGAGGTTGGAGAAGTCTAGCTAGAATGAACTCAAACTTGGTAACCCAATTTCATATTTGAGTGATTTCAATTTTGATCAAATAAATAAAGGTATGATCTCACAATATGTGGCAAATGTGGAGACTTTCTTTCTTTAGACAGATAATTTGAAAAGGCATGGCTACATGCTCAGATACAGTGAACTGAGGAGGTTACTAAGGGAAGGCAGAATGTCCCTGGCTAGATTTCATGTCTGCTCTCCAGAAGGGGCTTAAAGGAGAGGGGAGTTGAGAGGAGAGTCAAACTGAGTGGGTGGGAAAATGGTAGCTTGGGGAACAAAAACAGAGAAAAAGGGAGAGAGAGAAACAGAGAGAAGAGGGAAATGGGTATAGTTTTGACAGGAAGGAAGATAATATGGATTTGATGTAGAAGGTCTTGATCATGCTCTGCTCTCCTTTTCTGCCCAGTTTGAGCCTAAGTTGGTCTACCACAATGAGACAACGGTGCATCACATCCTGGTGTACGCCTGCGGCAATGCTAGCGTTCTCCCCACAGGCATCAGCGACTGCTATGGGGCCGACCCTGCCTTCTCCCTTTGCTCACAGGTCATCGTGGGCTGGGCTGTCGGGGGCACAGTGAGTCCCGTGATGGGGTAAACACATGGCTAAGCGGGTGCATGTGGTTGGGTAATGAGATCACTGGGCTGGTGGAAGACCAGGGGATAGGGGAAGTCTGGGATGACAATTAGAAAACAAGGCCAGGAGCCCTGAATCCCTATGGCTGGTTCCCAGCCCTTCTTGCTGCCAAATCTAACTCCTTCCAACAGAGCTACCAGTTTCCAGATGACGTAGGCGTCTCTATTGGGACCCCCTTGGACCTTCAGTGGATCCGACTGGAGATTCATTACAGCAATTTTAACAACCTTCCTGGTGAGCATCCAGAGGATTTAAGGAAGGGAAGCTGGTGGGGCTGGCTGTTTTTTTCGGTATTGGGAACGCATTGTGGGATGTGTGCTGACTCCCTGTGGTCAAAGCCCCACCCCAGCTTTCCTGAGCCTCTTTCTCTCCACATTGTGACCCACTCTCCTGCCTCCTGTGATTGACTGTTCCTCTCTGCACCAGGTGTGTATGATTCCTCGGGGATTTGCGTGTACTACACTTCTCAGCTGCGCAAATACGACACGGATGTCCTCCAGCTGGGCTTCTTCACGTTTCCCATCCACTTCATCCCCCCGGGCGCTGAGTCCTTCATGTCCTATGGGCTGTGTAGGACGGAGAAGTTTGAGGAGGTGGAGCTGGGAGGCGCACCCTTCCTGAGGAGGAAACACACTCTCCTTACCCCCCATCCCAGATCTGGTCAGATCCACAAGCCCACACAGCCTGAACCCCAGACTTGGAGAATAATTACAGCCTGGTGCTCAGGAGATTCACTAACATGAGTTTTGCAAGGAAGGGAAGGAGTCAGGGCTTTGAGAACAAGGGAAGTGCAGAAGGAAGAAGGGTCAGAAAGGTTCAATAAGAATTACAGTGGTAAATATCAGTCATCAGAGGAAAGTGTCAAATACCAAGGGGGGGAAATCAAGCAGCAGGTCAAGAACACAGTCCTTAACAAATCGGGTGCACCTCTTCCCTGTTACAGATGAATGGAGCTCCTATGCCTGACATATAGGTATATGGCTACCTGCTACACACCCACTTGGCTGGACGGGCTCTGCAAGCAGTGCAATACAGGTGAGGGAAGACCTTGAAGCTCTCCCTTCTGCAGGTGGGAATGAATTTTAAGAATAGTGATTTATTCTGTAGCATACGATTATGTCCGGTTGAGAAAAAGGAAGAGGTAGAACTATCTTTAGAGTAGAAATAACTGAAATAAGACTGTGGAAGATGAAGTTTTTTGTTTATTTTTATGGATAATCTACTCACAGAATGACCCCACCCGCATGCTACATCTTTATTGGCAGACCCCTCTGTATTTCATCTTCTCTTTATTTCTGAATTCCCGACTTCTCTTCCTCTAGGAATGGAACACAACTTCGAAAAATCTGTAAAGACGATTCCTATGACTTCAACCTGCAGGAGACTCGAGATTTGCCCTCTAGAGTGGAGATCAAGCCGGTGAGAGTCTGAGGGAGGCCAGGCAGAGTTGGGGGCAGCAGCATCATACCTCATTACTGACAACCAAGAAAGTTCTCAAGCTGTACCAGTCCCTCTGTGTCTTACTCTCAGCCTTCATGTTTCACTCTGAACAGGGAGATGAATTGCTGGTAGAATGTCACTACCAGACACTGGACCGTGACTCCATGACATTTGTAAGTGACCTCTCACCCCACCATGGTCACCATGACCATAGCCCCAGTGGAGAGCCCACTCATGGCTTTGGCTACCCAGTGACCCCTGTGATTTCACTGAAGCCCCTTCCTTCCTCCAATGGCATCACACATCCACACGGGGCTTTTCATGTTCTCACACCCCATGCATCTAAGATAGGAACAGGGATTTCTCACATTATCTGCCAATAACCCACCAAGACCATGGAAATATAGTATGCTATAGCGACTAAGAGCAGAGATTCTGGGGCCTCATTGCCTGGGTTTGAATATCAGCACAATCATTTAGTACATTTCTAACTTTAGACAAGTTATTTGACTTTTTTGTATCTCAGTTTCCCAATTCACATAAGATTAATACTACTTTCTACCTCACAAGATTGTTGTGGGAGTTGGTTAACACATGCAAAACACCTAGATCATTGCCTGACTTGTAGTAGATTCTCAATTAAAGTTGGCTATTGTTTCTATGATCACAAGAAAATCCCCCGTTTTGTGCATCAGGAGTGGTTCAGTGCTTGTGGGATTCAAAAGGTGTTGCAGGCAACTGAGGAAAAAATACCGCCCTACAAATGATTATATCACAAGTTAGTAAGTGATATATACCATACAAGAAGAACGGGAATAACCCACTAGGGAAATTCACAGGAAAGAATCATGAGATCCTACTACAGTGAACTGAACATGTGACGTAGGTGAATGAGTCCTTCTTTAGACACATAGAGATGGGGAATTCTGGAGAAGGAAAAAACTGAGAAAGCCATATATAAGGAGAGCGTGGGGTGCACATGAAGAAGTTTGGTTGGCAAAAGATATCTAAAGGAATGGAATGAGGATGAGGTAGATAAAGTTGGAAACAGTCCTTGAAGCAGGGGTGATCCTGACCCACCTATATCTCCAGGACAGCAGGGCTAGCTCTATAAATATTTGCCAGGTAAGTAAATGGAATGAATGAATGGGTTGGAATTTATTAGATAGAATCAAATAATTGGTTTAGTGATGACTGACTATTCCAGTGACTGGAAGCCACTGGAGGTTTCAGAACAGGCAAATGGCAGGATGCAAGACAAATTGTAAACAACTTGTCTGGTAGCTCTACAGAGGTCAGATTGCAATTAGAACAGATGAGTGACTGACAATAGTTGAGAGGCAGATAGTCTAGCCCAAATCAGGATAGTGGCAGTGAAGCTGAGGACAGGGCAGATATATGCAATGCTTTTTGGAATAACATCAATAATTGTCCACCAATGAAAATAGAGCAGCAAATAGGGCAGTGAGCTGGCTCTACCTTAAGGGAAAAGGAGAATGGCATCACTGGTAAGATAACCACTTCAACTATTTTCTGTTTGCTTTGTCCTCCTGTCTCTGCATGCCTTTGTATCTTTGTCTCTCCATCTTTGTCTGTTTCCTCCAGGGAGGCCCCAGCACCATTAATGAGATGTGCCTCATCTTCCTCTTCTACTATCCCCAAAATAACATCTCCAGCTGCATGGGGTACCCTGACATTATCTACGTGGCCCACGAGCTAGGGGAGGAGGCATCAGAGTGAGTCATCCTGAAATACAGGACCTCGTGTGTGTGGAAGGGACCTTGGGGAGGACTGGGGGAGGAAGAAAGGAAGCCCTACCCACTACCTCCTTTATTTTTCTCTCTATTGCTGGTCTCAGCATTTAGTTATCAGTAACATATTCATTGAGCACCGTCTATGTGCTTGACATCAGGTCAAAAACAGGTGCCACTGAAATAAATAGGAAATGAGACATGCATTTCTCTTCCCTTACAGAGCTGCAGTTACATGCCTAACAAGCCCCTCAGCAGCCATTCTCTCCTTGAGGTCACACTGTCCCCTTCTGAGCCTTACTCCATGCCACCTAATGTTTCCTCTTCCAGTCGCCTCAAGAAATGGACTACATTTTTGTCAACCTGCAGAGAATAATGCACTTCTATAGTTAAAAGGTATGCATTCATATTACATACATATTAGACAGACAGTGCATATGAATACCGCTGGGAAAGTACTTTAAACATTCCTACAGGCGGTGGGAGCTTGAATTCGATGACTTCAGGATCCTCTCCAGATCATATGTTCTGGATGCAAGTTTCCTGACTGCGTTACATGCTGCAAAAGAAAGATACCCCAACTTCCTCTAAGAACACTCTGTCACTTGGGCCTCTCTGTCATCTCTCATCCTTCAGGGGTTTCTGAGGTCAGATTCTCTCCTAGTGACTATGAGAATGTAACTCTTTTTCTTCTTCACCTCCTCTACTCACAACTTCATATTAAATGTGGAGGATAAATAAAAGATGTATTCCTTATTTTTACTTTTCTCTGTGGTTCTATGAGGACAAGAGGACCCATGGGCTAATGTTTACTGTGACTTTGGTCTTTAGTGGCTTAAGAATATTTTGATACAATTTCAAATTCATAAAGAAGGGCAGTAATTCTTATATATTCTTTACCCAAATCTAACCATTGATTACATTTGGCTCCATTTCTCTCTCCTTCTCTTTCTCTTCCTTTTCTCTTATTTCTCCTCCTCCTTCTCCTTCTCCTCTTTCTCTCTTCCTCCCTCCCTCTCCATACCTTCATGAGTCGAATAATTTAGTTTCTTCTCCCTGTTTGCTAGGGTTTCCATCAGTATCTAAGTCCCTGCTACTACTTAGTTAGCTGACAATGAACAGGAAAGCTCTCAACTACACTAACCCAGTGGCTGTCAATCTTGACAGCATATTAGTATCACCTGATGATGAGCTACCACCCAGGCATTCGTAGGTTATTGAATTCTCCAGGCATTTCCAATATGCTATTAAGACTGAGGACCCCTGAATTAGAAGTTCAAATGTTCTTCACCAGTCTACTTCCTGGATGGAACAGGAATCACATTCTAACATCACACATTTAAGCCACAGCACAGGCACTGACCAGTCAAAATGGACATCAGTGGAAACAAATCCTGGAAGCCCCCTGATTTCCTGTAGTTAGAATTTTAGTTGCTAGATCATGAGAATATGTGGGATCTCAGAGAAGTGGCACGTTTAGAGGCCTCAGGAAGTGGCTATTACCAAACATCACTCAATAAATAAATAGCAAAGAAAGACAAGTTCTTCCCAAGCAAAATAACAAAGGCAAAAGGAATAAGGAGATACAAAATCACTGTTTAGCAAATTTGAGAGTAATAACTGATTCAGGCAGGAATCATCAATGGATGCCACAACTAACAAATGGGATGCTGCATAACTTCAAAGTATCTCCTCACAGTATATTTATTATTTATGTTGAGACAAAATAGTAGCTTTAGAAACCTGGAAGACACCACCTCAACCAAGTAACCCCACAGAACATCGGCGATAATGGACAGATGGACATTGTGTGGCTCCTGATAGGGAGCACTGAGATGGGCTCAACATCGTGCCTGTGTTATTTCCCTCAAAAATGCATAACCTCAGTGCAATCACGAGGACATATTAGGTAACCCTCAAGTATGAGGGATATTCTACAAATAACTGACTAGTAATCTTCAAATATCAAAATTATGAAAGAAAAAAAGAAACCAAGGAATAGTTCCAGAATAGAGGGGAGTAAAAAACAAGCAAAATAAAACAATGAAACAATTAAATGCGACATGCAATTGTGCTCGCAGACTAATTTCTTTTGTGTTGCTGTTGTTTGTGCTTCCTATATTGGACATTATTGGTGCAATTGGTGAAATGTGCCTGGTGTCTGTGCATTGTGTGGTGGTAGTGTATGCATGTTAATTTCCTGGTTTGGATGATGATGTTGTAGTTATGTGAGAATACGTTCTTGTCTTTTTAGGAAATACATACTAAAGTATTTTTGTGATAACGAAACACATTGTATACAAACTGTCGAATGTTTGTGAGATAGAGAGGGGGGAAAGGAGGAGAGAAAAAGAGAAAAGTGATAAAGTAAATATAGTGAACAATTTGTAATTTACAGGAGATAACTGGGAAAAATGGATAAAGAGAATACTGGAATTTGTTACTATACTTGCAACTTTTCTCCAAGTTTGAGCTTATTTGAAAATGAAATATTAATTAAAGCAAAGAAACCAGCACAGGATCTATATAAAAACAGTATTAAAAATGTGGAAATCAGAAAAAATGGAAACAAGGGAGAGAAAGAGTAACCTGGAAAAAAAATTAGAAAAATGTTGTTTCTAAACAACACCTGCACGTTTTCCCAAGCAAGCATTCTTGACCAATTTTCACTCTGAGCAGAGAACTTTCCATCTCCAAGCTATAGTAGAGCCCTGGACCCTTGGACTAATTTCAGCTGTCAAGCTGTCTGGCATAACGAGTAATAACATGCATGGCTTAAGGCTGCAAAATACATATATAGGATTTTATAGACAACTACTTAAATAACCACAAGATGGTAGAATTCAAATAAATATATATATTATATATATTCTTTTTTAGCTACATGTCATGAGACAGATGTTTTAGAGGAATAAGGAGTTTTAATCTGGATGACTGGTAAGAAAATAGTAGCCATTATCTAAAAAGCGAAACAGTATCAGAGAGATGGTTTAACATGAAAAATTAAAGCTTATAGGTAGACCTCTGGGAAGCCAGAATTTATCTCAGTACCGACAAAAACGTTTTTAAAATAAGTAATGAGCAAAAATTTAATGGGCAACCTTTTGAGGATGTATAAATCACATGCTGATGAGATTGGAAAGATGTGGTGTGGACGAAACTCTTTTATGGGTGGAAATTTTAAACCACATATGCCCTAAACTCTGTTCCTACTCTGGTGTACTTTTATCTGGGCATATATTGGAGAAAAGTTTCTGTTGCATCTTATAATACACTCTGTCCTCTATATTACCAATTTTCCCTCTGACTAATCATCTACTTAAATCATCCAATAAAAGACTAAATTTCTCTCAAGCTGAAATTAGAAATATGTGTCTTCATACAGGTCACAGGAATTGTTGTAATCATAAATTATAATCTGCCAGAAAGAAAAATATAATGTCTAGTCTAATCTGAAATTAGAATAGCTTGTATTACTCTTGTAATGATCACATGGTAAAACATCTAGTATTGGGTGAAAGTAATCCCCTGGAGATCTTTAAGCATCTTTTCCTCAAATAAATCAACCCTCAACTGGATTGAAATCACCTTTTCTGAGGTTTTCCTCTGCCTAATGTGATCTAGAAAACCCTCAAGCCATGGGAAATCACTGCTTACTCTCCAACCAGAGTACCATTCCTATCTTGCTCACTACCCCATATACTAAATCACCATCCACAATATAATCCTCTGGGGTAACTCACCATCATAAGGCCCTCATCCTCACACTGCTCTGCACAGCCCCAGTCTAACCCCATCCCACACCTTCTCTCAAACCCCTCCACAATAAAAGACCTTTAGAAAGCAACAAACTCTCTGAAAGTTTCTACCATCTCTTTGTAAGAAGTGGAGGTAGATTGACATCCTCCCTGCTCCCCTCTCCAATTTCTCTCCTTCTCTCAAACCCGAGCTCCTTTGAAAAGCTTGTACTAAGAACACAGCTGCTTGCTGCTGTCATCCAATGTCCTCTGCAAGTCACACCATTCATCCCTTGATGACTACAATCAACTGTCTCTTCTTCCACCACTCCTCCTGTGTCTTTTTGGAAATATCGATATTCACAGAGTGGTTCTGTCCAGCATACCAGCCTCTCAGTTTCTTGAACTCAGTCTTTTATTGTACTAACTTCCCTTCTTTCCCAGGCCAGATTCCATGGGCCAGAACTATAACTGCTTCCTTACAAACACTCTTACCTTTATTAACTCCCTCTCTCTTTCTGTCATATTTGCATAGTAATATCTCAATTCTGGCCAAATTTTCTACCTACCTTTTTTTCCTTCAGTTGTACCCATGTAGCTGACTGTTGCAGAAGAAACAGCACTCGTGCGTTTGTGACAAACTGTCTTACAACACAGCTTTTGATCCTTGTGTAAGTAGGTCCCTTGTCTTTTAATGTTTCTGCTTTCCAGGATGGCTGTTTCACCTTCTTTCTCAAGCTTCCAACAACCACCTCCCTACATCTCTGATTCACAGCTGATGGCATCATCATGTGCTTCATAGAAAGAATAAATCATTAAGCAAGTAGTTGTTTTATGAATCTGGGTGCTTCAATGTTGAGTGTATATATACTTTAGATAGTTAAGTCTTCTTCTTGGCCAGTAATGGTCTTTCCTTTCTGTATTTGGCGCTTCCCTAAGGACCTCTTGTAAGGCAGTCTGGTGGTAAGTAATTTCCTTAGCATTTGCTTGTCTGAAAAGGAACTTATTTCTCCCTTGCATACAAAGCTTAGTTTTGCTGGATATGAAATCCTTGGTTGGAATTTCTTTTCTTTAAGAGTTCTTGACTATAGGCCCCCAGTATCTTCTGGTTTGTAGAGTTTCTGCTGAAATGTCTGCTCTTAGCATGATGGGTTTCCCTTGGTAGATTACCTGTCACTTCTCTGTAGCTGCCTTTAACATTTTTTCTTCCATTTCGACGTTGGAGAATCTGATGATTATGTGTCTTGGGAATTGTTGTCTTGTGTAATATCTCACAGAGGTTCTCCGCATTTCCTGAATTTGAATGTTGGCCTGTCTAGTGAGGTTGGGGAAATTTTCATGGACAATATTCTCAATATGCTTTCCAAGTTGCTTGCTTTTTCTCCTTCTCTTCCAGGGACACCAGTGAGTCATAGATTTCATATTTTATATAATCCCATAATTCTTGGAGGATTTGTTCACTCTTCTTTATTGTTTTTCCTTTTTTTCTGACTATTTTGGAGATCCATTCTTCAAGCTCTGAGACTCTTTCCTCAGCTTGGTCAGTTCTGCTGTTAGTACTTGTGATGGTATTCTGCAATTCTCAAAGCGAGTTTTTCAGCTCTATCAGATCAGTTTGGTTATTTCTTTACATGGCCATTTTGTCTTTTATCTCCTATATTGTTTTATTGGATACCTTAGATTCCTTGGATTGGGTTTCAACTTCCTCCTGGATATTGATGTTCTTCATTCCTAATCATATTCTGAATTCTATTTCTGACATTTCAGCCATTTCAGCCTAGCGAAAAACCATTACTGAGGAACTAGTGCAGTTATTTGCAGGTAAGAAGACACTCTGGCTTTTTGAGTTGCCAGACGTCTTGCACTGGTTCTTTCTCACTGTGTGGGCTGATGTTTCTTCAATCTTTGAAGGCACTATACTTTGGATGATTTTTTGTTTGTTTACTTGCTTTTATTTTCTTTGATGCCCTTGGGGGTTTGACTGTGGTATAAGGTGGGTTCAGTTCCCTGGGGTTGTTTCTGGAAGATTTTTGGGTCCCAAGACTCAGCTTAGCACTCCTGAGCTGTGTGCTCTAACCCTGGGGAGCTGGTTCCAGGACCCCAGCTTTCTTCTCTGGCCCCTCAAGGCTAGGAACCTACTGTGCTGAGGGGGCCGAGGTATTCCTGGTCCACTGGCCACAACACTCCGACGGGTTGTGCTGGCAGCCGTGGCACAGCACAGCAGGATGCATGCATGTTGGCTGGGGCAGGGGGATACTGGCAGAAGCGGGGCTGTGACATTCCTGCACATGCTCATGCCAGCAGTGAGTCATAGGTGGGGACAGGGTTGCCGAGGTCTGTGCTTGCATTTGCACCTGTGGCAGGGCCTGCTGCCCTCTGTGTGCATGATCACACTGGTGGCCATGGCAAAGTGAAGGGGAGGTGTGGGTAGCCAGTGTCCATGCACACATTCACACTGGCAGCAGAGTCCTGAAATCTCATCATTATGCAATTGTTCACCTATTTATTGATAGCCTACCCTAATAGAATGTATATTCTCCAAGGACAAGACTCTCTTGGCCACCACTACTTGGCTTGGACAAGAGTCTCTTGGCAACAGGTCAGTGCCTGGTGCAGAGGAGGAGCTGACTTCTTTAAGTTCTCAGAAATATTTTTAAACAGAGCTGGGGACCATGTGGTGGAAAGATCAATAAACTACAAAGCCATAATACTTTTGCAAATTGCTTAATCATTTAATCACTATGAACCTCACTTTCCACAGCAGTAAAATTAAGTAGTTGTATAAAGTCATCCATAATATTCCCTGCAGTTGTAAAATTATACAACTTTATAAACGGGGTTAGATTGAGTAGTGAATGATAATAATTTGAATATTAAAAATTGAATGTTAAATAGAATACATTGAAAAATACCAAGATGTTATATCTTAATAATATTCTACTTCAAATGTGAATTATTTGTATAGATTATAAAATGTTTGTAACTTATTTCAACAAATATTTTAATATTAATATCATATTTTGACAAAACATAAGTGAGTATAAGTAGAACGATGTGCAGACAAGTTGAGGGACAATTAGCATCCTGTGTACACCTCAGCTGAGGCTGGACACAAGTCTGCTTTGGAAAAACACTGTAAAACTCAACATCTCACTGCCAGAGCAGGAGACAAGCCAAAGTCTCTCTCAGCAATAATGTTCACATTTATTCTGTGGATCACCATCAAATAACAGTGTTCTTAGAAGAATATGATGGCCGGGAATGGTGGCGGTATAATCATACAGGATTACTCGCCTGTAATCCCAGCACTCTGGGAGGCCAAGGCAGGTGGATTGCAAGGTCAGGAGTTCGAGACCAGCCTGACCAACATGGTGAAACCCCGTCTCTAGTAAAAACACAAAAATTAGCCATGCCTGTAATCCTAGCTACTCAGGAGGCCGAGGCAGGAGAATTGCTTGAACCCGGGAGGCAGAGGTTTCAGTGAGCTGAGATTGCACCACTGCACTCCTGCCTGGGCAACAGAGCGAGACTCTGTCTCAAAAAAAAAGAACATGATGAAACACTATGTTCAATTTAATCACACAAACCAAAGAAAATTTTACTTGTATAAAATGTGAGTTTTGCCATATAAAGTAATGGTCAACCACACCAATACAGTCAATAGAAACCCTACTGACTGTTTCAAAATCTTTCCCGCCTGTTATTTGTTCATACATTTTGTGCTTAGCTAGAGCTTCTACAAGGCAACAAATAAATAGCAGCAAACATAAGAGGTTTAAGAAAAAAAATCATTGAAAAATAACATAAAATTGGGATAACTGTATCCATTAACTATTTTATAAAGTGAGGAAAGATGAGCATTATTTAATTTAGCAGTGAAACATTTTCTTCCAGCTCAAATAAGAGCCAATTTTACCCAGAATCACAGTTTGAGACACACTAGAGACACCTCTGGAGATAGCTTTCCCTCACAAAACTTCAATTTGAAAAAAGGACTCAGAGCAGCCTTATTATAAAGCACCAGTGATACAGACAGGAGGGGGAAATTCTGGGTAGAAGAGGGTGGTTCCCTGGAAAAGGCCCCACCCTCAAGTCTGAAGACCCATGGCCCTAAGTGAGGACAGGCAATTCTGTTTTTGTACCCTAAAAATTGCCTTTTGGCCCGCCATGCCCCCCATCCTGCCCCCATATAAACCGTAGACCTTAGTGGGCACATGCAAGCAAGCTGCTGAATGTTGGAACCAGCAGAACAGCAATGACAGAACAAGAGGCAGAGAAAGAGAGAAGAAGGAGGTCTGGATCCCTAGGGGAGTTCAGCTGGGGGCGGTTGGAGGAGAGTCTTTCTCCCACCGATGGGTGGCCCAACTCAGGGGAAGACCACCTTCCCTCTCCATCCCCCCTCTCTGGCTCCCCATTCATCTCATGAGATGCTATGCCACAGAGTTTTCCCTTATGCCTGGGAAAATTCCATAAAAATCAAGTCCAATCAAGTGAAAAGATCCCTGGATTTGTATTCAGCAGACTGAGAGTCAACATTCAACTCTGCTTTTAGGCGTCCTCTGACTATGGGAGAGTCATTGGCTAGAGATAATCTTATTTATCTCTTGTGGTCACAGCCCCCCTTCCTCATCTCTTATTCTTATTTCTTCCTTATTTCTTTTTAGCAGAGTACCTAGCTCTCCAGAAAACCTAGATTCCCATATATTTGAAGGGGCTCTTAGTTCTCTTCACACCGCAGCTCCTACCCTCTGATCCTAGTTTTGTATTAAAATTAAGTAATTACATGCGGTTGTTGACTGACTGAAACAGAGAAAACGTTTACCTCCACCACTCAATAAAATCTTGCACTCATCCTTCGAGCCCACATGTGATCTGATTCTTCCAATACACTGGGCAAGGACTTGGGATGCAGAAGGTTGTCACTCTGGCCCACTGCCCTTGGGATAAGGCAGAGGATCCACTAAGCTGATTAACACACAAGCCATCTGCAGACAGAATATCTAAAAGAGCTTAGTAAGACACGTCCACTTGGGCTTCGGGAGTCTCAGACACCGGTCCCTAGACACTGCCCTGGGGCCGGAGCCCAGAAGCGCTCATGCTGGCCTCCACGCCTGCCTGTCTGCATGCTCCCCCTACAGGGGGCTGAGCTGCAGGGCGACCAAGCAGGCCACACCCTTGTCACATGTCCTGCAGGGGGGAATCAGGGAACTCTCCTGTTTCACCAGCACTAAAGAGAAACTTCTCTGCTTCCAGAAGATCCAAGGGGAAGAAAAAGGAAGACAAAAAAAACAAAAACAAAAACAAAACTTAAAAAACAACCCGCAATAGACATCAGAACACTCAGGGAATTATAGAATAACAATAATAAATAATAGTAAACCTTTGTGCAGCATTTTACAGACTGAAAATGCATTTCCATGTACTTTATTGTAGTTCAGATGTTTGCCTCATCCTCCAGATGTGGGAACTGAGGCAAGAAAGGAAAAAAAGTGTCCACCTGAAGCAACAGCCCCTACAGGTGGTGCTCTTAGTGCAGGTCCAATGGAGTCTGCTATATGTATTGGGATCTGGCGTCTGAGCCAGCTGAACTCAGGACTCAGAAGTAGCAAGCTGCTGGCCGGGCGCGGCGGCTCATGCCTGTAATCCCAGCACTTTGGGAGGCCGAGGCAGGCAGATCATCTGAGGTCAGGAGTTCGAGACCAGCCTGTCCAACCTGGTGAAACCCCATCTCTACTAAAAATACAAAAATTAGTTGGATGTGTGGCGCATGCCTGTAATCCCAGTTACTCGGGAGGCTGAGGCAGGAGAAGCGCTTGAACCTTGGAGACAGAGGCTACAGTGAGCCGAGATGGTGCCACTGCACTCTAGCCTGGGTGACAGAGCGAAACTCTGTATCAAAAAAAACAAAAAGTACTACTAGAAATATAAAGAAATACTACATTATTTCCATCTTATAAATGAGGACATTGAAGCTTATATAAGTTAAATAATTATCACAAGATGGCAAGTTCCTAAGTAGCAGAGGTGAGATTTGAACCCTTGTCATCTGATGGCAGAGCCAGAATTATTAAATGCTATGCCACAAAGTTTTCCCTTATGTCTGGGAAAATTCCGTAAAAGCCAAGTCCAATCAAGTGAAAAGATTCCTGGACTTGTATTCAGCATATTTACTTAGATAACACATGTAATACATTTAGTACAATGCCACAAAATAATGTAAATGATAGCTATCAAGCTGACTTTTGCCTAAGACATCATTCCCCATACAATGTGATTAATTCCCTACACAACCACAAATGACAAGTTCAAAAATTCCTTGTTATAAAGAAAATTTGGTACATATACACCGTGGAATACTAAGCCATAAAAAGGATGTAATCATGTCCTCTGCAGCAGCATGGATGAAGCTGGTGGCAATAATTCTAAACAAATTAATGCAGGAACAGAAAAGCAAATGCCACATGTTCACACTTATAAGTGGGAGCTAAACATTAGCTATTCATGGGCCTAAAGATGGCAACAACAAACAATGGGGACTGCTAGAGTGGGGAGGGAAGGAGGGGGATGAGATTTGGAAAACTGTTGGGTACTATGCTCACTACTTGTGTGGTGGGATCAGTCATACACCAAACCTCAGCATCACATGATATACGAAGGTAACAAGCCTGCACATGCACACCCTGAATCTAAAATGAAATTGAAATTGTATTTTTAAATAAATGAATAAAAATAAAAAAACAAAGACTTGGAAAAAATGGAGAATACTACCTTTAAATGCATAGTTCATATTATAATCCCATTAAATGGAAAACATCATGTAATGGAAAAAAAAATCCCATGCTTCTCTGGGTTGCCATGACAGGAGAGTAACAGGTCGTAGTAAAGAGGTTATTCAAAAACAGTAGAGCTGTTTCTTCAGTCTATCCTTTGCACAACAGATGGGGCAAGTCCTAGAGGCCAAGGCAGCCTAAGTCCCAGACAAGCTCTGTAGTCTTCCCTCTCCTGAGAACCAGGTATCTCCCGCCATCATGAGGAAGAGACTTTCATTCACTTCTCCTCATCTCCCAACATTTGCTTTAAGGATTTCTTCAATTTGGCCATCTTTGTATCCTGACATAAAGTATTTAGATTACATGGAGATTGTGTTCTGATAGCTGATTTATAGGTAATATGCTTCCTACTTAGAATGCATGTTGGTTAGGTTCCTGAGCTAGCCCACAAAATACTGTCTAACTCATACAGCAGAAATTATCGAAAGTATGGCATTGTTCAGAATTGGTTTTCCTCAATTTTTTTAAGCAATGATGCCCTTTCTTCAAATAAAATCTTATGCAAAAATACAGAAGAGAAAACACAAAAAACAAAGCAATTCTGATACAACTGGGAAGGAAGAGTTTGACCTTCCCTCATCCTAAAGCAGCTTTTAGGAACCCCAAGGTTCTTCCTCAGGGGAAGTTTGAAATTATAATGCTATTTACAGGCAGGCAGATCTCATTGTAATCGTTTCTCCAACACTTAACCTGATAAACAGTATCAGACCAGTTGCTTAACTCTCTGAACAACAGTTTTGTTTTTCTGTCATTTCACATGCCTATAGAATTAAAATGTTTAGCACAGGGTCTTCAGTAGATTAAATTTAGTAGATTAAATCTTTAGTAGATTTAAGAAACTGCCCTTTTATTCAAATAACTAATTGTCGTCTTGTTGGGACTGCCCTCTGGAAAGGAAGAAGAAAGTTAGGACCTAAGAAAGAGAAAAATGGACTAATTCACAGGCAGACATAGCTCAGACATCCTTTCTCTGAGAACTCAGGAAGAAAGGATGGATTTTACCTTACAGAGAAAATGATCATAATTCTTATACTCTTGTTTCCTGTCTAGTATGCTTTCCTAAAACATTCAGTGGTTCCACCTTATCTCAACTGCACTCTAAAATAAGAGAAAGATAACAATCAGTATTGGACAGAGTATTGGAAGCAGCACTGAGGTAAGGCTTGAACTCCAGACCAGTTTGAAGACTAGCTGAAATAGTGAAGAGGCAAAAGCATCTCTCCCTGAGACACATCCACCAATGCCATGTCAGTCGACCTCTTCCCAGTTTACCATTGCCATGGCATTGCCATGGTAACAGCCAGAAGTTACAACCCTTTCCATGACAATGACCTGGAAGTTACCACCCCTTTTCTAGAAATTTCTGAATAACCTGCTCCTTAATTTACATGTGATTAAAAGTAGGTATTAATGAGGCTGCAGAACTGCCTCTGAGCTGCTACTCTGGGTGCACTGCCTACAGCATAGCCCTGTTCCACAGGAAGCACTGCCTCTGCTGCTGCTATGCACTGCCACTTCAGTAAAAGTTTCTGTTTAGCACCACCTACTTGCCCTTGAATTCTTTCCTGGGGAAAGCCAAGAACCCTGTCTGGCTGAGCCCCAATTTGGGGGCTTGCCTGTCCTGCATCAGCACTCCACTTCTGCCTGATGTCAGCATATGGAGGTGCCATTTATCAGTAAGTGACCACTAAGGAGCAATTAACCTCCCAGGGGAAGATTTAGGACCACAAGGTCTGTCAATTCTCCCTCTACTGCGACCTCTATGTCCAAACACATGCACCCTGAAGAGGCTCTTTGCATAGCTCACCCTCAAAAATTTGGGTTTTCCTCTTATTAAGAAAGATTACAATTTTATTTTTGTAGACAGTCAATAAATAAGAATCTTCATCTACAAAAACTGCCAATGCATTAGTAATTTAAGTAAAAGGAAATTTAAAAATGAATAATAAATATATTAAAATGGTGGTTTTTTTGAGAAGTCATTGAATTAGAGGGAGGCGCAAATGGCATATGGTGACCATGTTCCATGTCAAGCTTCACTCCTGTGTGGAGGCACATGACAGAGCTACTCCGCCCACACCTACTTTCTGCATGCAGAGCTGCTCTCCAGCTCCCCCTCCAAGGTGTTGTGGGCATCTAGAGCCAACTCACTATTGCTACTGTCTGACTCCACATTTCCACCCAGCAAAAGAGGGTAAGAAGGAAAGCAAAGGCAGAGTTAAAGGGTGTCAACTTCCAAGAAAAAATGTAGAGATGTTCCCAAAGCACAGAACTTTTATTTGGAATTAAAATGTGAAAACAGAACTGCAATTTGGGATACAGGCACAACAGGGTGGCCTCTGCTATATCCAGAGAACAAAGAAAAACATTAGAGTTTTATTGGGGAAAGAGAAGGTTATGCAAGTCGTTTTGAAAGAAAGTTCATTGGCACTAGCAGTGTCTTACAAGAGCTGGCGAGTTGTGATTGGCAACAGTCTATAGTTGCTAGGTGGGATTTGTAACCTGGAAGTTACTGTAGCTCCCTTGCAGGGATTAGGTTTGTGAGACAGTGTGTCAGGCAAGTATTCTTGTGTAGGCAGCTAGCTGTCTTGGCGTGACTCATGTAAAAAGCTGCAGTTTGGAAAAATGTCCTGTGATAGTTCCTGTTATCAGACAAATTGTGTGAGAGCCCTCTCTTCAGGACCTTCCCCAACTCTATTTTGCCAGGGTTTGGCACAAGTGACTCCATTTTGAATCTTACAACTTTCATAAGGGGTTCCTTTTCGTAAGTTCCACTCAATGTTTCTAACACATTGGCAACCTCACCACAACTTATCTATTTATTGTTCATTTTAAAATTATTATCAAAAAGGGAAGAATTTGGGAGAGAGGACCTAGGAAGCCAGACGTATCATCTTGGTGTATTAGCAGTAAGGAATAGAGTAGTCAGCTCTTTTTTTTTCTTCCAGCTTTATTGAGGTATAATTGACAAATGAAAATTGTATATATTCAAGGTTACAAGATGTTTTGATATGCCAAAAAGAATACCAAATTATGGGTTCTTGCTACACTAGATATTTTCCTAGGCACTCTCTCAATCCTTCCATTTTACCAATGAAGGAATTAAATAAGGCTCAGATAATTCAAGCAAGTTGATCCAGGTCACGTAAATAGATAGGAATAATATCAGGACTCTTTTACAAGACTTATTTGGTTCTAGAAGTGGGTTTTTGTTTATTTTATTTTAGTTCATCACATCATGGCAAAGATGGACTTTCCTCAGGAGATGGGACCCTGAAGCAGACGGGTAATAGGAAGTGAATCAGAAGGCCAAGCTCTACTATGTTTTAAGACTCTGTGTTCTTGAAGAAGTCATTTAACCTTTCTAAGTCTTCCTTTCTGCCTCTGAGAAAAAAAGTGTAAAGATTTCTTCCCTCTCTGCCTCACAGCAGGAGTGGAACAAAATAAAACATTTATGTGAGGCCCTTTGCAAACTATGGATTATTGTGCAAATATAAGAAGTTGTTTTTAAGTAACAAGACCCATAGGTTGTACAGACCCCTTTACTTCTTCTCTTGAGCCAAACTTTTCTCAATTACATAGTAAAAAATTTCCAAAGCCACCTTCTCTGAAGCCACCAGAGATTGGCTAAGGTGAGAAAACCTCAAACGTCCTTTGGGGCCCAGATCTAACTTTTGTACTCCAAGCCATTCTCCACTTTTCCTTGGAATAAGAGATTTATAAAGCATTACAAAGTTAAGGATGAATGTTCACCCATCATTCTAACAGGTAAGAGCAATGTGAAATGAGGCAGTGTGTGTCTTTTCAGCATTCTCAAGCTTTTCATTTTTTCTTAATCTTAGCCCCTCTTCCTCAATGCTGAGTTGAAATTCTTTTCTTATCCCGTCAACAGACCTCATCACTTTCTGGTCATTTGGAAGTTTTCAAGAATTTGTATCATCTAAATCGGTATGTCATTTTCACATCCATGTCAAGTTTTCTCCTTCCGCAGAGACCACCTCCAGCAGTGAGGAAGGGGATTACGGTCTATGCTTTTACACTTCCATATTCTCCTTCTCCTCTTCCTTGACTGTTTCTGGGTATCCTTCACAGCCAGATGGAAATTAAAGGAAAAGACAAAGGTTCCCATGTGATGGATGCTATGGCAAGGCATCCGCAGGTACCCTCAGTGTGAGAGGACCCCAGTGCTGATTTCTTCCCATGGGCACATTAGTGAGTTTTTCAGAGGCCCCTTGTGCAGCATCTAACATGAGGTGAGATGCAATCTGCATGACCTATTTTGACCTCTCCCCACTACAAACTTAGTTTCCACTCTTGGAAGTCCATCCACGACCTCTCATCACTAGAGTCCCTTCTCCACTGGACAGATTGCTTCATGACAGCCCTAGCCCAGCCATCTCCCCACACCCACCTGAGGAGCTTCAGCTTCCTTGTCCATTGAACACTGTTGAGTCCAGGATGCACCACTACTTCCCTGGCTCTGCATCCACTACTGCAGGGTCTCCAATCTCTGCCACTTTTGGAATTCTCTGGGCAAGACTCTAGCGCCATTCTTTGTGATTTCATTGGCTTCCACACTCTGGGAGATGCATGATGAGGTTTCTGAAACCTTGCCCATGCTCCATGCTCCACTGTATCATCTGATGGGGAAGAGAGGCAAGAGTTTCTCAGTTCAGCGAGTGCCCAGCTGGGAGTGAGATGCCAGTCCCAGCTCCTCACAGGCACTCTTAATCTCCATCGAGCACTTCTTCTGCAGTGCCCTTCACACAGAGCACCACTCCACTCTCCCATGGGGAAAGGGATGTGGAAACCAAAGCATTCTCTAGCCCTGTAAGTTCCTTTACTGGTATGAATGCTCTTTCAACCCTCATTTGAATGTCTAATCTCATATACACGGAAGTTTGGTGATGGAACTTGATAAACTTTAAATCTTGTCTCTTCTCACAATGCTCCTGCTGTAGAAAAGAGTGGACTATTTTATATCTCCTAATCACACCATGTAAAGTCAGTCTCTTTGTCCAGTGCATTCCCCACCTGAAAGGCTTTTCTTGACTCTTTTTTGTGCTACAGGGTACCTCCCAGCTTCCCTTACTCCTTGAAGTATTCCTAAATACCTTTAGACTCCCAGTGAGTTTCCTGTTAATCCAAAACATCTGTCATCTATATTCCTCACTGGAAAATTAATCATGCAGTATGTGTGACATCTCTTAAATAGTCAACATGAATAGTGTTTACATAGCGATGCTTGGAATACTAGAAACTGAAGTTTAAATTAATAACTAGAAATTTTAGGTGTAAAAATAATGATGTCCACAGTAATGGTAAAGGTAGGAATGTGTCAAGTACCAGAAGTGTAGAAAAGTAAATTTCTTTATACTTAGAACATAAGTTATAATCATTAGTGCAGAATTAATATCACACATGTGGGTGACCCAGCGGGGCCAGTCATTATGGAGCTTAGAAGTTTCTCTAGACCTTATAAATCAGAGTCCATGCACAGGTTTTGCTAGTGTTGTCAATGGTAGAATTAGCATGTCAACATTGCCCTCATGTTTTCTGAACCTGGTTCCAGGACCACTACTTGTGCATTGACTCCTGAGTTTCAATTCTCAAGTCTTTTCAAACATCTGACCAAAGTCAAGACTTTTGTATATTCAAAGTATTTCTTACCTTTTCAAAATTCCATGCTTTCAATTATGTTCCATTTACGTACTTAAGAGGTTGGACTTTGGTGGCTTCAGAACTATGCTTGTTCAAGCAGATTCATCTTCAGTTTTCCAAATCCCAGCTGCTTTAATGAAGTTGTTGGTCAGTGAATGAGCAATGTATGGTGGCCTGGCAGCAGAATCTCATGGTGCCCTATCACACAGAGCACTTTGTCCTGTATCAGAGTTTGTGATGCCAAGAAGACAAATGCACTAAGTCTCCCTCAGTAAAGATACAAGCGAGGGAGTCTGACCAAGCCCATAGAATTTTGAGTTTTGTTTTGAGTTGGAAGGTCAAGAGTCATGTATACACAAGAATAAGGTCTATCAACTTTGTTCAGAGGACTGTAGCTTGTGGGCAGATTCCAAAAGCAAATGTTGCTGACTGATGAATCTGTGCCCCTCATCTGGAGTACCATCAAATTGTCTGGACAATAGTACAGCTGGGCTGACAGATCAAAAAGCTGGGTAGATGTGTTTGTAGACAGTGGAAAGATATTCATGTTGAGTAAGCCACAGATGCTGGAGTACCTACATGCTGGGGAAGTTGATAATATACTTGACCAGGACATGAGAGTGGAAATACGATGTTTCTGCCCACTTAAAGGAAGTTGTTCTCAAACTCTTTAGTCTCAGAACCCCTTTACATTCAAAATTGGTGAGGGCACTGTGCTTTATTTATGTGGGTTATATCTGCTAATATTTACTGCATTAGAAATCAAAATTGAGTCATTTGTAAAATATTTTTTAAATATTTATTTTTCATTCATAAAAAATAACATATTCACTTTGTGATAACATAAATATGTTTTTAATGAAAAATAACTGTATTTCCCAAAGCAAAAAAAAATTAGAAGAATGACATTATTTTACATTTTGTAAATCTGTTTAATGTCTAGCTTAATAGAATACAGCTAGATTCTTTTTTCTTTTTCTATATTCATCTTTTATGACACAATACAGCATAGAGCATCTGGACAGTGCCACTGTATACTAATGAGACAATGAGACTGAAAAAACAAATAACTTAGCATCATTATGAAAGTAGATTTGAAGAAGCTGTGTGCTCCAGAAAGTCTTGGGGAACCCCATGGATCCCTGAACTAAACTTCGAGAATATTGCCCTAGGGTTAAACCTACAATAGTACCCAAATGACCAGATTTGGTAATGACCATGGGTCTACTCATGGGGGTTTGAGTGATCTAAGAAAACAATGGATCAAGGATGGATGATGAATTTGGATATGAAAAACCAGGAATAGACTGAAAACCCTAACACAATGAAGGGGAGTCTGAACAGTGAAATTATAAGGGAAAAGCTTGTATTAATAGAAGAAAATGCAAATAAGATTATGAACTCTGATTCCAATGTGGAGGCTGTCTTCCTCATGCTGTATATTTACATTCTCACCTCTGTCTGGATAATTTCTGATTTATACTAGAGTCAGAGCCAGTCATTGGTGGTAACAGTGAGGCTTTAAGACTATCTCATAATTTAGATTAATTCTAATTTTCTGAGAATGCTCTTCTGTCTATAAGTGGAAGTACTTATAAAATCTGTAGTAAGAGTATTAGTAGTACCTATGAATTAATGGTTGCAAAGTTCAGGAATTTATGTTTTTAGGATCTATAATCATTTTATTTTCTGTGATAGTCAAACCCACATGTAATATTTATAATTTAAATTATTTCAGTGGCTGAAGTAAGGTTATACAAGATCTTCAATGGTAGAATTTTCTATATCTGTAGCTACAGCTAGGATCTCCTCAGAAGAAATAATACTATTAGTATGTGTAATGCAAATGACTCTATTGGTAGCTATGGCATTTGGAAAAGTCCATAGGATAATAAAGTGCATTTTTTTAGCATTACTAATTACATACTCTCCTGTAATATCAATAACTGTTGGTATAGAAACCATTTGAGTGCTGGGGGTATCACCAGTACTCTCAGTTATGGTACGTCATGTGACCCAAGAAACAAGTTGGGCTATTTCAGTAACTAAATCTAAGGCAATAGTATTTACAGAGCCTAATGTGGTGTTATCTGAGATACCAAAATTACCTGTGAAATCTGTAGCAAGGATATATAGGATATATAAAACATCTGTAGTTTAACTGATGAGGTTATAGGAGTAATAACTATAATTTAAAAGAATAAGAGCACATACTATGGTTGCAAAATAAGTACCCACAGCTTCTTTGGTGAAACCTATAAGGTTTGTAAACCTTCCTAAACATGTCTGCAATGACGAGAGTGTTTGGAGTAGCTGTGTCTTTTATGGCTAGAGTACTAATATCCGTGAAAACTTAAGTAGCATAAGATAGATAGAGTGTCTCGTAACTGATTTTCTATATCTGTAATAGTTGTTTGTAGGCGTTATCTGAGGTAACTATCCTGCCTTGAGTAGTAATCATGGAACTTGAGTAGCATTTATGGCATTTGCAATATAAGTAGGTGCAGTAGCAGAGGTATGTACTGTACTATCAGGAGTGGTAGTATTTAAAGCATATTTTGTAATATTTGTAGTATCTGTGGTAGCACTAGTTGCAGTAATAGGTAAATAAGTAGCCACAGAATTTATTACCATATGGGGAGTTTGTGAATCTAGACCAGTGGCTGTTATTGTGACTGAGGCTGTTGTGAGATTTGAAACAGAAATGTGTGTCGTGTTACCTGTAACACTGCTGGAGTTATCTGCATCAGTAATATCCATGGTGCCTAGATTAGAAAGATTTGTAGGAGCTAATGAGGTGTGGCTTAAGGCCAGTGTTGTAGTAGTAGCAGAATGGGGAGTAGCGAACTGTGTGATGTGTGTGGTGAATTTGTCTATGGAAGTAACTGTTGTATCTGGACTCATGGTATTATCTTTGGTGCTGGTAGTAGTGACCGTAGCATCTATTACCATGGTACTTTTTGTATCAAGAGTGTTGAAAATAATGGTGTTTGCATTTGTAGGGGTAGTAAAATTAGTAATTTTATCAGTAGTGAATGTATTACTTGTTGGAAACATGCTCAAAATAGAAGTAATAGAGCTAGGAATAGAAGTAAGAGTATGGGTAGGAATGGTAGGAGAAGTCTGGTAATAAGTAGTCATGCCAGGATTAGTATTATTACTTGTAGTAGTAGCATCAGTACTTGGAGAAGGAGTAGTCACAAAAGGAACACTATTACCAAAAGAAGTAGTTGTTATGGAAATACTATTACTAGTTATATTACCAGCAGACATTGTAGCTAAAAGAAAATTTGTCATAGAAGCATCATTATTTGTGCTAGCAACATCAGTACTTGTAGGAGAAGTAGTTGCCATAATAACAGTAGTGTTCATAGCATTAGTACTTTCAGAGAAAGAAGTGGTCATAATGGAAAAACTGTTGCTAGTAGTGTCAACACCAGTATTTGCAAGAGAAGGAATAGCTGTAACTGGAACAGTATTATTAGGAACAGTATCATCAGTACTTGTATGAGAGGTAGCAGTTATATTAGCAACATTAGTACTAGTGCTAGCATTAGTAGTATTTGTTTGAACAGGAGTACTTATATTATTAATAGTAGTACTAGTGCTAACATCAGTAGTACCTGTTAGAGAAGAAGTAGTGGCAATAAGTACAGTAGTACTAATGGTGGCATCAGCAGTACTTGTCAGAGAAGGAGTCACTGAAATGGGAACGGTAGCAATAGTACTCACAGTAGTACTACTTGTAGGAGAAGGCATAGTGGTATTAGGAACAGTATTACTAGTGTTAGCATCAGCAGTATTTGTAGGGGAAGGTGTGGTTGTAATAGGAACAGTAGCACTAGTGCTAGTACTAGTAGTACTTGTAGGGAAAGGAGCAGTTGTATCAGGAACAGTAGTACCAGTTGTAACACCAATAGTACTTGTTGCAAAAAGTGTGGTTGTGATAGGAACAGGGGTAGCATTAGTGCTAGCACTAGTAGTACTTGTAGGGAAAGGAGCAGTTGTATCAGGAACAGTAGTACTAGTTGTAACACTAATAGTACTTGTTGCAAAAGGTGTGGTTGTGATAGGAATAGTAGCATTAGTGCTAGCAGTAGTAGTATTTGTTGGGAAAGGGGCAGTTGTATCGGGAACAGTAGCATTAGTTGTAACACCAATAGTACTTGTTGCAAAACATGTGGTTGTGATAGGAACAGTAGCATTAGTGCTAGCAGTACTAGCATTTGTTGGGAAAGGGGCAGTTGTATTGGGAACAGTAGCATTAGTTGTAACACCAATAGTACTTGTTGGGAAAGGTGTGGTTGTGATAGGAACAGTAGCATTAGTGCTAGCATTAGTAGTACTTGTAGGGAAAGGAGAAGTTGTATCAGGAACAGTAGTATTAGTTGTAACACTAGTAGTACTTGGGAAAGATGTGGTTGTGATAGGAACAGTATCAGTAGTGCCAGTGGTAGTATTTGCACTGGCAGAACTGGTGATTGTCTCAGAACTGGTGGCATTGGTAGTAGATGGAGAAGGATGAGAACTCATTGGGATGGTACTTGTCTTAGTTGGAGTAGGAAGTACAGGACCACCATCAATCCAAGTAACCTCAGTTAACTTTTCCAGGTTGATAGTCTTGTCAGTCAATTGAATAGTTAGTATCTGCCAGAAAAGAAGAGATATAAATGGGTATTTTAGAACTTCTTAAACCTCACATGTAGCTCACCTCTTAAATTACAATTTAACAAAAAATGATGGATTCATTCCTTTCCAGTAATAGGATATAAACATTCCTTTTTGGGTTAGGTCATGTTGATTTTGGTCAGATAAATACAGAGAGATGCTCTGTGTGCATAATCCCTATGCTGGAAATCTTTTCTTTTCACTTCATTTAGTCAGAACCTTATTGTTTACAAATATTTGTAGCTGTGATTAAAACCAACATTTATTAAAATCTCTTTGCTTTGCCATTGGGTTTTAGTCCTCTTGACAGCAGGTTAGTTTCATGTTTTCCTCATTTCAAACAGTATGGTGTCTGGCACATAATAGGCATCAGATATGCCATAGAGTTTTTAAAAAGAAGGTATTCAAGGATTTTCTGCACAATCTTAACTAGAAGCAATTACTTGCAAAGAGTGGTTTTGAACTCAATAGTCCAGGTAAAATGCTTTAAGGTAAATACCCAGAAGAGCCTAGAGGGAGAAGATCTATTTGAGTGCTCAGAGGGGCCATTTTCCAAAGTCCAAATACCATCAGGGCACTCATTTCACGTTTTAGAAAACAAGAACTATGGTTATCCATTTTCACTTTTCTAAACCATCCCTTTTGGGTTGCTGGTTCCGTATTTATGTTGTCTTATGTTCTAAAAGTGAGATACTTTTTTCTTTGTGGTTGCCTTTGGTAACTATTGGTATTTCATCTTCCAAAATTCTGGTTTAGTTGATTCTAGAATCCTCTAGTAGGGCCTGCTATTTATGTCCCCCTGTTTTATCAACCTTTTATCCTATACCACAGGTGGGATGTATTCATTCGAAGATTACCACAGTTTACTGCCAATTTTCGTCTACCTATAAGATCCATCAATTTGACCAGGGACATGAATAACTGCAGGAAGCATGGGGGCAACCTTCAACAGCTTTAGGGAATCACCCTTTCCTTTGTTTTAGCCTCTGCAGCAGAAATAAGTTTTATTTTGCTAATGTGGAAGACTAACCTATCAAAACATAGCACAGTCTCTTTGGTAAATACATGGAGAGGATCTCATCAGGCCAGTGATCACTGACCCCTAGGCCATACTGGAAAGACCATTAATGTTGCATATTTTACAATATGATTCAACATTTGCAACTTTTCAGGAACATATCTATTGCACGTATTTATAACCATCTAATACATGAAAATTTAACAATGATAATTTTAATTGTTAGCAAAATTATTGGTGATAATTTTGCAGAATGATAAAATTTACTTGTGATATGCTAATATTCCTTTCAGACCTACCTGATTATAAGGTTCACTCTTGAAATTTGTCTCCATAAATTGCCGGTTGTCATAGGTGAAACTGACTTGTGTCACATAGGTATTCACACCCCAGATTCTAATATACCCAACTTTTAGTGGATTCGAGTCACTCAAATACTTATTGTGTATGGTCTGGATTTGCAGGATGTTCTATAAAGAATTTATAAAGAGAAAAGAATACATAACATATTGTTGATAGACTATGGTCCATATTAAAATATTAACAAACCTAAATTTACTTTTGTTATATTAGTTTGCTATTTCTATTTATGTATTTAAATTTTTATTGATACATAATAATTATACATATTTATGGAGAACATGTGATATTTTGATACATGTATACAATGTGTAGTGATCAAATCAGGGTATTTAGGATATCCATGACCTCAAATAGTCAACATTTGTTTGTTTGTTTGTTTGTTTTGAGATGGAGTCTCACTCTGTCACCCAGGCTGGAGTGCAATGGCGTGGTCTGGGCTCACTGCAACCTCCGCCTCCTGGGTTTAAGCGATTCTCCTGCCTCAGCCTCCTAAGCAGCTGGGACTATAGGTGTGTGCCACCATACCCGGCTAATTTTTGTATTTTTAATAGAGACGGGGTTTCACTATGTTGGCCAGGCTGGTCTCAAATCCCTGACCACGTGATCCTCCTGCCTCGGCCTCCCAAAGTGATGGGATTACAGGTGTGAGCCACCACACCTAGCCACATTCATCATTTCTTCGTGTTGGAAACATTTCAAATATTCTCTTCTAGCTATTTTGAAATATACAATAAATTGTTGTTAACTATCATCACCCTAGTATGTTAGCAAACACAAGAACTCACTCCTGCTATTTAACTGTCTCTTTGTTCCCACTAACCAACCTCTCTTTATGGCCCCCACCCCTTCCCAGCCTCTGGTTACTATAATTCTACTCTCCACACACTTCATGAAGACATACTTCCTGAGTACCTGCTATAATAAATTGGGTAATGCCACAAATAAGTTTATTGTACCAGCATTATGAAAGTTATTTTCCCTATATCATAAGTATTCTTATAATCATTTTGAAAAGAAAATATCATTATTGCTATCTTAGAGATAAGGAAACTGAGGCTCTGGAAAATGAAGTGAGTAGTCCAAAGCGACAAGGCTAGATAACATAGGTAAAGTTGGAAGCGCAAGGTGCCCCTGTACATAGTACTGCACAAGTTAATTTAGAGTGAACAAAGAAGTGTGGCAAACAGTCCCTAGACTGAGGACAGTGTGCAAGAAACATAGGAAGTTAACCAAATCATGAATTGTTTAAGTATCAATACAAGGGTTAAAATAATATGACATAAATTATGAGGTGGCACATGATGAAGGCCCAAATGAAAATCATAGTGGATATTTTTCATGGATGTGAAGAGAAAGGAAAAATTACATGGGAGGAAGAGGGTCAAGAGAGAACTTAGGAAGGACATGTAACTTCGGAACTCCTGGTAAGCATGGGAAGGATTTATTATGAGACAGGAAATAGGGGTACAGGGACACATTGAACAAAGCCACATTCATGGAGGAGTGCAAGGACAACCATAGCTGGTGCTGAGCAAACAGAGACGTGAGGCCAGTTAGGTATGTAAGGAAAGATTTTGAAGATTACATGCAATAATCAAGGAGATAGTTGTAGCAGAGGGAAGCTATGCATTTCTCAATTATGATGGCTGCAGTAGGAAGAGAAAAAAGAAACATGTTCAATTGGCATCATGAAGGATGAACAAGACTTTTGCTACTGGGCAGGCAGAATCAAGGAAAAAATATACAGCTCAAAATAAATGGGTGTACTAAAGCTAGTTCTTATTGATTTGAGAGAGTTGATTTTTAAATTTCCTAGAATTTTGCAAGCCAGCTGATGCTTGAAATTGGTTAAGATGGTGGGAGAAGCTACACTACAGAAATTAGCAAATGTTACAAATCATCTCCCACCCCCACAAGCTGGTTTACCAACCAGGAAACCGCTGATAATAGTTATCCCCTAAGGAAAGTTGCGATCTTTCTTTCATTTCAGGCCCCTTATTCTTAAGGAAATAATCTATCAAACATCACAGAAATAAGAATTCATTTATCAGAAAAATGGAATTTTGAAGTTAGATGTTATTAAAGGGCAATCTAATGTTTTACAATTTTTTAAAAAACACAGATTAAACAGTGTCTCTCCGAATTTGAATAATAGCAGTAGAAATAGAACTAAAATTCAGGACTTCCAGATCATTAAAATAATATTCATTAAAATAATATTTGAGAGGAAAAAATATGTAGAGTCTTCAACCCAACTACTCTTAAGGGCAGAGAATACACAAATTTAATTAGTATACAAAGTCTAGCAGTTAGTTTCAGAGAGGCCAAATGCAGGATGGAACAATATGACCTGATAATCATGTCTATGAGAATAATTTGAAGGTCTTAGCTGACCATGAGATTTATATGTGCCAAACATCTGATACATGTGTTAAAAAATAACACAATGTAATAACAGCAGAAAAAATATAGACTCTAGCTAAAAAGAGGTAGTAGGCAACATGGAAGTCTATGCCATCTTATAGAAATATAAGGGAAACTATATATGTAATTGAATACTTTCTAGTAGTCACATTTTTTTAAAAAGTGAAAAGAAAAAGGGTACATTAATTTCAAAATATATTTTATTTACATGATATAGCCAAAATGTTATTATTACAACATTTTTCAATATAAAATTATTCATGAGGTTTTTTTTTTTTTTTTTTTGAGACAGAGTTTCGCTCTTGCTACCCAGGCTGGAGTGCAATGGCGCGATCTCGGCTCACCACAACCTCTGCCTCCCAGGTTCAAGCGATTCTCCCGCCTCAGCCTCCCAAGTAGTGGGGATTACAGGCATGCGCCACCACGCCTAATTTTTGGATTTTGAGTAGAGACAGGGTTTTCTCCATGTTGGTCAGGCTGGTCTCAAACTCCCGACCTCAGGTGATCCACCTGCCTTGGCTTCCCAAAGTGCTGGCATTACAGGCATGAGCCACCACGCTCAGCCAAATGTTTTTTTTTTTTTTTAATTATACTTTAAGTTCTGGGATACATGTGCAGAACATGCAGGTTTGTTACATAGGTATACATGTGCCATGGTGGTTTGCTGCATCCATCAACCCATCAACCCGTCATCTACATTAGGGATTTCTCCTAATGCTATCTGTCTCCTTGCCCTCCACCCCCAACAGGCCCTGGTGTGTGAAGTTCCCCTCTCTGTGCCCATATGTTCTCATTATTCAACTCCCACATATGAGTGACAACATGCAGTGTTTGGTTTTCTGTTCCTGTGTTAGTTTGCTGAGTGTGATGGTTTCCAGCTTCATCCATGAGCCTGAAAAGGGCATGAACTCATTCTTTTTTATGGCTGCATACTATTCCATGGTATATATGTGCCACATTTTCTTTATCTGGTCTAACACTGATGGGCATTTGGGTTGGTTCTAAGTCTTTGCTATTGTGAACAGTGCTGCAGTAAACAGACTTGTGCCTGTTTCTTTATAGCAGAATGATTTATAACCCTTTGGGTATATACCCAGTAATGGGATTGCTGGGTGAAATGGTATTTCTGGTTCTAGATCCTTGAGGAATCACCACACTGTCTTCCACAATGGTTGAACTAATTTACACTCCCACTGACAGTGTAAAAGCATTCCTATTTCTCCACATCCTCTCCAGCATCTGCTGTTTCCTGACTTTTTGATAATGGCCATTCTAACTGGCATGAGATGATATCTCATTGTGGTTTTGATTTGCATTGGGAAGTATGACCATTTTCACGATACTGATTCTTCCTATCCATGAGCATGGAATGTTTTTCCATTTGCTTGTGTCCTCTCTTATATCCTTGAGTAGTGGTTTGTAGTTCTCCTTGAAGAGGTCCTTCACATCCCTTGTAAGTTGTATTCCTAGGTATCTTCTTCTCTTTGTAGCAATTGTGAGTGGGAGTTTGCTCATGATTTGGCTGTCTATTATTGGTGTATCGAAATGCTTGTGATTTTTGCACATTGATTTTGTATCCTGAGACTTTGCTGAAGTTGCTTATCACCTTAATGAGATTTTCGGCTGAGACAATGGGGTTTTCTAAATATACAATCACATCATCTGCAAATAGAGATAATTTGGCTTCCTCTCTTCCTATTTGAATAAGCTTTATTTCTTTCTCTTTCCTGATTGCCCTGGCCAGAACTTCCAATACTATGCTGAATAGGAGTGGTGAGAGAGGGCATCCTTGTCTTGTGCCGGTTTTCAAAGGGAAAGCTTCCAGCTTTTTCCTATTCAATATGATATTAGCTGTTGGTTTGTCATAAATAGCTCATATTATTTTTATATTTGTTCCATCAATACCCAGTTTATTGAGTGTTTTTAGCATGAAAGGGTGTTGAATTTTATCAAAGGCCTTTTCTGAATCTATTGAGATAATCATGTGGTTTTTGTCATTGGTTCTGTTTATGTGATGGATTGCAATTATTGACTTGCATATGTTGAACCAGCCTTGCATCCCAAGGATGAAGCCAACTTGGTCATGGCTTTTTGATGTGCTGCTGGATTCGGTTTGCCAGTATTTTATGGAGGACTTTTGCATTGATGTTCATCAGGGATACTGGCCTGAAATTTTCTTTTTTTATTGTGTCTCTGCCAGGTGTTGGTATCAGGATGATGCTGACCTCATAAAATGAGTTAGGGCAGAGTCCCTCTTGTTTGGAATAGTTTCAGGAGGAACGGTACCAGTTCCTCTTTGTACTTCTGGTAGAATTCGGCTGTGAATCTGTCTGGTCCTGGGCTGTTTTGGTTGGTAGGCTCTTAATTTAGTGCCTCAATTTCAGACCTTGTTATTGGTCTACTCAGGGATTCAACTTCTCCCTGGTTTTACCTTCAGAGGGTGTATGTGTCCAGGAATTTATCAATTTCTTCTAGATTTTCTAGTTTATTTGCATAGAGGTGTTTATAGTATTCTCTGATGGTAGTTTGTATTTCTGTGGGATCAGCGGTGATCTCCTCTCTACCATTTTTTATTGTGTCTATTTGATTCTTCTCTCTTTTTTTCTTTATTAGTCTGGCTAGCGGTCTAACTATTCTGTTAATCATTTCAAAAAACCAGCTCCTGGAGTCACTGATTTTTTTGAAGGGTATTTCGTGTCTCTCTCTCCTTCAGTTCTGCTCTGATCTTAGTTATTTTTTGTCTTCTGCTAGCTTTTGAACTTGTTTGCCCTTGCTTCTCTAGCTCTTTTAACTATGATGTTAGGGTGTTGATTTTAGATCCTTCCTGTTTTCTCCTGTGGGCATTTAGTGCTATAAATTTCCCTCTGAAAACTCCCAGAGATTTTGATATGTTGTGTCTTTGTTTTTGTTGGTTTCAAAGAACTTATTTATTTCTGCCTTAATTTCATTATTTACTCAGTAGTCATCCAGGAGCAGGTTGTTCAGTTTCCCTGTAGTTGTGTGGTTTTGAGTGAGTTTCTTAATCCTGAATTCTAATTTGATTGCACTGCGGTCTGAGAGACTCTTTGTTATGATTTCTGTTCTTTTTCATTTTCTGAGGAGCGTATTACTTCCAATTATGTGGTTGATTTTCGAATAAGTGCTATTGGTGCTGAGAAGAATGTATATTCTGTTGATTTAGGGTGGAGAGTTCTGTAGATGTCTATTACATCTGCTTGGTCCAGAGCTGAGTTCAAGTTCTGAATATCCTTGCTAATTTTCTGTCTTGTTGATCTGTCTAATATTGACAGTGGGTGTTAAAATCTCCCACTATTATTGTGTGGGAGTCTAAGTCTCTTTGTAGGTCTCTAAGGACTTGCCTTATGAATGTGGGTGCTTCTGTATTGGGTGCATATATATTTATGGTAGTTAGCTCTTAACATTATGTAATGGCCTTCTTTGTCTTTTTTGATATTTGTTGGTTTAAAATCTGTTTTATCAGAGATGAAAATTGCAACCCCTGCTTTTTCTTTTTACTTCCCATTTGATGGGCAAATCTTCCTCCATCCCTTTATTTTGAGCCTAGTGTGTCTTTGCACATGAGATGGGTCTTCTGAATACAGCACACCAGTGGGTCTTGACTCTTTATCCAATTTGCCAGTCTGTGCCTTTTAATCAGAGCATTTAGCCCATTTACATTTAAGGTTAATACTGTTATTTGTGAATTTGATCCTGTCATTATGATGCTAGCTGGTTATTTTGCCCATTAGTTGATGCAGTTTCTTCATAGTGTCAATGGTCTTTACATTTTGGTTTATTTTTGCAGGAGCTGATACTCATTTTTCCTTTTCCATATTTAGTGCTTCCTTCAGGAGCTCTTGTAAGGCAGGCCTAGTGGTGACCAAATCCCTCAGCATTTGCTTGTAAATGGATTGCTTGTAAAGGATTTTATTTCCCCTTCACTTATGAAGCTTAGTTTGGCTGGATTTGAAATTCTGGGTTGAAAATTCTTTTCTTTAAGAATGTTGAATATTGGCCCCCATTCTCTTCTGGCTTGTGAGGTTTCTGCAGACAGATCTGCTGTTAGTCTGATGGGCTTCCCTTTGTGGGTAACCCAACCTTCCTCTCTGGCTGACCTTAACATTTTTTCCTTCATTTCAACCTTGGTGAATCTGACAATTATGTGTCGTGGGGTTGCTCTTCTTGAGGAATATTTTTGTGGTGTTCTCTGTATTTCCTGAATTTGAATGTTGGCCTGTCTTGCTAGGTTGGAAAATTCTCCTGGATAATACCTTGAAGTGTGCTTTACAACTTGGTTCCATTCTCCTCGTCACTTTCAGCTACACCAATCAAATGTAGGTTTGGTCTTTTCACATAGTCCCATATTTCTTGGAGGCTTTGTTTGTTCCTTTTCATTCTTTTTTCTCTAATTTTGTCTTCACGCTTTATTTCATTAAGTTGCTGTTCAATCTCTGATATCCTTTCTTTTGCTTGATCTATTCAGTGATTGATACTTGTGTTTGCTTCACGAAGTTCTCATGCTATATTTTTCAGCTCCATCAGGTCATTTATGTTCTCTCTAAACTGGTTATTCTAGTTAGCAATTCCTCTAACCTTTTATCAAGGTTCTTAGCTTCCTTGCATTGGGTTAGAACATGCTCCTTTAGCTCGGAGGAGCTTGTTATTACCCACCTTCTGAAGCCTATTTCTGTCAGTTCATCAAATTCGTTCTCTCTCCAGTTTTGTTCCCTTGCTGGTGAGGAGTTGTGATCCTTTGGAGGAGAAGGGGCATTCTGGTTTTTGGAATCTTTAGGCTTTTTGCACTGGGTTTTCCTCATCTTCGTGGATTTATCTACCTTTGGTCTTTGCTGTTGGTGACCTTCGGATGGATTTTTTGCATGGTCATCCTTTTTGTTGATGTTGATGCTATTGCTTTCTGTTTGTTAGTTTTCCTTCTAATAGTCAGGCCCCTCTTCTGCAGGTCTGCTGGAGTTTGCTGGAGGTCCACTCCAGACCATGTTTGCCTGGGTATCACCAGTGGAGACTGCAGAACAGTTAAGATTGCTGCCTGCTCCTTCCTCTGGAAGCTTCATCCCAGAGGGGCACCCACCAGATTCCAGCTGGAGCTCTCCTGTATGAGGTGTCTGTTGACCCCTGCTGGGAGGTATCTCCCTGTCAGGAGGCACGGGGGTCAGGGACCCACTTGAGGAGGCAGTCTGTCCCTTAGCAGAGCTCCAGCACTGTGCTGGGAGATCCACTGCTCTCTTCAGAGCTGGCAGGCAGGAAGGTTTAAGTCTGCTGAAGCTGCATCCACAGCAGCCCCTTCCCCCAGGTGTCTGTCCCAGAGAGATGGGAGTTTTATCTACAAGCCCCTAACTGGGGCTGCTGCCTTTTTTTCAGAGATGCCCTGCCCAGACAGGAGGAATCTAGAAAGGCAGTCTTGCTACAGCGGCTTTGTGGAGCTGTGGTGGGCTCTGCCCAGTTCGAACTTCCTGGTGGCTTTGTTTACACTGTGAGGGGAAAACCGCCTACTCAAGCCTCAGTAATGGCGGATGCCCCTCCCTCCACCAAACTCGAGCTTCCCACGTCAACTTCAGACAGCTGTGCTGGCGGCGAGTATTTCAAGCCTGTGGATCTTAGCTTGCTGGGCTCTGTGGGGTTGGGATCCGCTGAGCAAGGGCACTCGGCTCCCTGGCTTTCCAGGGGAGTGAATGGTTCTGTCTCACTGGTGTTCCAGGCACCACTAGGGTATGAAAAAAAAAAAACTCCTGAAGCTAGTTTGGTATCTGCCCAAACGGCCACTCAGTTTTGTGCTTGAAACCCAGGGTCCTGGTGGTGTAGGCACCTGAGGGAATCTCCTGCTCTGTGGGTTGCAAAGACCATGGGAAAAGTGTAGTATCTGGGCCAGATAGCACTGTCCCTCGTGGCTTCCTTTGGCTACGGGGGGAGTACCCTGACCCCTTGTGCTTCCTGGGGGAGGTGACACCACACCCTGCTTCTCCTCGCCCTCTGTGGACTTCACCCACTGTCTAATCAGTCCCAGTGAGATGAACCAGGTATCTCAGTTGGAAATGCAGAAATCACCTGCCTTCTGCATTGATCTCACTGGGAGCTGCAGGCCAGAGCTGTTCCTATTTGGCCATCTTGCCCAGGAAGCCCACAAATCATTTTTGAATTTTTTAAGCTAACTTTTGAATATTTCAAATTAGGCTGGTCACATTTCAAGTGTTCAATAGCCACATGTGGCTAGTGGCTATCATACTGGATAGACAGCTCTAAAATATGCTCTCGGTTCTGATGTTTTAAAAGAAATCTAAGTTAACTGGAGTCTAAACAGAATGATCAGACCTGGAAACCACTATAAGCAGGAAATAGAGAAAATATGAAGTTAGCCTGGTGATGTATAATTCTAAGAAGACAAAAGAAATAACTGAGAGACATCTTCAAATATGTGAATCACTGTTATAGAAAAAAAATAGATTTGTGCTATATTACTTCTTGGTTAAAGTGACTAGGTAAAAATAGAGAAGCAGAATCCAGTTTGACCTAGAATGATTCTCCTCATACTCTAATTAAAATTATGTAGATTACCAATGGGATCATTTAATATGCAAGGTGCATTGATTGCATCACTGTTATGAAATATTCAACCCTTACAAATCCATACCCCTTTCCATGCAGTTTTGCAATGCCCTCCCACTCCAGTTGAGGCATTCTGTCCCTCCTCTGTCTCTGGGCTTGACCATGTGATTTTGCTTTGGTAATGGGAAATTAGTCAACTCGATACAAAAAAATTATAAAGAACTAAGGGATCTCCACTTTTATTTTTATTTTAGCCCTCTTCCATAATTATGAAGAAGCCGTGCCTAGACCTTCCCACAAGGCCATGATAAATCATATGAGAGTCAGCTGACCCCCCAGATATGTGAATACAGCCAAGATTACCTAAACAGCCCAATAGACCCAAGACTAACTGGAGATGTATGTGAGCTAGCAAAGATCAGCCAAGACCAGACCCACATCCTCTGAGCCCTGCAAGCTCATGAGCTAAGTAAGTGCTTATTGTTAGATACCACTAAGGTTTTGAGGTCGTCTTTTATGCATTATTGCATAATAAGTAGCTTATATAGCATTTTTCTTTCAAAATTTATCAGCTAGTAAATTTCTCATCTTTGGAAAACATGTTACACATTTAAGGCCCCATTTTTTCCCCAGCATTGTATGAATTCCAAGTTTCTTTTCATGGAGATAGTATACTGGAAAACTGCCAAAGTAAGGATTGTTTCTTCCTTACTTTAATGACAACAGACCTGGATTATAAAAGTAAAGGCAAGAAGAACCTCCTATTAAGATGTGGGATATTACATTTACGCAGTTAACTGTAATGTTTAATCTGTAGACACCTGGGAAAAGATTTGTAAAATGTAGTAAATTAGTCTTACCTGAGCTGCTATAAAGTTTGCCAAAAAATAATTTCCATTTTCATAGGTATCTGCAAACAAGGAAAAGAAAAGAATAAGCAACTACTAACTGCTTCAATTGCAGCAAATAATCTTGAGCGTGGTCAGAAACCACACTCTCAATGGGGTCACAGTTACTGATGATTGTCACCTCTCTGAGGAGCACTGAAGAGAGTGGCTAAGAGACTATTTCACTGCATGTTAGTGTGGGGATGTGCAAATGCAAATGGGTACCTTGCCGGGGAGGTCAGAAGGTTACAAATGCAAGAGAATCTGGGTTGAACAAAGGATAGATTACCTGAAGTGTGGAGACTACTGTTTGGTTATTCTGTGCGAGACAGCAAGCATGTAGTCATAGGAGTTCACATAGCAGTGGTGTTAAAGACTATGATGATAAAGCAGAGGCGAGTGGTTAGGAATTTAGGCTCCCAAGTCAGGTAGACATGGGTTGAAATCCCAACTCTTGTACTTAATAGCTGTGCAAACTCAGACAAGTTACTTAACATTTTATCATCTATAGAATGGAGATAATAGTACCTAGTTAGTGGCAATAAGGTACATAATGTTCGGCTTGTGCACAATAAGTGCTTAAAATTGATTGCTCACTGTCGTCAAAGTCGTCATCAATCTTCACCTTCACCATTCTTCTCTCCCTACTCTTAGCTCATCCTCCCACAGTGCTCCAGATTCCAAGCACTTCTGCCTCTGTAGAATTTATTCCATCGATTCTTCCCTATACCTTCTCTGCTTTTTCAAGCTACATTTATGCTCCAGAGTACTCTGTTCTGATAATACTTTTACCTAATTCTATTTATATCGAGCTACTACCGCATCTCCTTTTTATTACCATACATCTTAAAAAGGTAGCCTTTGCTGGGCTGGGCGCGGTGGCTCACGACTGTAATCCCAGCATTTTGGGAGGCCGAGGCGGGCGCATCACGAGGTCAGGAGCTCGAGACCGTCCTGGCTAACATGGTGAAACCCTGTCCCTACTAAAAATACTAAAACAAAATTAGCCGGGCGTGGTGGTGGGCGCCTGTAGTCCCAGCTACTCGGGAGGCTGAGGTGGGAGAATGGCGTGAACCCAGGAGGCGGAGCTTGCAGCGAGCCAAGATCGCGCCACTGCACTCCAGCCTGGGCGACAGAGTGAGACTCCGTCTCAAAAAAATAAATAAAAATAAATAAATAAATAAATAAATAAATGTAGCCTTTACTTGTTATGTCTGTGTACCCAACTCATAATTCAATCTTACATCTCCTAAACTCCAGCTCCTGTGTTTCCTTTTTCCATGGAATCTGACCCTTTCTAAGTCACCAGTGACATAGTATATAAAATCTAAATATCTCCTCACACTGTTCAGGATTTTTAGGCCACTTTGCCCACACACCTCTCCTTTGAAATACTCCTTACTTTATGTCTCCTTCCCATATGGTTCCTATAACTCCCTGTTTCTGAAAAATCAGTTTCACTTCATGTTCTGTTCTTGGCCCTTCTCAACATTCCAACTCTTGTCAGTATTCCAACATATTCTCTCCCAAACCAACTAACTCTCGAAGTATTCTAAATTACCTCCACTTTTATGGAAGCAATTATACAACTCATATTTTAAAATTTAGTCTTGGCTAGAAAATGCAACCTGGGCAAACACTACAGCCTCTTCTAGCAGTTAATAAAAAAATTGTAAAGAATGGGATTCTGTTAACATGTTCTTTTAAGATTATCCTTGAACAGCCATTATATCACCTATGTGAGGAAAAGTTAAATAAATGGTTCCAAGTCTGCTAATAGAACATTTAAATGACACTTACACTGTATCTTAGTAGTCTGAATTTGAATTTTTAAGCATATTTGATGTTTAAAAAGGCTAAAAACCTTCTCCATAAAAATTTACAAGTTTGAAAGTTTCAGGTACTATTAATTTTTAATCTTAAGACTAAAATATACTGTAATAGAAAGTTAAAATCTTGTAGGAAATGGCTTTATTCCTTTAAATTTTTGAAACATATTGCTCATAGGGGGTTGATTTTGCATACTAATTGTGATGTTATTAACCTACTATGACATCACTCATCTAGTCCTAATTAGCTAAACCTGTATCAAAGGACTTTCTATGTTCTCTTAAAACATTGATCCTCAACCAGCAGTAATTTTGCCTCTCTGGAGACATTTTACAATATTTAGAGATCATGTAGTTATCTTGAAGATAACTTTGCTTTTGACATCAAGTGGGGAGAGGGCAGGGATGCTGCTAAACATGTATAATAACCAGCCCAGCCACCACCACAAAATAATTATTTAGCCCAAAACGTCAGTATTGCTGAGGTTGAGAAAAACCGCTTTAAAATAAGGCCCATTTTTGAAAAAGAACTAAATTGAAGAACTCATGCTTCCTGATTTTAAAACTTACTACAAATCCACTGTAATCAAGACAGTGCAGTGCTGACATAAGAATAGACATATAGATTAAGGCAATAGAAATGAAAATTCAGAAATAAATCCTCACAGTAATGGTCTATTGATTTTTAACAAAAATTCCAAAATAATTCAATGAGAAAAATAATAGACTTTTCACAGATGATTCTGGGACAACTGTAATCCACATACAAAAGAAAGAAGTTAGACCCCTGCCTCACACCATACACAAAAATTAACTCAAAAAGAATCAAAGACCTAAATGTAAGAGCTAAAACTATAAAACTCTTAGAAGAAAATCTAGTAGCAAATACTTGGGACTTTGTAATGTGCAATGGTTTCTTAGCTATAACACCAAAAGCACATTAAACGAATAGAAAAAAATAGATAAATTAGACTTCATCAAAATTTAAAAGTTTGTGCCTCAAAAGAGGCACCTGCTAAATGAGAGAGAATATTTGAAAATCCTGCATCGGATAAGGGACTTTTAGCTAAATTCTATAAAGACTGTTTATGATTCAATAATAAGGACACTTTAATTTTACAATGTGAAAAGAATATAAGCAATCATTTCTCTGAAGAAAATGTACACATGAATAATAAGTACATGTAAAGATGTTCAACAACATTAGTTATCAGAGAAATATAAATTAATCAAAACCACAAAAAACTACAGCTTTTCACCCACTGGAATGATCATAATTAAAAAAATAGATAATAAATGTTGACAAGGAAGAAGAGAGATCAGAACCCTCATACACTGCTGATTGAGATGTAAAATGGTGCTGCCTCTATAGAAAACAGTTGGATATTTTATCAACAGTTAAACATAGAGTTACCACATAAGCCAGAAATTTCACTCCCAGGTATGTATAATATACAAGAGAGTTTTTAAAAGTGTGTCTATTCAAGGACTTATATTCAGATGTTCATAGCAGCATTATTTATAATAGCCAAAAAGTGGAAACAACCCAAATGTCCATCAATTGATGAATGGATATATACCAAGCACTTGTCATGATCTGACAACAAAAACAGTCTGCAGTCCCATTGGCAAGACTCACTGAGGTACCAAAGTGTTGACTGTCTAATCATGGGCACTAACTCCTTTTATTATCATTCCTTGCTCACCTAGCAAACCCCTGATTAAACGTTCATCTTTCACAAAGGCTTAATTTGAGAAAAAATATGTACTTTCCCAAGAGACAGGAATATTAAAATGCATTTAATAAATACAGTTCTTAAATTTAAAAATTGGCACCGTAGTATGCCCTTATAAGGCTCAAGTCCTGCTACAGCTTTGAAATTCAGGATGGCTGGTCAACCTCCTCTTTTTGACTTTTGGATGCCTTATTGTCTTATTATCTTATTAACCACACTAACTTTATTTTATTTACGTATTTATTTATTTTCATTTTGTTTTCATAAGTTAGACATGCTAATTTTATGTAAAGTAGCTCATATTAAATGTTTAGAATAGAGTTTTATTTACTTTACATATTAATAACACATTTTGTTCAGAACTCATGTGCCAGGAATGTTTTATGTATGTTAAATCATTTTATCCTCATAAAATTACAACATAGGTGTATGTTGTAGATACTAAAGAAGAATAAATGGAGACAACAAAATAAGTAATTTTCCAGAAGATATACAACTAGAAAGTTACTGAGATGGTATTCAAACCTAGATCTATTTAATTTCAGAATACCACATGCCTCTCCTAGAGCTTCTTATCAGATTATGTTAAAAAGCAAGTCCAAAGACTGAACTGAGCTCTGAAGAGAGAAGTTGTTTAATTCCTTCATATTTTTTCTTTAGCAAGTTTTCACCCATAAATAGAAAATAAAACCATTTGAAAAATATCTCTCATATATCATATTAAGTGAATATAGGTTATAATATATTATCCATAAACTGTTAGGAGAAATTTAAAATATATTTAAAATACCATCAAAAACTTAAAAATACTTAGGACATATTTAACAAAATATGTACAAGAACTATACGCCAAAAATTATAAAACATTGCTAAGAGTAATTAAAGATCTAAGTAAATGGTAATTATATAGAGCTAGATAGGTAGATAAGTAGGTAAGTAGATGAGAGAAAGAGACAGAGAAAAAAAAGAGATGACAAATATTCAAAAATTGGTCTTAAGAATAAAAGCAATTACAGTCAAAATTCCAGAAGGTGGTCTTGTTGTTAAAAAGTGACAAGCTGATTTTAAAATCTGTGTGAAATACAAAAGAGCTAAAATAACCAAAGAAAAAGAAGAACATGAAGAGCATTTCCTTCTAGGATTTTTATAGTTTGAGGTCTTACATTTAAATCTTCAATCCATCTCGAGTTAATTTTTTTATACAGTGAAAGGTAAGGGTTCAGTTTCATTCTTCTGCACATGGCTAGCCAGTTGTCCCAGTACCATTTATTGAATAGAGTCTTTCCCTACTGCTTGTTTTTGTCACCTTTGTCAAAGATTAGATGGTTGTAGGTGTGTGGCTTTATTTCTGGATTTTCTATACTGTTCTATTGCTATGTGTCTGTTTTTATACCAGTACTATGCTATTTTGGTTACTATAGCCTTATAGTACAGCTTGATGTTGGGTAGTGTGATACCTCTGGTTTTCTTCTTTTTGCTTAGGATTGCTTTGGCTATTTGGGCTCTTTTTCTGGTTCCATAGGAATTTTAGAATAGTTTTTTTCTAATTCTGTGAAAAATGACATTGCTAGTTTGATAAGAATAGTGTCGAATCTGTACATTGCTTTGATTCCTCAAATCCATGAGCATGGAATGTTTTTTTCCATTTATGTGTCTTGTCTGATTTCTCAACGTTGGTCTTGGCAAAATATTTTTGGCTAAGCCCCCAAAAGCAATTACAACAAAAACAAAAATTGACAAGTTGGACTTAATTAAACTACAGAGCTTCTTCACAGTGAAAAAAGCTATCAACAGAGTAGACAACCTACAGAGTAGGAGAAAGTATTCACAAGCTATGCATCCAACAAAGGTCTAACATCCAGATTCTATAAGAAACTTAAATCAAGAAGCAAAAGTCAAATAACCCCATTAAAAAATAGCCAAAGGACATGAACAGACACTTCTCTAAAGAAGACATGTAAATGGCCAATAAACATGAAAAAATGCTTATCATCACCAATCATTACAGAAATGCAAATCAAACCCACTATTATTAAAAAGTCAAATAATAACATATGCTAGCAAGGCTGCAGAGAAAAGGAAATGCTTAAACACTGTTGGTGGAAATGTAAATTAGTTCAGCCACTATGGAAAGTAGTCTGGAGATTTATTAAAGAAATTAAAACAGGACTACAATTCAACCCAGCAATCTCATTACTTGGTATGTCCCAAAGGAAAATAAATCATTCTACCAAAAGGACCCATGTGCTCTTATGTTCCTCACAGCACTATTTACAATTACAAAGACATGGAATCAACCCAGGTGCCTATCAGCAAAGGATTGGATAAAGAAAAAGTGGTACATATACACCATGGAATACTACACAGCCATAAAAAAGAATGAAATCATGTCCTATGCAGCAGCATGGATGCAGTTAGAGGTCACAATCTTAAGAAAATTAACACAGAAAAAGAAAACCAAATAATGCATTTTCTTACTTATAAGTGGGAGCTGAACACTGAGTACACATGGACATAAAGACGAGAACAATAGACACTGCAGGCTATTAGATGGGGTAACAAGGAATGGGGGCATGGGTTGAAAAACTACCCATTAGTTACTATGCTCACTGCCTGGGTGACGGGATCCATACCCCAAACCTCAGCATCATACAATACATCCATGCAACAAACCTGCACATGTACACCCTATATCTAAAATAAAAGTTGAAATTATAAAAATATTATCATTTTATATAAGGAACTTGAGCATCTGTGGAATTTGATATCCGCAGGGGTCCTGGAACCAACCGCCTATGGATACCCAGGGACAGCAGTACTTCTTTCTAGTCAGCTTCTCCCCAGTCCTGATCCTTCCTTCCAGGATCTGGCAACTACTGTTCTGCTTTCTGTGACTATAGACTGGATTTGTATTTTCTAGATTTTATATGAATAGAATCATACAATATGTACTATTTTTGTATTTTTAGCATCTTTCACTTAGCAAAAATGCCTTTTACATTCATCCATGCTGTTGCATGTAAAAGAAATTAATTGCTTTAATTGCTTTTTATTCCTAATAATAATCCATGGTGTCTTCCATGGTAATATTCCATGACTATTGACCAATATACTTATTGATGAATATTTCAGTGGTTTCATTTTTTGACCATTAAAATGAATCTGACATTATTATTTGAATGTAAGTTATTTTGTGGTATAATATTTGCATATAACCTATACACATCCTCCCGTGTACTTTAAATAATCTCCAGGGTACTTATAAAACCTGATCCAATGTAAACATTATGTAAATCATTGGTATCCTGTATTGTTTACAAAATAGTAACAAGAAAAACATGTCTGTACATGGTCAATACAGATGCAACTATTGTAGGCTAACTGCATTTTCAAACCACAGTTGGATGAATCCGCAGGCTGACTATAAAAGGCGAACTTTCAGGGTTATAAAAATATTCCACATCTTCATTGTGGTAGTGGCTATACAACTGTACACATTTGTCAAAACCTAACTGTATTCTTAAAATGGATACATTTTATTTGTATAAATCACAACTTTTTTAAAGTTGATTAAAAGACAGTAATATCACTTCCAGGAATCTACTCTATGGACGTAATCTAAAATGGAAACAATGGTTAATACTCAAGGATGTTATATATGGGCTGGGAACGGTGGCTCATACCTGTAATCTCAGCACTTTGGGAGGCCGAGGTGGGTGAATCACTTGAGGCCAAGAGTTCGAGACCAGCCTGGCCAACATGGCGAAACCCCATCTCTACTAAAAATACAAAAATTAGTGGGTGTTGTGCCACACACCTGAAATCCCAGCTACTCGGGAAGGCTGAGCCAGGAGAATCACTTGAATTAGGGAGGAGGAGGTTGCAGTGAGCTGAGATCGTGCCACTGCAGCCTGAATGAGAGAGTGAGACTCAAAAAAAAAAAAAAAAGAAAAAAAAAAGAAAAAGGATGTTATTTATAACAATGAAAATTAAAACCAACCTGTACATATTCTCTCAATAGAATATGATCATCATACATAATGGTATTTATAAGGAACAAATAATAACATTCACACATGTTTCTGTCATTATGTTAGAGGAAAATAAACAGGATTCACAAATTAAATATGCAAAATGTTTTCAGCCATATTAAAAATTAAGCATTTTCTTAATACAAAAGCCAAAGTTAGTACAGCAAAAATATTAAAAGTGCTTGTATTTTTTTCTAATTTTCTGTCTTTAACATGTGTTGTAAAGAATATCTACTTCTTTAATGAGAATTTCTTATCTTTATAATGAAGGAACCTAAAAAAGAAGGAATCTCTAGAAATATTAGTAGTGAAAAATAAGCTATACTATAATTTCAGAAAATGTGGTATGTTGCAAGATTAGAAGGTTCTGGTCCACAGTAATAAGTAGTGAAAAGTGAGAGTCAGCTAGTAACAGTGTGTCCATATATCTATAGAAAATTCTGAGTTAGAGGGTGTTCTGATGATAATGACAAATCTCACTTACCTAAGTAGAACTAACATACTCTATCTCAACTGGGGAAAGGAAACATACAAATTAATATTTCATCGATGTAAGTATCCTTTGGGCAACACTTAATTCCCAATTTATGAGTCACCAAGAAATTTTCTAACCTCTAAATTGCCTCTTGAGCAGGCCTATTTGTGAGGAACAGGGTGCCTGGTATAGATGGCTGATCCAAATGATAGAGTCATGTTTCTGTCCCATTGAGAATGAATTAACCATCAGCCTGATATTTGCATCCACACTTCTTTTTAAATCAAGAGTGAGACAGTTATACAGAGATAGATCATCCCTGGCTGAATGCATAACAGCAAGTTTCTGAACCTACAAAGCTGGGGACTGTACCCAGTCTATACTAACTATAGTATAATATAAATGAGCAGGCAAAAGTTGGAAAAATTCTCCAAATGTTATTGCCTTATTGACAATAGGCAGAGAGAGGTTTTCAGTTCATGTTAGTTATATGCCGAGCCTCTATGGTATGATTTTTCTCAGTGATGTACAGGGACCCTGGAAAGTTTATACTCACCAATGCTTTGTCCATCATCCCAGAACACCTGGCCTTCAGCTGTCCCATTGTCATCCAAAGCAACAATCAATCCCATAAAATTTTGTCGACTACCAAAAAAAAAAAAAAGAGTTATTTTTCTCTAGATTGTAGGTTGTAAGAATAAAGAACAGACTGTGTTAAAAACATTACTTATCTAGAAATAAAAGAAATGTATTAAATATGCATATAAAGTTCTAAAAATAGGTACAATAGATAAAATATAAGACATTTAAAAGTTAATGGAAAACGTTTAAAATTTAATAAAACATTTGGTTTAGCTTCAATTTCTAAAAATCAAATATACATACAAGTAATATAATGAAATATTAATTTCATAGGAAGAAAATCCCTCAAAAGAGAATCCTCAGTAGCTTCCAGGTTGCCACAGAATAAAATCCAAAGTAGTGGCTTGGCATTCACCACCCTCCAGGATCTGATCCTAACCTGCTGGAGTTTTACTTATTTTTATCTCTTCCTTTATCTGTCCTCCAGTTAAACTGGATGGTTTATGTTCCCAAACCCAAGCCATTTTTCACCTTCAGTTCTTTAATCGACCAGGATCTCTCTTTCCCCTTTGTACATTCAAATCTAAAAGATCCAGCTCAAAGCCCTCTTTCATATAAACCATGTGTTATACCACAAGGCTGAAAGTTAACTTCTCTCCTTTTGACTTGTTATTATGTGCCTTTCTTGATGTGACGTGTTCTGTTTAATCAATGATTTTATAAATTTTTACATATTATATGTGTAATTTATATACGTGTATGTACACACACACAACACACAAGCATATCTTTCCTTGATTGACCAAAGCAGACCTAGGAATGAACATTAAGTTCTAGGATAGGACAAGGACTCAGTCCTACCTAGTTCTTGTTCAATCACAAGTCAAAGAGCTCATTAACATTCCCTATTCCTTTTTAACAGTGTGGAAAGAGAAACATTTTTCTGCCTTCAGGAAAATTTTTGCCTTTGATACAGCACTACAGACAAAAATATATGTGTGTATATATATCCCTAAGACTAACTTTATGAACTCATCTTCCTCCGAGTCCCACTCAGAAAGCACTCACAGGATCTGACCAGTAAAGCTGTTTGGCAATTTAGTTTATAATCCACATATCCCTGGCGAAGGTGGGACAGCCTCCTGTAAGGCTTCCTCATTACGGTATAGCAAGAGGCTGTTAGACATTGCCTCTTCTCCTCACCTGGAGTGAGTGTTCATAGCAGGCTCTTGCCAGGGCAGGATGTAGCCTCCTCTGACATGAAGGTTGATGTGGTCAAGGGGAGCCTTCAGGATTTTCCTCTGACCTGTTGATGTGCTGCTAGTTCCCTAGAAAGGAGAATACAGGCAAAAAATGGCGAGAGATAAATATATTAAATGAGAGCATGTTTTAATTACAAGTCCTTCCTTTCCTGGGAAGCATGTTAGAAAGTCAGCAAAAGACTGCAAACCTAAAGAGAAAATCTCTGATCTTTCAGTTTTGCTTAAGACTGAAAATCTAGACTTGTCTTTGTTTCTCCAGAAAAGTTGAGAGGCAAGGGCAAGGGTGAGGGGGGAGCTTCAATGAGATGTAGGTGCTTAGATTTCGTCTATGCTCTTATACATGCTTTCATTTAAACAAGCCTTGCCAAGGCTAAAAAGGTCAAAATTATTGCCTTAGGAAATATGTGCTTGGAAATAGAAGGCTCTATCCACCTCTCCACCCTGCATAGACCAAACTGGTTCTTCACAAATATATTAGTTCTTACCGTGCTATAGTCATACCAACGGGCTCTCGGAAAATAAGCAGAGATCTCAAATGTGCTCTGAAACATAAAATTGACATGTCATTATGAATATTTCAAAAAATATTTTTCATTTTCATTTTCAAAACACTGTAGAATTAAGATAAAAAATGAAAATTGTATTAGTGATTGCAATAATTTGAGGGATTTTATTAAGAAAAATCCTGAAAAATTATTCCTCAGAACTACAGAAAAAACTATTTTTAAAAAGTAAATGACAAAATTTTAAAATGAGAAATCAGTCAGTGTAGTAAAGCTTTCATTAACAGAGAGATCTTTTAAATAAAAGAAAAAGATCTCCTGTAGATGTTCTAGAAAGGCATTCGCCTGAAAATAGTGAGCTGGACAAAATAAGATGATCTTTAAAATGCTTTTCCCATGATTTTAGATCATGTGATTGAAGGTTTTCTGACCTACAATGAAGAACTCACAGTTTCCAACACAGGGCTGATTAAGATAGCAGGGCCCAACATGAACTGACGGTCTATATCCCATGTTGTCCTGTCATCCGTAAACCTTAAAAAAATAAACAGGAAAAATTCACCTATCCTCTTATGACTGCTACAGAGGATTATTTGCAAGACATGCTTGGGGAAAGAGGCTGTACTCACTCATGGAGAAGGGGCCGGACAACTGTGCTGCCCTCAACGTGAGCTTTATGCATCAGAGTATAGAGATAAGGAAGCAGGGTATATCTGGTCTCTAGGACTTTTCTGGACAACATCTCAAAGGTTGAATTCCAGGCCACAGGATCTTGTCTCTGTAAGGATAAAGAAGCATATAATGGATCACCTCTTCTTCATTCCATCCCAGTGGCATCAGAAAAGAATCAATGGGCATTTATTCAAAATGTAGGTTACAAGCCACTTACCCTTTCATTCCTGGCCTACCCTTTCCCCCATCTCTGCCACCCTACAAAATTAGAATTTCTTGCTTTCTCCTCTTTATCACTGATTCCTAAGTCCCTGGAATAGGTCCAGCTCTGGCCCTCTACATGTGTACAGAGAGAGGTTTCCGTGCAGCACCAACATATCTTCGATGAATTTGAGTAAAATACAAATTCAATATTCTTAAAAGCAAAGGGATCTTCTTTCATTTTAGCCCCATGTGGAACTATAAAAACCTTTCCTCATGGGTAGTAATTCTCCAGGAGATGAGAAAAGGTATATTTCTAAAAATTACTGATAATTCCAGAGTTCTGAACTCTGTGGATTTTCCAAGAAATTAAGATTCTGGTGATGTTTTTTGATTTTTCTCAGGAAATGAGTATAATAGTCCTGGGGGTTAAAAAGAAGTTATGATTTGAGGGTACACAACACCTGGAGCACGAACTACTGCCTCACCCTTGTCCCGATGTTGTTGTGGTTTCTGGAAAATGGATAAAATGCCCCCAGTTGCATCCAGCGAACACACATCTCATATTCAGCATCTCCAAAGAACCCACAGATATCTGCTCCTGTCTGAGAAGATGCATAATGAGAGCATGAGGTGGGAATTTCATGAGGCGCTGACTCACTAAAATCTGACTGGGCAATTAGTAATGGTCTGAATGTGACTTACATAAGGTATTCCAAAGAGACTGAACTCCATCATGCCTGCAAAGAGAAGACACAGCTGTGTTGGAGGAAGGAGCACTTTGGGAGGAGAGTGAAGGCTTGGCCTGATTTTTCCTTACCCCATTAGAAAGCCCTGGACCATGATGAAAATATTAAAAGATGGGTGTAAATTAAAATCCACGCCCAGAGAGAACTCAGTTCTTGTTAATTTTACCACCCACCTAGATGATGATAGAGACATAACCAGTGCTGTTGAACAGCACAAACTCCAGTGCCCTCCCTGCCAGCACAGGCCCCTGGGAATGAGCCCACACACCAATGATAGATTTCCCCAGCTGGTCCCATGCAGCTGTGTTGTTTCCCAACCGGTGTCCTCCCCAGCGTCCAGAAGAGGGAAATGTGGAGCGGGTGATGATGACCCCTCGCTGTCCTGTCACCTCCTGCACAGCTCTGGTGGGAGGGGAATAAAGAGGTGAGTTGAAGAAACAAACTCCTTTACAGAGAATAACTGCAGCTTGGAGCATGAGAGGGTGAGGGTACTTCGGTCCGAGTCAGATAACTTCTTCCCTGAAAGAATCTGCTGTCTCAAAGCCATGCTAAAGATCCCAACAAACTTCACAGCAAGACTAGAGGTATATCTGCACGTAGAATGTGGGTTTCATTTTTGAAAAATCTGGTTAATTAACTATCACCCTGGAGTAAGAGAAAGGGGTGGGAGTGAGGCGTAATATAGCTATTTATGGAACAATTCCTCTATTCCAGTATTATACCGGTCACTTTCCTATGTGGTGTCTCATAACATCATGAAAAGGTTTCCTTGCACTCCTTTTACTGTTAGGAAGCTAAGATTCAGAGAAGTTAGAAAGGCATTCGCCTGAAAATAGTGAGCTGGACAAAATAAGATGATCTTTAAAATGCTTACCAAAGGTCATTTAAAGGGTAAAGAGGTCTGGGTGTGGTGGCTCACACCTGTAATCCCAGCATTTTGGGAGGTCAAGGTGGGTGGATCACTTGAGGTCAGGAATTCAAGACCAGCCTGGCCAACATGGTGAAACCCTGTCTCTACTAAAAAAAAAAAAAATTAGCCGGGTGTGGTGTGCATACCTCTAATCCCAGCTACCCAGGAGGCTGAGGTAGGAGAATCACTTGAACCTGAGGAGATGGAGGTTGCAGTGAGCTGAGATCGTGCCACTGCCCTTCAGCCTAGGTGATAGAGCAAGACTCTGTCTCAAAAAAAAAAAAAAAAAAAAAAAAAAAAGAGTAAAAAGGAGGCCAGGCACAGAAACTCACACATGTAATCCCAGCACCTTGGGAGGCCAAGGCAGAAGGACTGCTTGAGGCCAGAAGTTCAAGACCAGCCTAGGCAACACATTGAGACCCTGTCTCTACAAAAAAATAAAATTAGCTGGGCAGGGTGGTGCACGTGTGTCTGTAGTCACATGGCAGACAGGGGAAGAGGGAAAAAAAGAATAAGGAGGCAGATCTGGGATCCAAATAAAAGCTACAGCATTTTGGAAATATTCACTCTGCTTTTCTGTACCTCAAAAAGCGAGACATGTTTTGCACACAGAGGCAAATATACATAAAAGATGTTTATCTTTCAGTGGAAGATGGATCATCTGCACGCACCCTTAGAAAATAACAACAACTGTGTGAGGGAAAAATCAACTGAACAAAAGAGAAAGTCTACTAATAGATCCTAGTATGTATACAATCCAAGTATTTGCTTAAAAAAGCATCACAGATCAATAGACACAGATGAATTAGTCAATAAATGATGTCAGGAAAAGTAGCTGACTACTGTTGTGTAAACTAATCCATTTGGGTTATTTCCAATTTTTCACACCAAAACAAATCCAAAAATGAATGGAAATACACACACACACACACACACACACACACACACATACACACATGTTCTATTAAAACTGAAAGAATATATAAACCACCTGATTTCTACAAGAGAAAGGAATTTCAAATAAAAACAATGGACAAAACATAATGAAGTAAAAGGTATAGATTTAACCATACACAAATTGGAAGAATGCATATGTATGTATGTGTGATAAAGAAATGGGGGTGAGGATAGCTTAGATTTTTATAACAGTCTAGATGAGAGATAATGAAGGCCTGGAATAAGGCAGGAAGATAGAGTAGTGACTGATGCAAAGAACTGAGTCACCAACTGAAAGCAGGAAAAGAAAGAGAATCTAGGATGACCTAATGACTAGTTAAACTTGGTTCCTTTCACTAAAATAAAGAATGCTGGAGGGGCCGGGCGCAGTGGCTCACGCCTGTATTCCCAACTCTTTGGGAGGCCCAGGCAGATGGATCACCTGAAGTCAGCAGTTCGAGACTAGCCTGGCCAACATGGCAAAACCCTGTCTTTAATAAAAATGCAAAATTAGCTGGGCATGGTGGCATGCAACTCTAATTGCAGCTACTAGGGAGGCTGAGGCAGGAGAATTGCTTGAACCCAGGAGATGGAGGTTGCAGTGAGTCGAAATCGTGCCACTGCACTCCAGCCTGGGTGACAGAGCGAGACTCCATCTTAAAAAAAAAAAAAAGAAGAAGAAAGAAAAGACTGCAGGAGGACAGGTTTAAGGGAGAGATAAATAGTTCAACATTTTAAGTATTAGATTTGAAGTGCCTATGGGACATCATAAATGAGACAGCTATGGGCAATTCTAGGTTTGAGGCTCAAGAGAGGTTTGGGTTGGGAACAAAGATTTGGGGGCCATCTGAATCCAGAGTGTATTTAAAGCCAGTAGTATGTGTTTGTGCTTATCCAAGGGAAAAGCTACATGGTGTGAAGAAAAAAAAAGATGACTGAACCCAGGTGTGGAAGGAGCATAGGCTTGGAAAGACTGGGAAGGGAAACCTGCAAAGGAGTTTGTGGAACTGTGGCCAGAGAGGTAAATGCATAAATATCTGGAATCTAGGTTGGAAAGCACAGTCAAGATCCTGAGAAACTAGCAAAAGCACACAGAGCATATGCAGCAGGGCATATTATGAACCTCAATATTGTGAACCTCAAGGTCAGCAGAGGATGTAGCATGAAGGTCAGCAGGGAAGAGTCAGTGAACAAAACTGACCACTGATGCCACAAACGCTGAGCTCTCCCATCAATGCAGGCACTCAGGGCTGACAAACAAAGGCATTTTCATAAAAAGAAATAAAAATGGTTCAGTGCTTGGACAGAAAAGAGCAAAGAAGACATGGTCTTCTCCCCAGGTGTGTAGAGGAAATAACTTAAAATGTAGAACATACTGTCAGGTTAGTAGTTAAGAGAAGGAGGGAATTAGGAGGGATGGAGTAATCTGAGCAGGTTTCATGAAGGAAATAGATGTAAGTTGGTCTTTAGATTGTATGTGCTAAGAGATTAGCCTGATCAAGGTCAGAATGACCAGCATTTGTGATTGGTAAAGGGAGAAACATCAAGGTGTATGGGAATTAAAAAATATATATATCATGTATGGAAAGAGTTCCTTCAAACAGCTTGAATATGAGAGGGAGTTGAAAGATTAGATGATGGTTGGAGGAGGATATAGGCAAAAGCAAGAACAACTGGGGCATTTTCAAATATTGATGAAAAGGAATTAAAAAATATTGCTAATGTTTGTTGAGTGCTTACAATATGCCAAGTACTTGTGGATTCATTATATCATTTAATTTTTATATTAACAATAGATGCCATGATTTTTCCAATTTGAAAGATGAGAAAGTTTAGTTAGAAGATTTCACAGCCTAAATCCTAAAGCAATATACCAGCAGTGAGGAAGAAGATAAAAAATAATTCATGAAGAAACGAGCACCCATGGAAAAGTATAATTTGTGGAGCAAGCTTCTCTGAAGAGAAAGATGGCGATGGGATGCAGATGTGTGAAAAGCAAATTTCCCTGAAGAGAGAGGAGGGGATGGTGCATGGGAAAGTTGAGCTTTTGGTAGAAACTTTATCAAGTTTTCACATCTTCTTATTGCTGCTTTCTTTGCCCTGAAAGCCCCTTCTTTGCCAAAAGAAAATTTCTACTCTTCTTTTAACCAACATTCAAACATCACTTCTTCTATGAAGACTTTCTGGATTATCCCAGTAGAGTTAATTGATTTTCCCTCTCATGTTTGACTCCTATAATTAGACAATGAGGTCCTTGAAAGCAGGGACTGTGACTTATTCATCCTTGTACTCTTCCAAGGTAAGGTTATCTCTGAGGTTGCAAAACACCTATTTGTTTTGTGTGTATTTCATATAATGACATGGGTGTTTTCCTGAAGAACTAGTTTTTCCTTGGTTGGAAAAGCCTCAAGCTAGGTGTGGAAAGCAAGACTGTGAAAGAGCAACTGAAAGATGAAGATGTAAAGAAAGTGGGAAAGGGAAGAAGAATTTCTGTTTGGAAGACCATGTTGCCCCTGATTGTGGAACACCAGGGGCAACATGATACATCACCTGTTGATAGCCCAAAATCAAATAGTATGAGGTTCTTGTAAACTCTGGGGACAGAAGGCAGAGAGCTCAGATACTTGAGCAGAAAGGGGCAGTTGAACAGAAAAGATCACACTCTGTCCTGGGAAGAACTAAAGAACAAGTCTGAAATTTCCCAACGACATTGGAAAGTGGCAAAATCTCAGAAGGATAAAAGAAAAGACAAAGGGACAGATAAATATTTATAGAAATAATGGCCAAAAACATATACATTAAAAACTAAAAATAATTGTTGAAAAAATTAAAGATCTAAATAAGTGGAAAGACACCTCATGCTAATGAATCAAAAGAGACTTAATATTGTTAACATGGTAATACTCACCAAACTGATTTATAGACTCAATGTAAAAACTATCAAAATCCCTGTTGCTATTTTGTCAAAACTGACAAAGTGATTACAAAATTCATATCAAATGCAAGGGACCCATAGTAGCTAAAACAATCTTGAAAAAAAAATTGGAAGAGTCACACTTCATCAATTAAGACAGTGTGGTACTGGCATAAGGATATATATATATATAGAGAGAGAGAGATCAATGAAATAGAGTTGAGAAGGCAAAAATAAGCCTTCTCATTTACTGTCAATTGATTTTTGACAAGGTGTCAAGATAATAAAATGAAGGAAAGAATAACATTGAACCACTACCTCACACCATACACAAAAATAAACTTAAAATGGATGACAGATCTTGGTGTAATACCTAAAACTATAAAGCTCTTAGAAGAAGACATAGGAATAAATCTTCATGACCTTGAATTAGGTAATAGTTCCTTGAATATGACACCAAAAGCACAAGTGACAAATGAATAAGTAAGTAAATGAATAAATAGGACTTTATAAAAACTTTTAAAAATGTGCTCCAAAAGGCATGGTTATGGAAGTGAAAAGTTTACAAAATGAGAGAAAATATCCTCAAACTATATATCTCATGAGAAGCTTGAATTTAGAATATTTAAAGAATTCTTACGATCCAATAATTTTTTTTTTTCTGTAGAGATAGTCTTACTTTGTTGCCCAGGCTGAAGTGCAGTGCCATCATAGTTCACTGCAGCCTCAAACTCCTAGGCTCAAGAGATCCTCCTACCTTAGCCTCTCGAGTAGCTGGGACTACAGGCATGCACCATTCTGCCTGGCTAGTTTGTTTGTTTTTTGTAGAGACAGGGTCTCATTATGTTGCCCAAGCTGCCCTCGGACTCCTGGACTCAAGCAATCCTCCCACTTCGGCCTCCCAAAGTACTGAGATTACAGGTGTGAGCCACCACGCCTGGCCACAACTCAATAATAATTAAAAAAAATGATTCTATCAAAAATGAGCAAAGGATTTGAATAGATATTTGAATATATACAAATAGCCAATAGCATATGAAAACATGCTCAATAACATTAGTATTAGTGAAATAAAGTGAAAACAACAATTAGATATCACTTTACCCCCATTAGAATGTCTATAATTTAAAAAGATGAATACCACCGAGTGTTGGCAAGGATGTGGAGGAACTGCAACTCTTATACATTTTATCATACATGCAGGTAAGAATGTAAAATGGTAGGCTGGGTGCGATGGCTCATGCCTATAATCCCAGCACTTTGGGAGGCCGAGGCAGGTGGATCACCTGGGGTCAGGAGCTCGAGACCAGCCTGGCCAACATGGCGAAACCCGTCTCTACTAAAAAATACAAAAAAATTAGCCAGGCATGGTGACTTATGCCTGTAATCCCAGCTACTCGGGAGTCTGAGGCTGGAGAATCACCTGAACCCAGGAGGAGGAGGTTGCAGTGAGCCGAGATTGCACCACTGCACTCCAGCCTGGGCGACAGAGCCAGACTCCATCAAAAAAAAAAAAAAAAAAAAAAAAGTAAAATGGTACAGCCTTTTTAGAAAACAGCTTGATATTTCTTCAAAATATTAAAAATACAGTTCCTATATGACACAGAAGTTCCACTCTTAGATACATATTCAAAACAAAGAAAACATGTCTACTCCAAATCTTGCACATAAATATTCACATAATCACTACTCATAATAGCCAAAAAAAAAATGGAAACAATTTAGATGTTCACTCATTGGTAGATAGGCAAGCAAAATATGGTGTATCTATATAATGAAATTTTATTAGTCAAAAGAAATCAAGTACTGATACATGCTACAACATAGATAATCATTGAAAACATTATGCCAAGTGAAAGTACCCATATACAAAAGAGCACATATTGTGTGATTCCATTTTATGAAATGTCCAGAATAGGCAATCCACATAGACAGAAAATAGATGAGTAATGGCTAGGGCTCAGGAGGTAGGAACAAGGTAGAAATGATTGCTAATGGGCAAAGGTTTTCCTTTTCGAGTTCTGAAAATGTTCGAAAATTTAATTTTTGTGATAGTTGCACAACTCTATGAATATACTAAACATTACCTAATTGCTCACTTTAAATAGGTGAATTTAGTAACCCACTTGATAAATGCGCTCAGAGGTGGTTGCTTGGGCAACCGTGCCTGAAATTTTGACTTTAACCCATTTAACTCGGATCACGTAGATACATGCACAATGCAAATATGAAATGGCAAAAGGAATGATGTGGAAAATTATCTTTGCTGCTGTGACAAAAAGACACTCACTCGTATGTGGGTCTGGTCTGGGACCACCCGTACAGGTTGTGCACGTTGTAGTGCTCCACGGGGGAGCTGTCCGGCAGGATCTGCTGACTCTCCATGCACAGAGTCTTGCTGCTCAGGCCCTTGTCCCTAGATTCCAAATCTGAGGGGAAATGTTGAGTTATTTCCTAAACAACATGATTTGCACATTCACTAGAAATGCCCATCATTTTGGCATTTCTTTACTTCAATCAACAACTTTGTTACCAGTAACAGACCCAATTTTATGAGGTTTTAGTCTATAGAAAACAATGTTCTGTGTCTTTATAACTAATGAAGGGTAAGGATAAAATATGGAGCTGGGAAAAGCAGCTCCCCTTCTTTTTGCACCAACTCTGATTTAATTTATAGAGTGTTGTCATAGCCCTTTTGCCAACATAATAAACTCCTTCATTGTTAGGACTGTTTCTTCCACTAGATGGTAATGTTCTCCAGGGAATAAATCTATTTCAATCATTTTTGTATTTGTGTCTCTAAATCTTTCTGATTTGACAGCATTTGCTTGATACATAAGTACAGATGATCCTTAACTTACAATGTGATTATATCCCCATGAACCCATCACAAGTTGAAAATACTGTAACTTGAAAATGCATTGAATGGACCTAACCTACCTTAAATGTGCTCAGACACTTACATTAGCCTAAGTTGGGCAAAATTATCTAATACAAGGCCTATTTTAAAACAAAGTGTTGAATATCTCTTGTAACTTATTGAACACTATAGTGAAAGTGAAAAATAGAATGGTTATTTGGGCTCTCAAAGTTCGGTTTCTACTGAATGCATGTCACTTTCTTACCATTGTAAGGTTGAAAATCATAAGTCAGACCATTGCAAGTCAAACACCCCCTGCATTAAATTAATGAAGGAGAAAATGAATGAATGAGTGAGTGAGTGAGAAATGGGCAGCATAACAGTGATGTAGACATCAAGAAACTTGAATTCTAGATTCTGTCCCATAGATTACTGGTATAATGCCTTTTGTTGTTGTTGTTTTTCTGGTTTTTGGTGTTTGTTTGTTTTTTTTTATGGGTCTCACTATGTTGCCCAGGCTGGTCTCAAGACTCAAACTCCTGGTCTTAAACAATCCTCCCACCTCAGCCGTGGTACAGTACTTTTAGAAGTGAGTCATTTCCTTCCTTGTTTCTCTGCAACACGAGAAGATTCAACTTTCTGAGATCCTTTTGATACCAACATTCTATTTTTGTTTGTACCACAGAATGACCAAAAAGTATCCTTCATCAAATGTCTGTTTACATGGGCAGAGAGACTTCAGAAACTAGGTTTTAATTCTTTAATCAAAAGAACATCTCTCCACGTGTGTGTGTGTGTGTGTGTGTGTGTGTGTGTGTGTGTGTGTTTAAGGGTTTATTTAAAATTTTAGCAATCTGTTCATAGTTATCAATGGAATCAAATGTACCATGCATCGTTTGGTTTCTTTCACACCACATCATGTCATTATTTCTTGCTTGATTAGTTTAGCTGCACTTATTCAAGGTTATCTTACTTGGGATTTCATGTCATGTTGGAGAATGGTTTCTGTCTTCAACATTAGGCTTCACTTTGACAGTAAAAGGAAAACTTTTGGAGTCTTTGAGTAGGAAAGTAAGTTGATGAAGTAATTATTTTACATACATGGCATATAGGGTGGGTTATTTAGCATTTCATTGCTGCAGCCCCTGACAGATCCATCCACAAAATTTGATGGCTCATTCATATCCTGAAATGAGTTAACAAAAAAAGATCTCGTCATGTCAGGGGCAGGATGGCCTTGGCTATAGAGGACACTAACTCAGGGAGATGACTTTTGAAGCCCTCAGCTCAGCTGGTGGTTTAGTTCACTGTGTTTAATTCCTGGCACTGACCCAAATGGACTCTAAAAATGTGTAGTGTAATCCCTGGCATTGACCCAAATGGACTCTAAAAATTTATATCGGCCAAAGTGGAGTGCTAAACTCCTTGCTTACCTGGCATTTTAAAACTTACAAGGATTGTTTTACAGTGGCAAAAATAGTGAGGTAATGCTGGACACAGGACCTAAGGAAATCTCTTGATACAACTCCCCTTGATACAACTCCCCAACAGAGGTAGCCCATCTTGTTTTACTACGCATGGATTATTCACTTTTTAGTCTATGGCCAGAGGTTACTATTATCTTCCTCTATTTTTTCTTAGTCCAGTTGCTTGGACTAATTCTGATATTGGCATAGGCCAAACACAAGGAGAGTTATCTCACTTTCTGCTATAAATATATTTCTAAAAAGTTATATGTAACTCAGAAACAAGTTTGGAAATAAAAACATACTTTGGGGAATTTGTTACTTAAATGCAAGGAGTAGGGGCTCCTAAGGGAATGTTCACTGTGCACTCTGACAATGGAAAAGTTAAATTTTCGAAAGCCAGACTATTTTAAATAGGACATACTAAAGGCAAATGAAAGTACTTGAGGAACTATTCATTACTTTGAATTACCCAGCTACAGCTTTCCCTCCATTGGAAAAAAAAAAAAAATACTACCCCAGAGCTATCAGCATCTCTTATTCTCAAAGCTGCCCACAACTCTCCACTGTCTGATTTGCCTGTTTGAGTTAATTTGTGTCCTTTCACATGTCTATTCTGTGCCTAACTATCTCAAAGGTGCGGGTGGTCAGGGAGGCCCCTGTGTTTTCAGTGGACTTTTGTCTCTGGAGTGAATCACAGACTTCTTCCAGTCTGACCCAGAGCTGAATAGCTCTTCAGAGCTGGCCTAGAGCTTGCTTAAGATTTCAGGCCACTGGACAGTGGGGAAGGAAATCAGGACAGAGGAAAACATAGATAGAGCTGCCCTTGGACATATATCCCAGGGACATCTCAGGAAGTCCTGCTTTTAAGGCCAACTGGCATTTACAGCAAACATCTGAACAGGCCCTTTAAGCCATTCCCTCAGAGTTGTCTGCCCCAGTACTATGGCAAACGTCTACTTGCTCTCAACTCCATGCCTCACCCACTCCCAGCTCTGCCCTGTAAGACTCCCTTACAATAAGCTTTCAGGTAGATTTGGCCAGTGGGTGATATTGGCAAGAGATTGGAGATGGGAGGTGATTTCTCCCTTTCTCTTTTGCTCTGGCATCTCCAGCAGTAGCAGTCTCCTCTGTGGGCTCCAACATCCACCAGACAATATGTCCCTGGGCAGATCAGCAATGATCTCTGCTTCTCTTGGTCCTAGCACCTAGATTCTGTAACAGCACCTAGATTCTCCCTTTCATCTCTTCAGCCCTATGTCTCTGCTTTGCTAGTCTCTCCTCCCCATGTTTTGACTTGCTAACATTTCCAAAAAAAAAAAAAAGACAACCAAGGGTGCACTTACAATCCACAATCCATCAAACTTCAAGCTCTTCTCTGGCTCTCGAGGGTTTGCATAGAGCTCTTCTATCTCTTTCTTCCACCACGCAGCTGTGCTATTACGAAAGAAGTCAGGAAAGGCAACGTAGGCCCTGTAAAGCTGTAAGAATAACACACACTCTCATTGTCGGGGTCTCAGCCTATACAGGAGACCACAAATGGGAGATGAACAGGAATTTGTGCCTGCCCAGATCAGTCTCTGCTCTAATCTCAGATCTGCTGCTGTTGCAGAGTTTACAACAGAAGCAGAGATTGGGGAAGGCTGACTTCATTCTTTATTTTCTTAGAAGAAGGTTAGATAGCTTTATAATCCCTTTCAAATACAGGATTTGTTTAATAACTGGACATGTAATCACAAGACTGGAAAATTAACAGTGTCTGAACAATTGAACTTTAGAGATGCAAATACTTTTTCTTTTTTTTTTTTACTTAAATATCAGTGTGATATTAGCAAAAGCTTTTTCCAGACTATTCAAATGAGATGAAGGAGGACTGTCATCCAGGGGCAAGTGAACTCCAGAGTAGAGGGGATGCTAGATGACCAGGCTGAGATTAACAACTTTCCTTCATTCAGCTGACTTGTATTTTCTTTTGTATGCAGATAATTTATTAAAATCCAGTCTGTTCATAATGGATTCCCCTCTAGTGAGAAAATGCTAGACTTTGGTTCATTATTTTTCAAGCGTCATAAAGTTCAAACAAATCACAGCCCATTAAAATCACACTTATGAGAGGATTTCATTGATGATTTCCTTCTACACATTTCCATGTTCGCTGTTTGTTGAGCTTTCCACTCGAGGATCTCTTTCTGCCAAGAAACTAACAGTGGATAAGCACCCTCAAGTTAGGGCTACTTAACTGAAGGGTTAGCTACTTATTCATCAGGATAAAAAATGTAAATATCCAGATGTTTAGGGCAATGTTGACAAAAATCTATATACAACTGTACCTTAACCTGAGTTTCATGGTCAAGGGATCCATCTACAATTACATTAGGCAGATCTGGCCAAACCTAGAGAAAAAGAAGGGCAATTAAAACCTTTACAGATCCTTGCATACAGACTATGAGATATTTCATGTGTTAGACTCTGATGACAGGCATCTCCATGAAACGCTTGGGAATCTTTGCCATAAATTAAACTGTAAAGGCTGAATCTACAAAATTACATTAGGTGAAAGTAGGCTGGGTCTCTTGATTCATTCTATGTTTTCAAAATTCTATTTTTGAATTTAATAATTAACTGAATTTCTTTTAAACATATCCTCTGAACAACCAACTTTCGAGTGATTTCTCAGATCTCTGATCTCCTTGTCACAGACCTATAACAAAATTCATAATAAGTATGAAGTGTGACTCTAAAGAAATAAGATTGATTTCCATTCATAACCCATACACCTCACCTCAATACTTTTAAGCACTATCGTGACTTATAGCGGACTCCAAGTATATGTAGCATTAAAAAATCCATAGTACCAACTAATTTTAGCTGTAACTACCAGGACATTAAGTATATACACACTGATTAATTGATTCAATCAACAGACACTTACTAAGTACTTCCTATATGACAAGCACTCTTCCAGGATCTGTATTTACTGAGATTTAAGTAAGAAATAGTACTTGTTTCCTAAGAGTTCACAGATAGTACATAAATGCTACACTGTATGCTATACTGAAGGCAATATTACAGACAAGGGAAAATAGGAAAAACTAAAATAGTTACTAACTGCTTCAAACGAGGTAAGATTTGAGTTGATCTTGAAGTGAAGATATTATCTGGGTAAGTTGAGAAGGTAATATTCAAAGTGAGCACAGGGCCAGGCACAGTGGCTTACGCCTGTAATCCCAGCGCTTTGGGAGGCCGAGGCAGGTGGATCACCAGAAGTCATGAGTTCGAGACCAGCCTGGCCAACATGGTGAAACCCCATCTCTACTAAAAATACAAAAATTAATCAGGAGTGTTGGCACACACATGTAATCCCAGCTACTCAGGAGGCTGAGGCAGGAGAATCGCTTGAACCTGGGAAGAGGAGGTTGCAGACAGCCAAGATCATACCACTGCACTCCAGCCTGGGTAACAGAGTGACACTCCATCTCAAAAAAAAAAAAAAAAAAAAAAAAAAAAAAAAAAAAAAAAGGAGCCTGGAATACATCCAGAGCAGTAGGAAGTAGCATAGTATAATTAAGGAAGAATTCGAACCTAGGCTAAAAGCTATTATCACCTGAAGTCCACCTAAAATGCTATTGCCAAAAATCAGACATATAAAGATGAAGATTGAAGCCATAAAGACGAATTAAAGGAAACAAGAGAAAGAGGAGAATCTATAGGACTTAATGATTCATTTAGATATGAAGGCAGATTAAGCATGATAGGTCAAAGGTGAACGCATGTTTTGCATGCAGGTGTCTGGGAGACACAGATTTCAGTGTCATTCTCAAAGGGATTCTTAATGTTTGTTAATGACCATGTGGAATAAATAAAGAGTGGGGACATCAGAGTATTTCCAGGCAATAGACAGTGCTCAATAATAATAGAGGATGAGATTTGTAACCTTGGTCTTATTAATGCTTATTGAGCTAATCAGCATCGGACAGATTTCTACTCATTCATAATTTATTGATTGTCCAATATATTTTCCAATGTGTATTGAGAGCTGTTTTATTTCAAGACATTGTAATGTTAATTAACTGTAAGCATCTTCCCCAAGCCTTACCTTTCCCCAGACAATGTCATTGGTGTCAGGCCATTTGATGAACACGTTATTTTCCTGTCCTCTAATGAATGGGAGATACTGTGTCTCATTGCCAGAAATGGCTGGGTCCTGCAGTAAAAGAATTTCAAACAGCAAATGTGAGGAAAACATCTCTAAGAAAATTTCTCTCCAAAAATTTAGTAGTTCATAGTGCAGAAGGAAATGGTGAATCTCAATACCAAAAATAAAATGAAATAAAATAAAAATCATTGATAATTTGCCTTATGTCTTACTGCATATATTACCATAGCCAATTGAAAAGGGATGGTGCCATGAGTACTCAAAGTAAGATATAAAACCCTTATGAGGGGTAATCTCTTTCAAAGGGTATAAGAATCTGTGCCAACAAATGAAGGAGCCTTTCTATACTACAAAAAGTTACCACCCCAACCTGTAAGTAATAAAATGAGAGGAAAGGGGACAATATGGCCAGCTAGATGCGGCTGGGAAGCACCTCTCCCATGGAGAAAAACCAAAATACTGAGTAAACCATTACACTTCAAACAGAGCTTTTGAAAGATAACACTGCCAGTCTATAGAGAGGCAATGCAAACACTGAGGTGTAAGAGGGAGAAAGCTGGAAATCCCACATAGAGTTGCTGAGTGCCGGGACCAGCTCCTGGCACTGAACAGGTCCCAAGGAAGGAGTGAGTGAAGGGAAACTTGCACTGCAGACATCTGGGATCCTAGCTACAACAGACCCCACAAACACCATAGACATTTGAATTGGCAAGAGAAACTGCCTGGAGAGTAGGCAGAGGCAGAGCTCAAGCCTGTGCGGAGACGAGAAGGTTCTGCATACAGGGCATCTGCAGCAAAACACGACCATGAGGACCCATCTGCAAAGGCTCTCCATCTTGCTCTGAGTGGCTCTAGCCCCTGCTGACAGCTGAGCTGGGAGACAGCAGCGTTGTCTTTCCTACAGAACAAGGGTGCATCTGATCTGCATGCCACCCGTCTGCCAGCCCCTTCCAAGGCCACTGCTTGGCTGCTCCCAAAAGAGAATGCACACAGCACAGCCTCCACTGCCCCACCTGAGTGCTTTGCTGGTGGCCTGGAAGTACTCTGACCCCCAGCAGAGCCAGTGCTGGACCCTAAGGCCAGAAAACAAAGCTGCAGGCCCAGTACCAACCCACCAGGGTTTAAGCACACAAATCAGGATTATCTAGCTGAGATCTGCGGCTGAGGCTTGAGTAGGGGAGGAGCCCCACTCTCAGAACACTGAGAAGAGTGAGGTATGGGCTTGTGTGCTGGTGTGGGAGTTGGGCATGCCTCCCTCTGCCAGACTGGTCTGGGAAGGATGTAGCCTGTTTACCAGCCACAGACTCTGCCCAAGGGAGCTCCATAGCTCAGAACATCCAACAGACCAACAATCTGGGTGCAAAAGGTTTGGGACAAAACTAGCTTGTCAGGGCAGCTACTAGAGCAGACATTGGAAGGAGACTCAGTTGGGGGAGAGCAAGCTGAGAGGGCCCCAAAGCCATTTGCTGTGCAGAAAATACTGGATCATGGCACCATATCAGCTGCACCCCTACGGCAACACTGCAGTGCCTGGGGATCTTCTGCCCTTGACCCACTGCGTCAACAGATCACCCCCAGACATACCCCACAACCCACTCTGACTCTGCCAAGTACAGAGGACCAACAGGGAGCTGCAGGTCTCATGGTGACTTGACCTTTGGCTCAGGCTGTCCCTAAGAGGGAAGAGCACAGCCTGTCAGGGACGCCCTTGGGGCTAAGGAAACATAGGCATGATATCAGTGATTAGAGGAGGCTCCCTCAAGCACCAAAAATGGACTTGGGAAGGGGGCCATCTCTGGATCCCCCATCTCCCCCACCCCATAGCACTACTGCAACTGTGCTGAAATATGAAAGAGGCCTGCAGCTGAATAAGAGGCTATCTTCTGGCCCTTACTCTTAAACACCATCTACTGTATCGCAGCCTAAATTACACCACCAAACAAAAAGGGTGCCTGTGAAACCCAATGCAGGAATTCAGCCACAGATAAATATCTCTTAAAGAGCCTTGGGCCTCTGAAAGCACCCAGAAATGAAGCCAATCAACTATACTCAACATACACCACAGTCAAACCCTCAAGGAAAATAAAGACTATAAAAACAAAAAGCCATATCCAAAAGACAGCGACTTCAAAAAGATAAAGGAACATCTGCCCTCTCAGATGAGAAAGAATCAGCACAAGAACCCTAGCAATTCAAAAAGTCAGAGTATCTTCTGACTGCCAAACAATTTTACTAGCTCCCCAGCAATGGTTTCTAACCAGACTGAAGTGGCCTAAGTGACAGATACAGAATTCAAAACCTGTATGACAAGGACACTCAACAAGATTCAGGAGAATGTTGAAACTCAATTCAAAGAAGCCAGTAAAATGATCCAAGAGGTGAAAGATAACACAGCCATTTTAACTGAATGGCTAAACTGAACTTCCTAAACTCAACTTCTGGGATTAAAACAAAAAATTATAACACAATTGCAAGTATTAACAACAGAATAGACCAAGCTGAGGAAAGAATCTCAGAACTCAAAGACAAGTCCCTTCTAAACAACCCAGTCAGAAAAAAATTTTTTAAAAATAATTTTTAAAAATGAACAAAACCTCTGAGAAATATAGAATTATGTAAAGAGGCCAAATCTATGACTCATTGGCATTCCTGAGAGAGAAGGGGAAACAAAAAATTATTTGGAAAGCATATTTGAAGATATTGTCCATGAAAATTTCCCCATTCTTGCTAGAGAGTTCAACATGTGAATTTAAGAAATTCAGAGAATCCCTATGAAATATTATGCAAGATAATCATCCCTAAGACACACTAGGAAAGTTTATAGCCATAAGTGCCTACATCGAGAAGTTAGAAAGATCTCAAATTAACAATCCAACTTCACATCTAGAAGAACTATAAAAACAGGAACAAACTTACCCCAAAGATCGCAGAAGAAAATAAATGATCATAATCAGAGCAGAGCTAAACAAAATTGAGATTCAAAAATCCATACAACAGATCAACAAAAGCAAAAGCTGTTTTTTTGAAAGGATAAACAAGATTATAGGCCATCTGCTAGATTGAGAAAAAAAGAAAGATACAAATAAGTATAATCATAAATGACAAAGATGACATTACACCCAATCACACAAATATACAGAATATCCTTAGAGATTTTTATGAACATTTCTATGCACACAAACTAGAAAATCTAGAGGAAATGAATAAATTCCTAGAAACACACAACCTCCCAAGACTGAACCAGAAAGGAAATAACACCATAAACAGATCAATAATAAATTCTAAAATTGTATCAGCAATAAAAAGCCCACCAACCAAAAAAAAGTCCTTAACCAAATGGATTCATAATAAAATCCTACTAGATGTACAAAGAGCTGGTTCCAATCCTACTGAAATTATTCCAAAAGACTTGAGGAGGGATGCCTCCCTAACTGATTATACAAAGCCAACATCATCCTGATATCAATATCTGGCAGAGACAATAAAGAAAGAAAACTTCAGGCTGATATCCCTGATGAACATAGATGCAAAAATCCTCAACAAAAGACTAACAAACCAAACCCAGGAGCACATCAAAAAGTTAACTGACCATGTTCAAGTAGGCTTTCCTCCATAACCCTGAGACGCAAGGTTGGCTCAACATAGGCAAATCAATAAATGTGATTCGCCATATAAACAGAATTAAAAACAAAAGCCATATGATAATTTCAATAGATGTAGAAAGAGCTTTTGATAAAATCCAACATCCTTCATGATAAAACCCTTAAGAAATTAGGCATCAAAGGGAAGTACCTCAAAATAATAAGAGCTATCTCTGACAAACCCACAGCCAACATCATACTGAATGGGAAAAAGCTGGAAGCATTCTTCTTGAGAACTGGAGCATGGCAAGGATGCCCCCTCTCATCACTCCTATTTAACATAGTACTGAAAGTCCTAGCCAGAGCAATCAGGCAAGAGAAAAAAATTAAATGCATCCACACAGGAAAAGAAGAAGTCAAACTCTCTCTCTCCAAGGATGACATGATTCCATACCTAGAAAACCCTAAACACTTTGCCAACAGGCTCCTAGAACCGATAAACAACTTCAGTAAAGTTTCAAGATACAAAATTAATGTACAAAAATTAGTAGCATTTCTATACATCAATAACGTTCAAGCTGAGAAATCTCAAATTAGAAATCTCAAGTTAGTAAGATCTCAAATTAACGATCCAACTTCACACCTAGAAGAACTATAAAAACAAGAATGTTTTTATAGTTCATCAGGAATGCAATCCCATTTACGACAACAACAGAAAGGATAGAATACCTAGGAAAACATCTAACCAAGCAGGTGAAAGAACTTTACAAGAAGTGCAAAACACTGTTGAAGGAAATCAGAGATGACACAAACAAATGAAAAAACATTTCATGCTCATGGACTGGAAGAATTAACATCATTACAATGGCCACGCTAACCAAAGCAATTCATAGATTCAATGCTATATCTATTAAACTACAAATGTCATTTTTCACATAATTAGAAAAACTATTCTAAAATTCACATGGAACCAAAAAACAGCCTGAATAGCCAAAGCAATTCTAAGCAAGAAGAACAAAACTACAGATATCACATTACCCAACCTCAACGTATACTATCACACACCTACAATTATTATCTGATCTTCAGAAAAACTGACAAAAATGAGCAAGAAGGAAAGAATTCTTTATTAATAAATGGTGCTGGGATAACTGGCTCACCATATGCAAGAGAATGGTACTGGACTCCTACCTTTCACTATATACAAAAATTAACTCAAGATAGATTAAAGACTTAAATGTCAGACTTCAAATTATTAAAATCCTAGAAGAAAATCTAGGAAATGTTCTTGACATTGGCCTTAGCAAATAATTCATGGCAAAGTCCTCAAAAGCAATTGCAATGAAACCAAAAATTGACAATGGATCCAATTAAAATAAACAGCTTCTGCACAGCAAGAGAAACTGTCAACAGAGTAATGAGACAACCTACCAAATGGGAGGAAATATTAGCAAGTTGTGAATCTGACAAAGGCCTAAAATCCAGAATATATAAGGAACTTAAATCAACAAGCCAAAAACAAACCATCCCATTAAAAAGTAGGCAGAGGACATGAACAGACACTGCTCAAAAGAAGACATACAAGTGGCTAACAAACATTTGAAAAAATGCTGAGCATAACTAATAGAGAAATGCAAATCAAACCACAAAGAGATACCATCTCACATGAGTCAGAATGGCTTTTGTTGGAAAGTCAAAAAATAGATGTTGGTGGGGCTGTGGAGAAAAGAGAACACTTACACACTGTTGGTGGGAATGTAAATTAGTTCAGGCACAGTGGAAAGCAATTTGGAGATTTCTCAAATAACTAAGAATTGATCTACCATACCACCCAGCAACCCCATTACTGGGTATATACCCTAAGGAAAATAAATTATTCTCTCAAAAAACACAGGTACTTCTATGTCTATCACAGCACTATCTGCAATAGCAGAGATGTGAAGTCAACCCAGGAGCCCATCTATGGTGGATTGGATAAAGAAAATATGGTACATATATATCATGGAATAATACACAGCCATAAAAAGAATGAAATTATGCTCTTTGCAGCAACATGGATGTAGCTGGAGGCCATTATTCTAAGTGAATTAATGCAGGAACAGACATGCAAATACCACATGTTCTCACTTATAAGTGGGAGCTAAGTACTGGGTACACATAGATATAAAGGTGGGAATAACAGAAACTAGAGACTACAAGAGAGGAGAGGGAGGGAGTGGGGCAAGGGTTGAAAAACTACCTGTTTGGTGCTATGTTCACTATCTGGGTAATGGATTCCATCATACTCTGTCATACTCTGATATGGTTTGGGTCTGTCCCTACCCAAATCTCATCCTGAATTCTCATGTGTTGTAAGAGGGACATGGTAGGAGGTAATTGAATCACGGGGGCAGGTCTTTCCCTGCTCTTCTCATGATAGCAAATAAGTCTCATGAGATCTGATGGTTTTAAAAAGGGGAGTTTCCCTGAACAAACTCTCTTCTCTTGTCTGCCACCATGAGAGACATGCCTTTCACCTTCTGCCATGATTGTGAGGCCTCTCCAGCCATATGGAACTGTGAGTCCATTAAACATCTTTCTTTTGTAAATTGCCCAATCTCAAGTATGTCTTTATTGGCAGCGTGAAAACAGACTAATACATACTCCAAACCTCAGCATTACACAATACACTTTTGTAACAAACCTACATATGTACACACTGAATCTAAAATAGAAGTTAAAAAAAGTTTAACCCTGAAATATTTAAATAAACAAATAAATAAGATGTTAAAAAATCCTGTAGGAATTTAAATATGACATAAGTGATTTTTTCCAATGACATAGAAATCTATTTTTACAAAGACAGTTGAGAAGAAAAAGAATGCATTGGTGTTTCTCCATAAAATTCTTGAGAAAAACTTTTGCTAGTGTTTGGAAACAACTCCTGGAGATAAACCAGATTGATAAGACTTAATCCTCAAGCAGAGAGAGCCAATTTATCATGTTTCCAGAGTATAATAGCAATGTTCCTCAAAAACAAGAAACTTCTTTATTGCTCTCTGTGTCCCAATCTGTCTATTTAAAATATCTTCCCCTGTTCACTCCATCCCATACCTGCCCCAATTATTCTCTATAATATTATGCTGTTTCACAATTGTCATATAAATCACTACTGTCTGAAATTATCTTTTCAGATGTTTATTGGCTGTCTCCCTCCATTAGAATAAAAACTTTATAAGAAAAAGAGCACTGCCTTGCTAATTTAGACTATGCATGCACCCTCACACACACACACACAACTTGTAGAAGAGTGGTTTTCAAATACTGTGTTCAATAAATACGTGAATTAGTAAGTGAGCAAAAGTCACCAAATAATGCTGTAAGTTTTGGAAGCTAGAAGAGAGAATCATTTGCAGGTAATTGCCTCTGCATTTGTCAAGATGTGGCTTCCTAGTAATATAATAAATTGGTATTCTGGATCTTAACTCAATTGTTTGTAAGTTTAGGAAGAAATGTCATCTGAGCCTTACCATTTCTGAGTGATGATACAACATAAGAGATTTTTGAACCTCCTGACGTAAAGATGAGATTAAGATACAGCTATTTCTCCTGAGACATAGCCTGAAACAGTGAGATGCCCCCCCCTTTTTTTTTTTTTGCTATCTTCAGTGCTTCAGCCCACAGTTGTTCTAACTTTACCAAGAGAATAATAATTATATTCCAGTGACAGTTATGGAAAATAAATATTATAAAGTATCATCTTTTAAAAGCCCCTTTTCATTTCTTTCTTTCATTTGCTTTTAAATTAAAAAATAATAATTATAGATTCACCACAAGAAGTTGCAAAACAAAACAAAAAGTACAGAGTACAGGAACATTTCTGGTACCCTTCATCCAGTTTCCCACAATGGTGCTATTTTTGAACCATGAATATGGAAACAGAAAGTAGGATCTGATCTGTCTCAATACATACCAAAATGAGAATAAATCTCATGCCATTTTTCTTCATTTGCTCAATCAGAAGACTGAGGTTTTGAAAGTTGGCACTGAGGGTGAAATCCAGCTTCCGGTTCATGTAATCGATGTCTACATGCTGGACGTCCTGCAGAAAGAAGCAGCAAGGCTCTTGGAACCCTGCAGTAGGTGCCCTGCAGGGCACATTAACTGCTCTGCCAGGCCCCTGGTCCTGCTGCCTGCCTGCCCCATTCCAGGCCCCTCTTCATTCCTCATCTCATTACTTCCCTCTGCTGACTTTTCAATTCTGCAGATTGAAATTGCTTTCTGATGCCTGCATGCAGTTCACCTGTGCCCACTCCTTCTCCTTCTGTTTCCCCAATTGGAACTCTATCCCCTTTCCTTTCCTCAATTCATGTCTTTCCCACTCTTCAAATCTCAAACTCAGTCTATCAAACAAAGTTCTAATTGAAATGTTCAAGGGTAGAAACTGGGACTTTCCTAGGAAACAAACAGGATTGTATATCTGGGGTTTTTTTCTACAGTAAATCTGGCTGATTTTTAAAAACTCTCAATAAACTAGGTACTAAAGGAACATATCTCACAATAATAAGAGCCATAGATGACAAACCCACAGCCAATATCATACTGAATGAGCAAAAGCTGAAAGCATTCCCCTTGAAAACCAGCACAAGACAAGGATGTCCTCTCTCACCACTCCTATTCAATGTAGTATTGGAAGTTCTGGCCAGGGCAATCAGGCAAGAGAAATAAATAAACGGGCTAGGCACGGTGGCTCACGCCTGTAATCTCAGCACTTCGGGAGGCCGAGGCAGGTGGATCACCTGAGATCAGGAGTTCAAGACCAGCCTGGCCAATACAGTGAAACCCCGTCCCTACTAAAAATATTTAAAAAATTAGCCAAGCTTGGTGGCCCACACCTGTAGTCCTAGCTACTGAGGAGGCTGAGGCAGGAGAATCACTTGAACCCAGGAGGCAGAGGTTGCAGTGAGCCGAGATTGCTCCATGGCACTCCAGCCTGGGCAGCAGAGGGAGACTCCAACTCAAAAAAAAAAAAAAAAAAGAGAGAGAGAGAGAAATAAAGGGCATTTAGATAGGAAAAGAGGAAGTCAAACTATTCATATTCGCAGATGACATAATCCTGTATCTAGATACTAGATCTTGTCATATAGACAAGATCCTATATCTAGAAAACTCCATCATCTCAACCCAAAAGTTTCTTAACCTGATAAGCAACTTCAGCAAAGTCTCAGGATACAAAATCAATGTACAAAAATCTCTAGCATTTCTATGCACCACCAACAGTCAAGCCTAGAGCCAAACCACAAATGAACTCCCATTCATAATTGCCACAAATAAAATACCTAGGAATACAGCTAACCAGGGAGGTGAAAGATCTCTACAAGGAGAACTACAAACCACTGTTCAAAGAAATCAGAGATGATACAAACAAATGGAAAAACATGCTCATAGATAGGAAGAATCAGTATCATTAAAATGACCATACTGCCCAGAGCAATTTATAGATTCAATGTTATTCCCATTAATCTACCATTGACATTCTTCACAAACTAGAGAAAACTATTTTAAAATTCATATATGTAACCAAAAATGAGCCCGAATAGCCAACGCAATCCTAAGCAAAAAGAACAAAGCTGGAGGCATCAGGTGATCCCCCTTTAAACTATGCTACAGGGCTACAGTAATCAAAACAGCATGGTACTGGTACAAGAACAGACACATAAATCAATGGCAAATAATAGAGAACCCAGAAACAAGACCATACACCTACAACTATCTGATCTTCTACAAACCTGACAAAAACAAGCAATGGGGAAAGGACTCCCTTATTCAATAAATGGTGCAGGGAAAACTGGCTAGCCATATGTAGAATGGAAACTGGACCCCTTCCTTACACCAACATACAAGAACTACATTATTCTATAGCTTTCTTGAATGTCTACCCTCTCTATGCAGTACCAACCCAGGTTTCTGCACATGAAACTTACTCAAACCATGATTGTTGAATAATAACTAAAGTGATTAATATTTAGTTGAAAAAAAGAACTTGCTTCTTTTTAGCCCAAAGGGATAGTCCCCTGCATTGCCATATGACCCTAGGTGAAACTTGTTTGGTAAAACAGAGACTTGTGCATAAGCCAAAATTTGGAAAAGAATAAACCAGCAAATTATTAACGTTGATTACTTTGGTAAGGTAGATTTGTGGATTTTTTCATCTTGTAATTTTCCTATTTTCTAATTTCTGTTTAATAAGTACATAGTATTATAGTATATACAAAGAAAAAAAATTCAGCCTGAATGTATCAAGTTATCTTTGATAAGAACATCATAGCACTTCTAATATAAAATTAGCCACAAATTCCTGTAACTAATTACACCTTGGGCTGAGTGAGGGTTTCATACATAGGGAATCTGGGCTGCCACCATTGCATCATACAAACTGGAGATTTCAGCATCATTCTGGTATCCATAGCGACTCAGATGGAATCCCAAGGCCCAGTATGGAATCATTGCTGGCCGACCAATCAACTAGAATAAAAAGAAAAATGCATCCAGAAAGATTTCTTAGGGAAGACAAGGTGATTGACTTATACTTGAATCAACTTGAGTGTTTCTGCTAAGTACTGTATAAGAGGCCTCACCCAAGAAAGATAAGAAAGTCCAACAAATGTGGAGCAACTACAGACATGCAAAATGATAGAAACGTAATTGAAGTTTTTCTGTATTCCAGAGTTTTCATTCTAGGAAACCTGAGAATTTGCCGGTTATTACTGATTAGCAATTCTTAGGCTGTTTAGCAAGTGAGGGACACATGGGATATTAATATGGCTTTATAGAACCATAATACTAAAATATGATTTCAGCAAAGGCAGTAATAATCTAGTAGTGACACTCAAGAGTCAAAAGAAAAAACTGCCCTATCTCAGTGCTAATAATGTGGTAATAGCCAATAAATATTTGACAATATATTGATGGACAGAATGGCTTCTAACCTCTGTGTATTGCTGAGTTACAAGTTCAGGGGTTGGCCCCAAAACAATGTAGAAGTCCAAAATCCCTCCTGTGGTGCGGTATGTCAGAGCAGGAGTGGGCTGTAATGTCACATCTGTAAGAAAAACAACACACATGAGGCACATCCTTGGAGTTGTAAATTGCCCAGATAGAAAACCTGCTCTAAGATTTGCTTTCTTCATACTCTGTCTTTGATACATGCCTTCTCTAGAAAGTCTTCTCTCATCCATTAGAATCAGAGGTGTATTTGCAGGTACCCCAAATGTAATATGCAATCTCAACAACTTTTATAACTCTGTGAATGGGAGCCAAAGTGTCACAGTAAAATAGGCTATGCCAGAGTAGGAGCCATAACTGATCAAAATTCCATGCCTAACACCTGATCCAGAGTTCTTAATAAATCTTGAATAAATAGGTGAATAAATGGAAAGTCAGTTTATTTGTTCCATTTCCCTTGCCCCCTGAATGTCTCTATTTCTATTGATACCAGGTCAAAATAGAGCGGTCACAGCTGTTTCTGGTGGTGCATGGGAGCTGTGCCTATGCCTTACCCATGGCATTGCTATTTAGCAGGAGCACTCCATGGGCACTACCATCCTCCTCCAGTGCCATGTAGTAAGGGTGGACACCATAGGAATTCTTCTTGTACTGGGAGTCACGAGGGTAATAAACAAAAAGAAAATGCAAGATATTGTTTTCATACCATAACCCAAACAGCAAACTCTTACTCATCATTAAAGATTCAGCTCAATGTCATGTCCTTTGTTGGGCCTTCATTGACTCTCCCTTCTACTCCAAGTTAAAAGCTGTGTCTTCCCCACTTCATGCCTTCCTCATTTATTATTATATAATTCAATTATGTATTATTACATAATTCAGTGATTCCACTGTGCTATCACAATTTCTGCGTCTATTTCTCTCACTAGCCTATAAGTCTCTGGAGAGCAAAGACAGTGTCTTATTAAATGTACAGATAAGCACTTAGCAATGTGCCTGACAAGTAGAATATATTAACTAAAAGTTTGTGAGATAAATAAAATCCATAACTGACAGAGGGAAATATATACATATTTCCCTCTGTCAGTTGTGGATATATATATATATATATATATATATATATATATATATATATATATATATGCCTTTTAGGGACAAAAGAATGTGACACGTGCTCTATTACAACTGAGAGCGGAATTTATCAATATAAGATGAGGTTGATGAGCAAGGTATCATATATAAGCATAAGGATTAAAAGAGATTTACATAAAGAGAAACTGATTGCTAAACTTATTCCTTTGTCCCTACCGCAGGTGGCTCATCATGAGCAAACATTCCCCATGTGTTCCAGTTCATGTTTCTTCTGAAAGTCGTGTGCTCAGTTTCCCCAAAGCCATAGATGTACTGGGACGGCAGACGCGTAGAAATGGAGAGAAACATGTCATTGAAGATGAAGCCAGGGAGTTGAGAATCCCAACTGCAACACAAAAGCAGATCACGCTGAGCTGGAGACCACTGGCCAGAGCTACTTGGAACGTGTTTGGAATGTCTAGTTGATTCCAAAGCCTCCTTAATTATTGCACATTTAGATCCAGGTTCAAATACTGTGACATGACCCAGGTCATAACAATGGCCCTGACTCAGGACCAAAGTTCCATGTTAGATTTCTGTTCTGTGGTTTGTCAGACTGAGAGCTCCTTTTCTGGGTCCTTGTGGGCAAGGGCCATAACTCATTCTTCTATTTATTTCAAGTTCTCAGTGCCTGGAATATCAGCTTGAGTAAATATATAAATAAACAAATAGAGTTTAAGCAAACTTTCCAATAGAAAAGCATGAAACTCTTAGAACAACTTCTCTTGAGTTGGCCAAAGGACTTCTTACCAAAGAGGGCAACAGAGAGGAAATCACTCACACAGCCCAAGAGAGAAGACATACACAGGAAGGCAAAGGTGCACACACAGGTGACAGCTTCTACTGGGATAGGGAACCTCACCCCAGGCAAAATCCAGACTTTCACTTCATTCTATTCAGCAGCAGGACAAGAGATGGGAGATGACAATTCCTTTTATGCTTAACATTGTGAAAAGGCTTGAAGGCTTCTGTGTCCACAGAAGCAAACGTTACAAGAAGCTATTTCTTTCTCCTTTTTAACCTTTGCCCCTCTCTCCTGCCTCTTATTATTTCTTAATGAGACATAATATGGAACTCATTTGTATCTTAGGTTATCTGCTGTACTTATTAGAGTTTTCTGTTCTACTTAAGAACAGTAAGTAGAACATGTATTTTTCTTTCTCTGAAATCAAACAATACTTCATTTCTTTAAACTTTGATTGATTATTTTTGTTAATGACTAACCAAAAACAAATTATCCATTAAAGCATGGGAAAAATAGATATACTCTAACAAATGCACACCTATTTCCATAGAGTCTCTGAGATTAATATTTCACTTGAATTAATTGTAACTGCTGTAATTAAATCTAGAACTACTCTAATTAGAATCAAATAAATAGTGCTTACATCACAGTGCTGGAGTTTTTGCGTTGAATCTGGATTCCAAAAGGATTGTTCTGAATCCTGACATCATACAGACGGTTTTCAGGGTCACCAACTGGTTGGGGAGGGGTGTTCAGTGGTACTGGAACCTCATACCTTTTATTAGTGGGGTCATAGATCTGGCAAGAAGAGAGAAGAAAACTTTCTGTTAGGGTCTCAGACCTAAAACCCCTCATGCCACCCCATATAATTCAGTTTCCATGTTTTTGACCAGTTTGCACCATATCAGTAGGCATCAAACATCCCCAAGCGAATGGATGTGAGGCCTGCCTGCCCACTGTGCCCCATACAGATGCTGAAGTTCAAAAATTGCCTCAGTAAAACCCATTCAAAGCCAAGGAGGGCTCTTCTTCTAAAGAATCTGTGATAGAAGGGGATAGAATTTCATAAATAGAATGTGTGTGTATATGTTTGTAAGTGTGTGGCATGCAGACATGTATGTGCATAGAAATGTGTAAATTTGTGTGTGTGTGTGTGCATGCATGTTAGGAATTAGGGAATTGAGTTTTCATATGGACTCTGAGATCTCCTCACTGTTTGAGCTTCCAGATGTTGTACAGCTTTCCCATTCCTAAAGTTTCTCTTCTGTATCCACCCCTTGTTCCTACTTATGTAACAGGACTGAAGTGTGGGAAGAATAAAAGGAGTGAAAAATGTTATGGAAGGACAAGGAGTTACAACATTATGAGTGACTATCCTCTTTGTCATATTATTAGTCCCAAATTTGTGCTTAGGTGAAGGTTTTCTTCTTTCTTTTTTTTTATTTTTATTTTTAGATGGATTCTCACTCTGTCGCCAGCTCGGAGTGCAGTGGTGCGATCTCGGCTTACTGCGATCTCCACCACCCAGGTTCAAGTGATTCCCATGCTTCAGCCTCCTGAGTAGCTAGAACTACAGGTGCGCACCACCAGGCCTGGCTAATTTTTTGTATTTTAGTAGGGACGGGGTTTTACCATGTTGGCCAGGATGGTTTTGATCTCCTGACCTCACCTGCCTCGGCCTCCCATAGTGTTGGGATTACAGGTGTGAGCCACCACACCTTGCCAGGTGAAGGTTTTCTAAAGTCCTGCTTGGAAATTATGTTTCTTAGACCCAAAGCAGCAGCATTGCCTGGGAGCTTGTTAGGAACGCAGAACCTCAGGCCCCAACCCAGATTTTCTGAATTAGAACTTATATTTTCACAAGCTGCCCCAGTGATTCATGATACATTAAAATGTGGAAAGCAATGGCTACAGCTGAGCTGTCCAAGGTGCTGTCCACAAGCCACACATGGCCTTTGAGTGCCTGACATGGGCTAGTCTGAATTGAGATTCACTAGAAATGCAAAATATACACCAGATTTTGAAGACTTAGAATAATTAGAAGATGGCAAAGTAACTCCATTAAATTTTGATTTCAAGGTGAAATGATAATATTTTAGCGCATTGGTTAAAATATTATTAAAATTAATTTCCCTTTTAAAATATACATTTAAAAATGCATCTACTGGAAGATATGTGTGGCTCACATTATGTTTCCAGTAGACGTATTTTTTAAATGTGCATAGCGGTAGATCTCAAAGTTTGGTCTCTTGACCTGCAGCATCAGCCTTACCTGGGAGCTTGTTAGAAATGCAGATTCTCGAGGCCGGGCGTGGTGGCTCACGCCTGTAATCCCAGCATTTTGGGAGGCCAAGGTGGGTGGATTACCTGAGGTCAGGAGTTCGAGACCAGCCTGGCCAACATGGTGAAATCCTATCTCTACTAAAATACAAAAAATTAGCTGGGCGTGGAGGCGGGTGCCTGTAATCCCAGTTACTTGGGAGGCTGATGCAGGAGAATCGCTTGAACTCGGGAGGCAGAGGTTCCAGTGAGCCAAGATCGCACCACTACACTCCAGCCTGGGCAACAAGAGCAAAACTCTGTCTCAAAAAAAAAAAAAAAGAAAGAAATGCAAATCCTCAGGCTAGGCCCCAGCCCAGGTCTACTGAATTGGAAACCCTAGGGGTGAGGGCAAGAAATCTGGGTTTTAAAATGATCTGAAGGTGATTCTGATGCATGCTGCAGTTTGAGAACTACTGCTAGAGAAAATAATTCTAATATTAGAATTAAGTTAATGCCTCTCATGTGAGTTTGCCACAAAGCAGATCCATTTTTCTCAGGGCTAAATGATGATTCTTTGATGATGTTTATGACCTAGAATACTCATCATTATAGGGAATTCATGGTCCTCATAGATCTAAGGCCACATCCTGGCTTTACCGTCTACTTTCCGACCTTTACCTCTCTACAGGCCTTAGCTCCCTCATCCATAACATGAGGGATTTGGATGAAAAGCTGTTTCAGCGAGGCACAGTGGCTCATGCCTGTAACCCCAGCACTTTGGGAGGCAGAGGGAGGTGGATTGCTTGAGGTTAGACATTTGAGACCGCCTGGGAAACAAGGCAAAACCCCGTCTCTACAAAAAATACAAAAATTAGCCAGGTGTGTCGGAGCACACCTATAGTCCTGGCTACTTGGGAGGCTGAGGTGGGAAGATGGCTTGAGCCAGGGAGGTGGAAGTTACAGTGACCTGAGATTGTGCCCCTGCATTCCAGCCTGGGTGTCAGTGGGAGATCCTGTCTTGAAAAGAAAAAAAATGTTTTAATTGTTTCAATGACTTCTATCCATACAGCACTGTAAATTAAAAACTCCATCTTGAGAACCAGAATCTGCAACATGGGCCTTACCTTGACCTGCAGCATGGTTGCTGTGTGATAGATCACTTTCAGGTGGAGGAAGCTGATCTTTGCAGAGAGAGAATCAGAGGCGGCAGCAGCAGCTGACTCAGGGGCCATCGGGAGGGAAAGGTCTGCAGTGATGCTGGTGTTCAGGTACTGAATATCACTAGCAACATAATTAGGGATGGTGTCATAGTAACAGGTGGGCACTCCAGGAGTAGATGTGTCCTGGAATAACAGGAGAAAGTCTTGCTCAGCCTCTGATACAACACTAAGGCTCTCATTACTGAAGAAGTTGGTTAACACAGACTAAGTCTCTAATACCATGTCCATGGTTATGGGTTGAATTGTGTCCCCTAAAAAAGATGTTAAGTCCTAACCCCTGATACCTGTAAATGTGACTATTTGGAAGTAGGGTTTCTGCAATGAACAAATTAAGATGAGGTCATTGGGATAGGCCTTGATCCGGTATTACTGGTATCCTTATTAATAAGGAAAATTTGGACACAGAGATAGACATGTACACATGTGACTATGAAGACAGAGAGTGGGATGATGCATCTACAAGCAAAGAAATACCCTCAAGGTCCTCAGAAGGAACCAGCTCCACTGACACCATGATCCCACTTCTAGACTCCAGAATTTTGAAGGAATAAATTCCTGTCATTCTATGCCACTCAGTTTGTGGTACTCTGTTATGGTAACCCTAGCAAATGAACACATCCATTTTTTTAAACACACACACTGACCTTCTATAATGAGTGAACCGTGACAGAGCACCAGGAAGTTTGATAGGGAGACAGGAGCCTCCAGGCAGGGTTCTACTCCCAGTGTTCTTATTGCCTCCCATGTAATCTAGAGGAAATCACTTGGCTTCCTAGTTTCCATTTTCTCTGTTGTTCAAATAGACAGGAACAGCCTGACCTTACCCTTCCTGCTTGTGTTCTCCAACAGACAAAACAAGATTGGTTAAAATAGACAATGCATAATGCATACCCAATGTACATTATTATGTTTAAAATTGGGTTTTTAATGATATGGTTGGAGTGGCAATGAGAATGGCAATAAGTTTCTTCTGATTTGGGATGTCTGAGGAAAATACTGATGACCTATCATGTAGAGTTGGCAAAAGGCGTGTTGCACAGGGTCCTGGTTTTCTTCAAGCCACAGACATTTGAAAAGTGTTTTCTAGGTGCCTAATTACTTCCTAATCAATGAGGTAATCTGTTTCTGGTCATTTACCTCCCAAAGACACCCCCGCTGCCTACAACTCTCCTCAGAGGCTGTTGGATCATCAGGGTAGCAGTTGAACTTCTCCAGGTCACTGACAGGAAGATTCCACCTAATAGAGAATTCTTGTCCCAGTACCAGTCCTTGGAGATCAGTGATGGTTACCACCTGGGGAAAGAGACAGTCACAGTGACAAAGGAAGGGAGGGAAAGCCACCCAGAAAGAGTTCTTGGCTGGAAGTCTGGAAGTCAGGACAAGGGCATCTATTCCTTCCTCCAAAACCATTTTGCCATGAGATATTCAGAACTTGGCTGATTCCTGGGTTTTCTCACTTCATGGAGTCATTGTGGAAGTGTTGGATGGGAAGAGTTTTCATCATGCTAATGAGTGCAGATCACAGGCAGGACTGTCATGGTTAGGCTTACTGTCCTCTGGGTGTGATGCTTACCAATTTAATAAAAGTAGTAATAACAACAATAGCTAAAGTTTATGGAGCATTCATACAAGCCAAGCACTGTGATAACCACTTTATAAGCATGATCTCCATTAATCCTAGACAGCAGTTCCATGCTGTGAATGTTTTGACTATCTCCATTTTACAGAACAGAAAACTAAGATACAGAGACACCTAATACCCTAAGAGCTGAGATTGGAGCCCCATTCTGCCTAACTCTAGAAATCAAACTCTTATTCTATGCTATAGGTCTTGTCAACATGGAAGGGGGCTGATCTAAGAAATAACAAATTTCCCAGAACTTGAAATATTCAACTAACAGTGTAAGGGAATCATTCAGTAAGAGCAAAACTGGATTTCTCCTTGCGTTACTCCACTCACATTTTATTAATGGTATGAAAATAGCCTAAAACGGTAAGGACAAATATCAACTGTTTCTCAAAGAGATTCTCCCTTCAATGAGAGGACCAATGTGTAAATACCCATTGCACAATCTATTCACTATGTCACAGCTGGGATCAGAGTGTCTCATTTTAACTGCGCCCAGAGAAGAACTTCCTTCTCTCGGGGTTCCGACTCCCGCTATTTTCTTCAGAGCCCTGATACAAACAAAGCAGAGAGGTCTTTCTTTAGCATGCACACGTTTCTCCTGCATCCTTTCTGTGATGTGTTGGACCTCCCAGCAAGTCAGTTGTGTCTGACTGCCCACAGTTAAAAGAGCAAAGTAGGGCTGGCTGTCAGAGCCAAGGCCTCTGGAAAGGGCCCTGCAGAATGGAAGGATCTCTTACCTTTGTGGAAGCATTGTAGACAACGCTTGGACTGGAGGTGGCAACATTATTCAGTAGGACGATAAAATTAGCTGGCTGTTTGTCCATTCCCAAGATTGTGATATCTGTGAACATGAGGTTGTCAGTGTCCATATAATTATTATTTATAATCTTTGCTTGTAGATGGTTCTGGGAGGGGAAAAAAAAGTCAGATTGGAAACCAGGTACTTCAGACCCTTATTATCCCCAAATACCAGTCAATGTCTCAATTTCTGTGATCCAAGCTGTTTCCTTTTCTCTGCAGTTTCAAATGTTGCTAGGTCATCATCCCTAGGGAACTCGTTCACTCAGACTCTTATCAATCTTAAATTTTTAAGTAATATTTCATCTTTGCTTTTGTTCACTGGTTCTTTACTGATTCTATTAATCGGAAAATACGTCCCTGACACTGTAGAATTTTCAAGCAGACGAGATAGGTACTCACACAGTAAACAAAAAGATAAGAGCCTCATTGGCACACAAAGATAAAGACATACACATATACACCAAAAGGGCCCAAGTAATTTTCTTCCTTTTATTTTACTAATAATGATGATAAGAGCTAAGAATAATCTGAGTGTGTATTATGTGACAGGCACTGTGCTAAGCATTTGACATGTATTACTTCATTCAGTTTTCACGGCAGGCTATGAGGTTGAAGCTATAATTACCCTCGTTTTTCAGATGAGGAGACTGAAACACAGAAAATTAAATAACTTATTTAGGGAACAAAGGTGACACAGTTGAGCTATGACAAAGAAGAAGGTAGAAATTAAGACTGAAGAAAAAAGTAGCAGTTTGATAACTTAAAAAATTAGAAGTCGCATACATATATGCCCAAATGATTTTTTACAAAGACAGATTTTTTTCAACAAAGGTGCTGGGGCAACTGGACATACACAGGTCAAAGGTTGAACCCCAACCTAAATCTTACATATTATATAAAAATTAACTCAAAATAGATCACGACTTAAATGTAAAAGGTAAGACTATATTTTTTTAAATGGGAGATAATATTCAGAATCTAGGACTTGGCGAAGAGATCTTAAGCTTGACATCAAAAAGCACAATCTATAAGGAAAATAATGATAAATTAGATTCATCAAAATTAAAAATGTAAATATATAGATGGTAAATAGACATATGAAAAGATGTTAAACATCATTAGCCATCAGAGAAATACAAATTAAAAACACAATGAGCTGTAACTACACACCAATCAGAAAAGCCTAAAAAAATAGTGACAACATCAGATGCTGGCCATGATGCAAAGAAATTAGATCACTCATATGTTGCTGGTGGAAGTGAAAATGGTACAGCCATTCTGGAAAACAGTTTGGAAGATTATTATAAAACTAAACATGCATTACCATAAGACCCAGCAACTGCACTCTTAGGCACTTATTAAAGAGAAATAAAAACTTATGGCCAGGCACGGTGGCTCACGCCTGTAACCCCAGCACTTTGGGAAGGTGAGGCGGGCGGATCATGAGGTCAGGAGTTCGAGACCAGCCTGACCAACACGGTGAAACCTCATCTGTACTAAAAATACAAAAATTAGCCGGGCATGGTGGTGCATGCCTGTAATCCCAGCTACTCAGGAGGCTCAGGTAAGAGAATCTCTTGAACGCAGGAGGCGGAGGTTGCAGTGGGCTGAGATCGTGCCCTTGCACTCCAGCCTGGGCAACACAGTGAGACTCCCTCTCAAAGCAAAACAAAACAAAAAAACAAACTTATGTTCACACCAAAACCTATACATGAGTGTTAGTAGCAATTTTAATTTATTTGTAACAGCTCATGACTGGAGCCATCCCAGATACTATTAATCAAGTGAGTGATTTTTAAAAGGTTCCATAACTTGGAACACCACTCAGCAATGAAAAGGAGCAAGCTGTTGTCACACACAACTTGGATGGGTTTTGAGGGAACTATGCTGAATGAAAAAGCCAATCCCAAAGGTTGCAAGCAGTTTAGTTCTCTTTACAGAACACTGTTGAAAGGACAAAATTATAGAAATGGCGAACAGATGATTGGTTGCCAGGGGCTGAGGAGGGATTGGGGAAGAAGCAAGTGGACATGCTATTAAAGGGCAGCAGGAAAGATCTTTGTGCTAATGAAATATTCTGTATCTCGATAGCATCAATGCCGGCATTCTGCTTGTGAAATTGTGCTATAGGTTTATAAGATGTTACCATAGGAGAAACTGGGCAAAGGGGTATATGGGAACTCTGTGCTAGTTCTTACAATTGCATGGGGATCTTTAATTATCTCAAAATAAAAGAGTTACTTTAAGATATATATTTTTTATACCTTATATATAAATTATATATATTCTATATCTTAAAGTAGATCCATTTTTATATGTATAGGTACAGATACATATATACACATTTAAAAGAAAGGAGAAAAAAGAAAGAGAGAGAGACCGCCTCAAAAGAAAGTTCTGCCCATATATGATCAGGCTTCTAAGAAAATCAAGTCAGAATTCCCTCATTTTCTGCTGGCCTTGCTGCTTTTTCTTCTCTCAGTCCCCTTGGGAAATAGATATGAGGCAAGTGATGTTCTGTATCTTCCAGCCTTTAAAAGCCGCTACTTTATACCCGTGCCAAAGGCCAAGTTTTACGTGCTACAAAGGACAGCCATTATGGAAGAACCTTAAAAATGTGCCATACCACTCACTAACCCACTCACACCTCATATACACTTGCAAACCTCAAAAAAGGCACATCTTGGAAGCCAGCACCCATCACATAAAACTCAAAGGTAATGTTTTTTTTTCCAGGAAAAAAAAAGTTCTGCACAGAACTCATATTGGTTTTGTAGCAGCTTATAAGCCTGACACACATTAAACACTTTCATGTTCATTTGATTCCTTTTTGGAATCATGACAGTAAAACCCTGTCTCTGCTGCACATAACCATGTGTCTATATTAAACTAAAAACTCAAAGAGCCTTCCCAGCAAGGAACATATGCTGTGTGTTCCTCAAACAAAATACTTACAGAGGTAACAGAGAAATCATATAGAATATACTTCTTTTCAGTCACAGCATCTAAAAAAGAAAGAGGAGTACCGGTTACTATGGGAAGCCAATCAGCCAGGGAGTCCTGCTCTTCTCTTCATTTCATCTGGAATTCCTTTACCAACCATCTAGTTCTGCTCATCTGAGTTCTGTGCATTTTTTTCAAACTTCTGCAAATATTTCCTGGACCATTTTCTCTAAATTCACATGTCAGTCTGTGGTACCATTTCGCTGGCATGTAAAACATTTTGATTTGCATTGTATTTATCTATGTGTGCATTGTATCTATCCTGCTGGATCATGAGTTCCTCAAGGCCTACACAATACATACTAATTCCATGTAGGACAGGATTTTTATATAATCACATAAGTTCATGTGAGGTGTTTACATGGAAACCTTACAGTGAAAAGACATACAATACAAATTAGATATTTCTTCCACAAACCAAAGCAGTATTTTCCAAAGCTATTAAAAAGTGTATTATCTGTTATTAATAATTAATATCCAAGGAAGAGAATAATTAAGCTAAATGAAATAATGCCAGTTGCTTTGGTAGAGTCAGTAACACATAATTTGTGCATTTGAAGTCTATTTTAATGCATTGTGCCTGGCTAATGGAATTTTCAGAATGGATTTTAACCCGTTGATTCTCAGCTACAGATGTAAACGACAGTGCTAATAGGGTTAGTGCCATATTGGGCAGCCTATGATGACTAATTTTCAGGGAGAACCACAGTGATCCACAGGGATGGTGCCTTGAGAAAGTCTACCTTTAGATACACCGTCATCCCAGTACAGCTCCCCCTTTGCTTCTCTCTTATAGTCCAAGGCGATGATGAGTCCCAGGGAATTCCTCCGGCTGTAAAAGAGTACTTCCCAGTTTCAGAGAATGTAGATGAGATGGAACTATGTGAAACCAGCCACCTTCATCCCCCAGGGACAGATAATCCAAGAGTCTATACCAGAAACTGAGTAGATGTTGATATTGGGTGGACACATGGGAGCTGGGTGTGGGCAGGCAGCAGGGGTTGATAGTGAGTGGACATAAAGGGAAGGGTGGACAGAGGCAGTTCCTACAGGCAACTGTTTGGGTTGCAATACATAATACCAACAATTAGCCTCATTAGGTGTTTACCATGTGCCAGGCACTCTTCTAAGTGTCCCGCACACATTATCATTTATATTAATTCATTTAACCCTCATAATAACTCTACAAAGTTAAACTATCATCATCTCCAGTTTACCAATAATAAGCAGAAGCACAGAGAAGTAAGTTACCCAAGGTAAACACATCTAGTATGTAGCCCAAACCAAGGCTTGAACCCAGGTTCTGTAGAATCTGAGCTCTTGACCCCCAAACGGTGTTGGCTTCCACGTGATAACCTTTATCTCCTATTTAACTCAAATTCTCTCACACGGTAGGGAATATACCTAAGGACAATTTCTGGCCATAGGGAAATCCTCCTCAGTGATTACTTTGACTAGTCCTATAATCTGATTCAATCCCAAAGTGAAACACTCTGCAGATGTCCTTAGCAGACTACCATCTACTAAATAGGGACTAAGATGCCAATTTTGGATCAATTTTGAAAGGAGTGGGGGAAGATTACTGATGGGTGACTTATCCCTTGGCTCATCCACAAAAATCCCTATTTGTCTTTCTCATAATGCCCTGCTCCATTAGAGCACCAGAATAGTCATACCTTAGAAGAGTAAGGAGCTTACCTGGCTTCTGTGGTTGTGTTTGGCTTCTGAGTGGGAAATATGTAGCCCCCTCGCAGATGAAGTCCTATCTTGTCACCTGGGAGAAGCATATTCACCAACTGTTTCCTCCATGAGATGGCCACTCCCTAATCAGCAACAACAACAAAAGATAGATCAGGTAATAAGCTGTTTCAGCTAGGAGGGGCCTTAGGTATCATCTCATTCAGTTGACATATTTTAAAGAAGAGACAAACAGAGAACCCCAAAGTGAAGTGACTTGCTGAAAGCATATGGGTAGTAGAGGGCAGAGCTGACACTCCAATCCCCTTTATTTATTTACATTACATCAAGCTGTCATTCCACACCTGGGCTTCAATTGCTAGGCTACCACAGCCAAATGACAAAGCCCAGTCTTGATAGCTACACAATAGCCAGGTTGATATAATGAATTTCCATAAACCTACTCCAGTTATTCAAATTATTTCATTGTACATTTGGAAAGGCCTTCTGCTATGGTCTGAATGCTGGTGTACCCTCAAAATTTATATGTTGAAACTTAATACCCAGAGTGATAGTATTAAGGGGTGGGGAGACTTTTGTGAGGTGATTAAGTCATGAGGGAGGAGCAAGGAGGTGCCATCAGTGAAGCAGAGAGGGCCTTCACCAGACACGGAATCTGCCAGCACCTTGATCTTGGACTTGCCAGCCTCCAAAACCGTGAGCAATAAATTTGTGTTGTTTATAAATTACCCAGTGTAAGGTGTTTTGTTGCACCATCCTGAACCAACTAAGATGCCTTTCTCACAGAAAAAGGACCACAATCAACTAACTATAAATCTTGTACTATTATTCTATGGCAAGCTCCCAAGACTGCTGCTTTAGAATTGCCCTCTGCTAGAGGCAGGTCTGTGAGCCAACCAGGGCTGCCTTACTTACTGTCTCATAGTCATACCAGGTGGCATCAGGTATGTATGCTTTCACTTCGTCCACACCCTAGGTAAACAACAATAATGAGTAGCATTAGCATACCCCTCTCTACAGTTTACAAAACACCTCCAGGCATCATTACATGTGCCTATCTGAACAATCCTGAGAGATGGTTGAGATCATCCCATTCTACAAAGGAAAACACAGACACATAAAGGTTGAGCAATTTACCCAAAGCAGAATGTAGCTAAAAATGATTTGTTTTGCTCAATGCTGCTGCACTTTCTAAGAGAAGCAGAGAAAGTCCATTCACTGAGTTAGTCACATAATTTGACAGTTGGGAGGACAGTGAGCCAGCCAGGCCCCAGGAAAGCCTCCCAGCAGGGCCACTGGTTGGTTAGCAGGACCTGTCATCAGATAGTGTGGCTATAACAACAGCTCAAAGGGCCTTTGACATGGCTACACTGGCAATATTTCATGTTTACAAGCAGATCAGCATAATCCTTCCTGATCCTTGTCCCACACTTTGCCACTTACCCCTGCTCCCAATCACACTTAATAGGATACACATGGTCCTTCATAGTTGGACTTCAGAGCATCGCCTTCCCTTTGCCCAGCACTCCTCTCTCCCTCCCTTTTCTTCTCCACAGGTATTCTCTCTTCGCAGCCCAGCCTAACCCAATCCAAGAGCACACCCGCTCTGGACAAAGGAAACTATAGACAGATGTTCAGCACATACACCCCAAAGTATTTAAAGCCATTGTCAATGCTGCAGCCATATGCCTAAGGACTTAGGCTTTAATTTTAAGGCAATTTTACAACATGAAAATTGTTTTGTTTGGTGGGGCAATGGGACCAAGATTTACTACTTTTTAAAAAATTTCTAAACTTTCATGAGCTCTCTCATTTATATTCATATTTTGATATAAATGCAGTCATAGATAGGAACCAACTTATCCAGCTATAGAACCATGAGGACAAGTGCAATACCCCCTTTCATTGTTTAGATGATAAACATACTTCATATAAAACAGGCGTGATGAGGAGTCCAGGTCCCCATAAGAACTGCTCATGCACATCCCACGTGGCTGAGTCCTGGTAGAACCTAGTAAAGAGGTAGCACAGTGAAGGCAGGTGAAGTCTCTAATACAGGACAATGGCACATTATGTAACAACAAGATCCTAACTAACCTTGCTACCACAAACAAAGTCAAGTGAAACTACAATCAGAAAGGGAGTCTTTGAGAATCAGGAAACTCACTCATGTACAAGGGGCCTTGCTACCGTCTCTCCCCGGGTGTGAGCATGGTAGAAAAGGGTATAGAGATAGGGCAGCAAGGTGTAGCGGATGTTCAGATAATGTCTGGAGGATTTCAGCAGCAGGGAATCAACACCAAAGGCAGCGGGATCCTGGTCCTAGGAGAAAATGGAAGGAATGGCTGAATATTTCTTTCCATCATAGTTCAGAAGTTCTCTTACAATAAGTTTCCCAGATGAAACTAGCCACTTCCTCCAACTTGGAGAATATCAAAGCATTTCTAGAACTGAAAAGATACTAATCCTACTCCTTCATTTTATACATGAGAAAACAATATCAAGGATTATATGACTTTCCCAATGTAGAATTGCAAACAAGTGGCAGAGTTTAAATTTGGTGTCTATCGGCCAGGCGCAATGGCTCACACCTGTAATCCTAGCACTTTGGGAGGCCGAGCCAGGCAGATCACGAGGTCAGGAGATGGAGACCATCCTGGCCAACATGGTGAAATCCTGTCTCTACTAAAAATACAAAAATTAGCTGGGTGTGGTGGCACGTGCCTGTAATTCCAGCTACTCGGGAGGCTGAGGCAGGAGAATTGCTTGAACCAGGGAGTTGGAGGTTGCAGTGAGCTGAGATCGTGCCACTGCACTCCAAACTGGCAACAGAATGAGACTCTGTCTCAAAAAAAAAAAAAAAAATTGGTGTCTGTCTTCTGAGGCAGTTTGTAGCAGCCCCAGAGTGAAATGGAAGTCCCACAGGGGTTGCCATGGAGATAAAGTGGGACTTGCTCCCTCCAGGGTTGCTCCAATTTATTTTACATATTGAGGTTTCTCATATTTTATTTGGGAAATAATATAAGTTGTACTACTACTAAAAAAAAATCCATTGCCTTATAAGCCACATTGCCTGCCACCATGGTCTGTAATCCATCATTTCCTTTCCATGTGCTTGTATGAATTTTAATTTTAACATTTTTTGTCCAGTTTTATCTGTAATGTTTCCACCATCAACATTTGTTTTATTTTCCCTATCCCAAAGATTAGTGACCTCTATTTGTTCTTTGACATACATTGTGCAAATAAATTATGACGATGGTTTTTAGCAGATTTTATCCAAGAGTAAAAAAATAACCCATTAGAAGAAAAATCTAATTTTCCATGGACCCAGAGATGAAAATTTTCCGTCAATGGTCGGCATTCATTTTGTTCATTTTCCATATAATTTGGAAGATGTGAAAGACATACACGTCATCTTTTGACTTGTCATCCTATACTGCGTTACTGAGACTGAGTTTTGGATAAAGTTACCTGAACTTTTTTTTCTTTTGCTCCCTAAGAGGCCCATTTCTCCCCCTCTAAATAGAATGACTCCATGAGACCACTCTATGCACCCAGTGTAGGGCTCATGAAAACTCTGAGGCCAAACATTAAAGAGAGTAACACTCCACAGCCTCCATCACCCTGGTTGTCAACTGACAAAAGCCCAGAGCTGTGCTGTCCACTATGGTGGCCATGAACCACATGAAGCTATTGAACACTTGAACTATGTTTATTGAGACTGAGGAAGTAAACTTTCCATTTTATTTGATGATAGTTACTTTAAATATAAATCTTAAAACTGAATCAACGTAAATTTTTTTTCCATTAAACCAACTTTATTGCTTTGGTAGAATTGCATTTTACTTCAACTGCATACAAAAAATCTTAGCATACAAATTGCGATATGCTACAAGTGTAAAATGCATACCAAATTTTGAAGACCTAGTAGAATGAAAAGGATATAAAATAGCTCATTAATAATATTTTGTATTAAACACAGGTTGAAATGATAATGCTATGTAATATACAGACACACACACACATATAGATACACATTGAGCTATATAAAGTATTTTTAAAACAATGTCCCTGTTTCTTTGTACTTTGTTTTTTTTTTTGTTTTGTTTTGAGACGGAATTTTGCTCTCGTTGCCCAGGCTGAAGTGCAATGGCGCGATCCCAGCACACCACAACCTCTGCCTCCCCGGTTCAAGAGATTCTCCTGCCTCAGCCTCCCAAGTAGCTGGGATTACAGGCATGCGCCACCACACCCAGCTAATTTTGTATTTTTAGTAGAGATAGAGTTTCTCCATGTTGGTCAGGCTGGTCTCAAACTCCGGACCTCAGGTGATCCTCCCACCTTGGCCTCCCAAAGTGCTGGGATTACAGGTGTGAGCCACCGTGCCCAGCCTTTTTGTACTTTTCAAATTTAAACTGACATATGTGGCTCTCCTTATAATTTTATTGAATAGAGCTAGTTTAATCAAAAGGACATACGTGCTTAAACCTAGCTTCCTGGGTTATCTGAGTGTTCTTACCTATGTAAGTCTTCCAGGACACAGCTTCATGAAGAGCACCCACCCACCTGCTCCCAGCCACCTGCTTAAGACATTTAGAAATAGTTCATCTCTCTCTAGATCACAAGTGGCCAGAAAAGCCCAGGGATAAAATACTTTGAAGGTTTGACTGTTAATCCTTCCTGGGTTAAAGACAAAGTCAAGAATTGGAGCTAAAATTATCATTAGGAAGTTATTCTAATGAACCTATTAAGAGCTAAACCACTCAATTGGAAATATTTCAACTTAAGATTACTTTATTAAAAGAAAGGACATCTCACCCTACTTGCTTCTGCTACCATCATAAACACCTCCTTAGGGGGGACTTTGAACCCACTTCCATGTACTTGCCCATCGAAAATACTATTTTGGGTAGACGAGCCTAAAGGTGGAATGAGTCATGAGAAGTAGTTGGCAAGTCCTCCAAACTCTTCATAGAAAGGTAGAATGTTGTAACAAGGGGAAAGAAATGTTGAGATCACTGGCCTAAGCCTCTTTAAATTCTTTCTCCTTGTTCCTCCATACCTATGAGGGATTTCCCTTGTATTAACTGAAATAAAATACCAACAAATTCCAATTGTCCTATCCTATATAGGATAGAACAGAAGTCATGGCAGCACCATAGAAACTTTAACAAATCTTCTCACTTTGTTGGTGAGTTTCCAAGAATAAAATCTTTCAGTATATACATATCCCTTCCAATGCACCCTCACCTTGATTGATACCCTGCTTTTTAAGGCTATGATACAAGACTTTTTTATCCTTCTGCTGCAGTTAGTGCCAACCTGTAGTACTATTTTCCTCAAATCCCCTTTAAGAGCCAGTAGATTAGCTAATCCAAAAAGTTTCCATCACTTCTTTTGGTGACCTTACCCTGAACCCAGGCCCATTGTGATTCCTTGGTAGTGGATAAAATGCTCCAAGCTGCATCCACCTTCTGCAGAGCTCCTCTGTGACATTGTTGTTATAACCACAGATGTTGGCACCTACCTGGAGAATTAGCACACATACAAGCACTGTGGTCAATGAGAGGCGAAAGCATGTAGTGAAGATTTATATGATAAGGGAAAAGAGAACCTCTTTGTCACATCATCCCATGCTTAAGGAGATCCCAGAGTCACAGGGCACACTCCCAGCCAAAGGAGAGAAACAAGATAGAATCCATCACGGACTTACTGATAGTGCAAACAATGGTCCTTGTGTTGAGGCTGTTCCTTAATATTCAGTTCCCAATTTCATACTTTCTTATTTACTAATGCTCTCTTGATGGAATTTTCCTGTGATACTAATACATTTTATTCATGCTGTCTCCTTCCTATCTTCAGAGATTCCATGGATGACAACTCAGTGATAAAGTACTACCATTCTATCTTCAGAAGGCAGCTCACGTAACACATAAAAATTGATCTTTCCAATACATATCACCTTGGAACATGATCCTTGGTTTTTCAGATAATCTCTAAGACTGCTAATTAAAAGAATGTCAACAGACAAAGGGTTAAAGTTCCCTGGTTGGAAATAAGGCTCACCATGGGGATGCCAAACAGGTTGAACTCAAGGATAGTGGGGATAGACCATCGGAGGTCATCCCATGTGGCCGCATTGTCCCCCAGCCAATGAGCAGCAAATTTGCCAGATCCAGCAAAAGTAGAACGGGATAAGATGAAGCTCCTATTATTCATGAAGATGGTCTCCAGGGCTCTGGAAAGGAATACATCCAGTGGAGTGTGAGGTGGGCTGTGAATGTCTAGGACTCACCTTACAATAAGAGCAGCAATGGACTTTCTAACCAAACTGAGAAAACAACATGAGGGTGTCATAAACCAGGTGTCATAAACTTAGTACTATCTAAGAGCTTCTTTCCCATTTTGGGGTAAGATTTCAGATCTCATATAAGACAGTACAAACCTCTATATTCTAGCCCCCATAGCAATTTCTCTAGGCTTCCGTTCCCCGATTTTGTTTTCTCTGTCTAGTTGGATCTGGTTGTGGTCTGGTCCTTTTGGTCAACAGTATATTGGAACCATGATTTGAGTTCCTTGTCCCATCTTTTTTCTAATGTCCTTTGGTTCCATGAATTTCTGCCATGCATAATCCTGTACAGCACAGCACCTGCTCCGATGGGAGCTCTGCACCCTCTGCTGGACTAAGAGGAGAGTTCATGCACCAGCTGGTACACCTCTGAAACTTCAGAACTTATCCCTGGCTTCCTCTGAAACTTCAGACTTATTCTTAGCAATTCTCAATGTTAGCAAATTTTAATCTATGCAAAATAAGAGTCATTGAAATGAGTAAGTCTCAAAAGATCGCATCTGATACTTTCTATAAAGTTAAAAACAACTAACATAGAAAATATTATTTTCATTGTATTATAAATAAAATATTACATGTTACGTAAAACAATATAGAAATGAAAGCAGGCCGGGCGCGGTGGCTCACGCCTATAATCCCAGCACTTTGGGAGGCTGAGGCGGGTGGATCACGAGGTCAGGAGATCGAGACCAACCTGGCCAACATGGTGAAACCCCATCTCTACTAAAAATACAGAAGTTAGCTGGACATGGTGGTGTGCGCCTGTAGCTCCAGCTACTCATACTCAGAAGACTGAGGCAGCAGAATCGTTTGAACCCAAGAGGCAGAGGTTGCAGTGAGCCAAGATCGTGCCACTGCACTCCAGCCTGGGCGACAGAGCAAGGCTCTGTCTCAGACAAAAAAAAAAAAAAAAAGGAATAAAAGCAAAGAAATTAAAAGCACAGAATTCAGAATGGTAATTACTTCAGGGGCACAGATGAACATACAGTGGGGTGACCTATGGTTGGATGTGGGCTGTTTGCCTAGCTTTTATTCTGGACACCTTTTGAATAGGCATTTTATTGAAATGACTCTCCTCTTTTCTTTTTTCCCCCCTGTGGTAAAAAGCCCACATCTTCCATTAGAATTATAAAATTGAACAATAATACAATTAAAGGACAGTAAGACCTGAGCCACGCCACAGTTTCTGCCAGCTCTTCGCAGGCAAGCTCTTCTTTCCCGCTTTCTAATACATGGTCTGAGACAAGTGTATCTTTTCCTAAAACCTCTCTCTGCAAGTCTTTATCACCAGGCACCAGGCAATTCCTCAATACACTATCACAGTCACCAAGGCCTCCTCACTTCATTTTCCTGGGAAGTTTGGAGAGTCTATAAATACTGAATGGCTTATAATGGCAAAAGGGAGAAAATTTTGAAACGGAAAACTGCTTTAAGAAAGTAAAGGGCTTCATTCTGACAATTTACTGTCAAAAATAGGGGTAGGTTGGAGGAGAGGACTCACTCAACTCCTATCCCCACTTCTACTTTAATGTAGACTGGCCGACACTTTGCTTTTATTACCACTGGCTGCAGGTTTATTATACTCTGCAGTAATCAATCATGAAAGAAACACATTCAGCTTACACAGAGTGAAACCAAAACAGGGTTGAAGATATCTGTGGTTCCAGTTTATTTAGAGGCAGGCTGGTACTGTGGTAAAACAGATTAGATAACTGCTGGGTTTTTTTTTTTTTTTAAACATCTTAAAGGAACAGTCTTACTCAGAGGCTTTGTATTTTCTGTCTTTTAGTTTTCTCTTTTCTATCCCCCAGGTCTGGCCAATTTATAATCAGGTTGTGATCACTGAAAGACTCTAGTCTCCTTCGGCTTTCAGCCTAGAGGTGGGGATAATTTTATTCCTGGTTGGCCCACTGTCCCCAGACTATACTTCCATTTAAGGTTGAGCCAAATATTTATCAGACCAATTACTTTAGTTCTTCTGATGTCCAGATCCCATTGAATGAAAATGTTATCCATTTTTTGATCCACTCTGCCTCATGCCCAAAGACCAAGTTCCACTTATCTCCACTGTCCTCTGGGAGCGTAGGCCATTATGCCTGGCCAGAGAAATTAGAAAGACACCTACTATTTGCTCAATCACAATTACCTTTTAACTATTAACCATAACTATTAGAATATATTAACCAACCCATTCTTGATTTATAGCACTTTTACCACATGGAGTCACGGGCAAAAAAGTAATTTGAAACTTTCTTCCCCTCCTCCAACCCTTTCTTACTCTTTCTTACCCTGACTACTCACTCTGTTTCCCATTTCTCATTCTTAGATAGAAGCATCTAAGAATAAAACTATATCAGAACAGGAGATTATGGGAATACCAATCCGAGTCTCATTTCAGAGATGAGGAAATTGAGTCTTATTTATCCAGTTTATTTCTCAGGAAAAATAGAATGAGAGAGAAAAGACAAAGAGAAGATAATGAATCAGAAATATATGTCATTCTTCCTAGAGGTTTTCTTTTTTTAACCAAAATACAAACTTTTACATTTTCTGGACAAGAACTCTCATCTGGATAATCTAATGTAATGCAAAGTCATGAGGACAAAATAGTGCTGGAAAATAACACCGACCCAGTCTCTGCCTCGAAGTCATCAGGTCCCCTAGGTGCTGGGTCCTGCCCTTCCTCTCTCTCTCAGGCCAGGCATTTATCCAACAAAGTGTCTTCAGTACACACTCTATTGATAAGGCTAAGGATATGGGCTGACTTTGCCCTCAAAAAGCTTACAGTCCAGCAGAGAGAAAATTAGCATCTAAAATTTGATACCATGTTTTTTGCATACTAAGCATATTGGAATATGAACAAATGTGGCACAGAAAATGGGAAATAATCTTTTCCTAGAACTGTCAGGAAAGTTCCCAGCATTGAGATTGGAGATGAGGTTTTATAGATAAGCATATTTTGCAAAATGGACAGGGTAAGGAAGGCCATCTTGTGCACGGCAAATAGCACATGAAAGGCATGGAAGAATGAATAGCACTTGGATTTGGGAACAAGAAGATGCAAAGGTGAGAGAAAAATTGTAAGAAAGGGTTCGATTATAAAGTACCTTATAGGTTATGCTAAGAATTTCACTGTATAAAAAATAGCAAGGCACAAATAATTTTACACTGGGGAGAGAAATGAGCAAACAGTGCTTTAGAAAGGTCACTTTCTCAGGAATGTACAGCAGTGCTTTCTAGATTTTAACATACGTTCAATACACCCAGGGATCTTGATAAAATGCAGGTTTTGATTACTAAGTTCAGGGTTGAGGTCCAAGATGCTAATGTTTTCTGGTGATGCTGATGCAGCTGTTCCTTGGACTATGCTTCAAGTAGAAAGGGTAGAGGGTAGGTTACTGGGAGATAAGGGTAAAGTCAGGGAGATTAGTTCTGGGCCTAGTGTAATGATTTGTGTGAGGGATGATGATAACCTAATTAAGAAGTATTAAGGGGGGAAAATGGAGGTGGTTACAGAAATGTTTCAAAAGTAACATCAAAAGGATCAAGGACTGATCGTATGTGAGGGCACAAAAGGCATAAAAGATGGCTTCATGCTTCTCACTTGAGAGTCTGGGATATAGGGATGCTGTTGCTACCAACCAAGATACAGAATTTAAGAGTTTCAGCCAGGCGTGGTGGCTCATGCCTGCAATTCCAGCACTTTGGGAAGCCGAGGTGGGCGGATCACCAGAGGTCGGGAGTTTGAGACTAGCCTGACCAACATGGAGAAACCCCGTCTCTACTAAAAATACAAAATTAGCTGGGCGTGGTGGCGCATGCCTGTAATCCTAGCTACTCAGGAGCCTGAGGCAGGAAAATCGCTTGAACCCGGGAGGCGGAGGTTTCATTGTGCTGAGATCGCGCCATTGCACTCCAGCCTGGGCAACAAGAGCGAAACTCTGTCTCAAAAAAAAAAAAGAATTTAACAGCTTCAAAAATGATCAGCTACAGTGGGAAGATTAGGTGAAAACAGGTAACAGAGCAAGGTGAATGCTATTTGAGGTACTACAAAACATCCAAGTAAGGCCGGGCGCGGTGGCTCACGCCTGTAATCCCAGCACTTTGGGAGGCCAAGGCGGGTGAATCATGAGGTCAGGAGATGGAGACCATCCTGGCTAACGCTGTGAAACCCCGTCTCTACTAAAAAATACAAACAATTAGCCGGGCGTGGTGGCAGCTGCCTGTAGTCCCAGCTACTTGGGAGGCTGAGGCAGGAGAATGGCGTGAACCCAGGAGGCGGAGCTTGCAGTGAGCCGAGATCGCACCACTGCACTCCAGCCTGGGCGACAGAGCGAGACTCCGTCTCAAAAAAAAAACAAAACATCCAAGTAGACAACGTCAGAAGATTGTTTTGGATATTTGTGTCTAAAAATTAGGTAAACATCTCAGGTATAATTATAGATTTTAAAATCATTAGAATTAATTACAGTGAAAACCATGAAAAGAAATAAATTACTTATAAATTACCTATGTGTTGGCATAGACTGTAAAGAGAAGAGGCCAGAGGATGGATTCCTAAGAATCATCAATAGTGAAAGAGCTGATGGAAAAGATCCAGGCACACAGATGAGAGGGAACAGCTGGAAAGAGAGCAGAGGCACCAGGCAGAGAAGTATCTTTTTTTATTTTTTTTTTGAGACGGAGTTTCACTCTTGTTGCCCAGGCTGGAGTGCAATAGCGTGATCTCGGCTCACTGCAACCTCCGTCTCCCGGGTTCAAGCGATCCTCCTGCCTCAGCCTCCAAAATAGCTGGGATTACAGGTGCGCCTGCCACCACACCCGACTAATTTTTCTATTTTTAGTAAAGACGAGGTTTCACTATGATGGCCAGGCTGGTCTCAAACTCCTGAACTCAGGTGATCTGCCCACCTCAGCCTCCCAAAGTGCTTGGATTACAGACGTAAGCCACCGCACCAAGCCAGCAGAGCAGTATCTTAAGGACTGAAGGAGCTAAGTTTAAAGGAGTGGTTATGGCCTTGAGTACCAAGGAGAAAGAGAAGTCAAGTAAGAAAAGGACTGAGACAGGCCCCATAAACCCATCAAAGTCTCCCTGTCTTGTAGAGCACAACAGTGCTCTAGAAACACCAAAACAGGGGGAAAGAAGCCGAGAAAGACAAAGATGCTCTTTCCTAAGCCACTGGAGGATCCACAGCAGCTCTTTAGTTTCCGCATCTGTGCTGCAAATTCAAATTAAAATCTTAAGCCTGGCCCCAAATTTTCTTGCTCTCTTAGGTATAATGATTGTATTGTACCATCTTCCACAGAAGAAACTACACAGTGAGAAGAGGAGTTATTTCTCAATTTACTAAGTCACAAGTAAACAATCTACATGACAAGATATAAAGGATGTTATGATTTGCAGAACACATTTGTCTCCTTGGTAGACTTTCATAATGGGTGGTGGTGGCAACAGCAGTAAAGGTGATGGTGATAGTCATGGTGGTGATGGGGATAGTGATGATGGTGATGGTGGTGGTAGGGATGGTGGTGGTGGTCATGGTAGTGGTGGTGGTGATGGTAGTGGTAGCGGTTATGATGGTGATGGTGAATGGTGGTCATGGTGGGTGGTGGTGATGGTGATAGTGATTGTGGTGGTGGGGGGGATGGTGGTGATAACTGTGGTGGTGGTGATGGTGATAGTAGTGGTAGTGATGGTGGTGGTGATGGCAATAATGGTGGTAGTAATGGTGTGGTTATGACAATGGTGATGGTGTTAGGTAATGGTGGTGGTGATGGTGATAGTTGTGTGTGCACGTGTGTGTGCATGTGTGTGTGTCTTAGGGCAGAAGGGAGAATTATGAGGTAGACAAGCAGGACATTGGGAAGGAAATAGAAGGATATGGTGTAGCATTTCCAGATAAATAAAGGAAATACAGGTAAATTCAAATTCCAAATAAACAACAAGTAATTTTTAGTATGAGAATGTCCCACACAAATTTAATTTGGTGTCCTGTATTTTTATTTGCTAAAATCAAGCAATCCTAGTGCATTCAGTAAAAGGATCCAAGCAAGAGCTGACTTCTAGCTGAGGACTCTAAATGCCTTACATAGTATTGCCTGCTAGTATCCTTGAAATAAGCTCCTTAGCCATAAGCTAATCAAAGATAATCCTGTACAGAAACCAGGGTGTATATGAGAGGAACTCTTAAATACTCTGTAAGAACAGTTTTTCTATTTCTATAAATGCAAAAAATATTTGAACAATATATTACATATAGAACAGAAGAAAAACCTCCACCTCCACCTCCCACCTCCACATATCTGGAATTAGGGTGAAAACCAAGTCCTTACAAGTTTGTGGTTCTTGCCATGGAGTGGCCATACAAGCTGTGGATGTCATAATGAAGGCCCCCATGAAACTCCGTGTCCATGCAGAGAGTTCTTGCAAAAAGTAAGTGATCCAGAACTCCTGGAGGGAAATACTCATTAGTGAGGCACTTCCTCATTAACCATCTTTAACAAATTAGCGGCCCAACTATTTTCTTCCTGATTACTGTACCTTCCCCACCAATCTCCACCTGACCAAATCCATTCCAGATTTTAAATTCTATCCTAAATGCTATTTCCTGCCTGGGGCTAACATTGAGACCTCCAAGGAGATGGATTATTAAAATTAATCTGCATTCCCTTGAGCTCACAAAGAATCCTGGTGAGGGGAGGCAACTGAGAAACATGCTCAGAGCAAACGCAGTGGATCTGAGCCTAAGTATAAAGCATATAGTGTTTATCTACATAAATTTAATCAAGAGAAATTGAGTGTACAATGTATAGGTATGAAGGCAGAGAAAGGGAACTTTTTCTTTTTTATAATACAGTCACACTTAAAAGAAAAATAGAGGCTGGGCACAGTGGCTCATACCTGTAATCCCAGCACTTTGGGAGGCCGAGGCAGGTGGATCACCTGAGGTCAAGAGCTCAAGACAAGCCTGACCAATATGGTGAAACCCCGTCTTTACTAAAATTACAAAAATTAGCCAGGCATGGTGGTGTGCGCCTACAGTCCCAGCTACTTGGGAGGCTGAGGCAGGAGAATCACTTGAGCCCGGGAGGCGGAGGTGGCAATGAGCCGAGATCGTGCCACTGCACTCCAGACTGGGTGACAGAGCGAGACTACATCTCAAAAAAAAAAAAAATAAGATGTGACATTTGGACATTTGGGTAGTTTGACAGTTTGATGTGTAAGTACTCAAATCCTACCTCTGAGAATTATTGTTTGCATTTTCCCTTCCTCAAGCCTGAAATGGCCAGTCTTCTCTGCCACTTCCTCTCCTTGTGAACTCTTCACTGGGGCCGTATCTACCTTCCTTCACAAAGTCTTGCCCATACCTAGGACCTGAGTGTGAGGCACAATTCCAGAAAGTGGTGGGACCAGGAAAGACTGAGGTTGAGTTTTTCCTACGCAGTATAACAGAATCAAGGTTTGGAGCTGGAAATTAAGTTGAAATGTAAGATGGGAAGAAAATTCTATTTCTTGCACAGCTTGGTGTGTGGCATGAGATTCACAACCACTTCAGTGCTCTTTCTCATGCTAATTAATGTGCACTATGCAATCCTGGAAAGGGGAGGGGCTGCCTGGCTATGAGCAAAAGTGGCCGTGTCCACCACAAGCAAGCAGAAAGTGATAGGATTGAGGTTTTCCATAGGGAAAAAAAAAAATCAAAAACAAAATTTAGTTTTGGCCAAAAAGAGGATTGAGAAATTAAGAAAAAAAAAAAAAAAAAACATGATAAACTAATCCAGAGTGGAAAAAAAATGGGGGAATCCAGACAGAGCAGAGAAGAACAAAGAGTAAGTCGAAAAAGCAAACAGTAGATGTTGCAAGAGGTAAAGACTTCCTCCAAAAAATTATTTACTCCTTAAGTGACCAAAAGGAGTTAAAGAAACAGCTGTACCTTGGTCTCAGGGGTATAAGTAAAGTGGGCAAATCAGAATACACTGACTGTTCGGGTGCCCAACATGTCAGTGTTCTCTTTCTGGAAATATAAGAAGATTATACCTTCCCTTGAGGTTAAGCTGAGGCTACATGACCAGATTCTAGCAAAGAAATGTGGGCCAATTGGGTACACCTTCCTTCTAGGCCTGCGCATAAAATCTTCTCCACCCTCTCTCTCCCTCACCCAGGAAGCCAGAAACAAAGGTCTCTGAGGAGATGGGAGAACCAGACATAGATCCGAGTCACCACTTGGATTCAAGTCACCCATCCCTCATCAGAGTATGATGTGAGCAAAAAGTAAACGATTATTGTGTTAATCCACTGAGATATTGGGGTTTATATGTTGCCAGAGCATAGTGTATTCTATACTGCCACTGCCACCCGCCACCTCCACACATATTCTTTCAAAATCAGAAACTGGAAAATTGACCTTGACTAGAAATGGGACCTATAAATGGGACCTTGAAGGCACCACTGATGCTTTAAACTGTTGTAAATGATCAGAGAGAGAGGGAGGAAGGGAGGGAAAAAAGAAAAAGGAAAAAGGGAAGAAGGAAGGAAGGGAGGGTAAGGAGGAAAGAAGGAAGTAAAGAATAAAGAAAACAGTTAAGAAGATTACAGGTTTACTTCAGTTTAAGGTAGTCTGTATCCTGAAGTGTCCTGAAATTCTCATAGATTTTAAAATTGACACCTGAGGGATTTGGGGGAAATGAACAGGATGAAAGCATTTTGAATTCTAGACTGGAAGGGCAGCCAGGGGAGGTAGGCAGGCTCAGACTTTGTCACATGCTTGCCCTGGAGTTATGACAGCAAAAGGGTAATCAGAGACCCAACACTGCTGCAGAGACTTCGGCAGAGGAGTGCTCAGGATGTTTAGGAGACCCCTTGGACTAGGAAGTGAAATTGCTCCCGACCACACTGAGTATTACTGAGGGTGTTTTAAACATGGCTTATTCCTACGTCATAGCAAACAGGTGAAAACTTACTAGGAAGAAAAGGAGGAAAGTTCAAGTTGTTGGATTCACACTGGTTATTAGAAGCTTGGAGTAAGCTAGATACTTCATTCATTTCCTTCAAAGACACAAAACACACAAAGTGTAAAATGCGATTGAGCTACATTTAGCTGTTGAGAAACGCTTACTGAACTAGGAGCCAGGATATCTGGGTCCCTTATCAACTGCTTTTTGGATTTTAAATAATCTCCCTAATTTTTCTTACCCTCTGTTTCATCTTTTATAAAATTGAGTCATTGGATTAGGTTATATATTTTTAAGGTATGTTCCACTTCTAAATGACAGTGGGCACATTTTTACTTTTTATAAATTGATTTCAATCAGCTAATTCAGAAATACCATTTCAAAGGTTGATCCTTGCCTTACAAATTGTAAATATTTATTGTTATTGTTAAGAACCTAAGATAAACTAACATTTCTATTGTTAACTGTCCCTATCCTTTATTCCTCTGAGTGAGGAACAGTAAGAGAATATAATTAAGATCAAATCTATTTTCTTACATGAATTAAAAATAAGTGATGTCTAATCTTGGCAACAAACAAATATTCTTTATCATTGCACATCTTATTCATCAGAGTGCTTCCCAAATGGCTGCTCCAATGCCTTGCACATTGGCACTCAGAGAACATTTGTTGAAGAAATTCCTATTGTTCTTCCATAAAAATACGAGACCCTCATTAAATTATTCTCTAATGATTAATTTAAATTTTTATGAATCAATGCTACAAATAGTAGCAATTATAATACTGTTTTAATAAAACAGTATTTTTAAGCTGACAACCAGTTAATGGAGAAAGCAAAAACTTTATCAAAATGAAATAACCAGTTGATGAAAGATGCAGGATAAGAACCTAAGGCTCTTAGGAGCCTAATTCACTGGATATAGACTCAGCCTTAAGTAAAATAATTTTGAATACTACTACATAAAGCAAACTATTTTTTATTGACATTTATTTGACATCAAGGTCAAAACTCATCTGAAAATTTGGCGTTATCTGTTTCCAAAGGAAATTTGAGTCAGGAATAATAACTTACAATCCACACTCCATCAAACTCCAGATGATCATGAAATTTAGCGACCTGATCTGTCCACCACTCAGTGCATACTGGATTGGTATAATCGGGAAAGACTGTCGGTCCCGGATATCCCTAGGACACAGAGGAAGGCAGTGGCAATCAGCTTGGTTGAAGGTTTTTCATTTTGACCGACAGTGATTTCTTCTACTAGGAGCCTCATTTTGCTGTCATTTTAGAAATAAAATGTGTGACTACCCCAACAAAAACTAAACAATAAAATGCATACAAGGAACAAGAGGAAAAAACAATAAAAGGAAAAGCAACAGAGTAGATCAATGAAAAGCCACCATAAGTCCTTTTCTGTGCAAAAGAAAATTTAAAAAGTACAACTGCATTATGTCAGGCCAGTTGGGAGACAAATTGTTTAAAATACTAGAAAGTCTATATATTATTTTTCAAGAGAATGAACTTTTTTCAAGTGTTGTTAATTAAAGGTCACATAAAGTCTACTTTGAATAAGTATGATTATAAATAATGTGTTGATATTTTTGGCATATAAGCAATATTTTATAAATGGTTGAATGAAGTTTGCGCTTCTTACTCAGGTCATTTTTTAAATTCTACCTCCCTTTTCTGTCTATGCCTATCAAACAATAGCTTTAAAGATTGTCCACAACAAAGATATAACCATAGCCAAATTTTTGAAAATTCTTAATTAAAAGGATACCAGTTTTTGTAAAAAATTTTTGCTCATTTTCCCTATAAATTTATAGATTGTAATTTAGGAACAACTTTACACTCCGGGAACATAATGAATACATATTTTGAAATGTGGATACTTCTCAAAACTCAAGATGGGAGCTTGAAATACCCACAGTAAATGGATTGAGCTCCTGGCTCTTTGTTTTAGGCGATGGGCATCAACTAACAATTAGATGTTAACTCTGCACCCCAGGAAACAGGTGGTGTCACAAAACAGTCACCTACAGCAACATTCAACCTAGAGCGAGCCAGCAAATTTTATTCAACTAAGTGCATTTAAAACAAACCACTGGACTGGCATGGTGGCTCACGCCTGTAATCCCAACACTTTGGGAGGCTGAGGCAGGTGGATCACGAGGTCAGGAGTTCGAGACCAGTCTGGCCGAGAGAGTGAAATTCCGTCTCTACTAAAAATACAAAAATCAGCCAGGCATGGTGGCAGGCACCTGTAATTCCAGCTACCTGGGAGGCTAAGGCAGGAGAATCGCTTGAACCTGGGAGGCAGAGGTTGCAGTGAGCTGAGATCGTTGCAGTGAGCTGAGATCGTGCCACTGCACTCTAGCCTGGGCAACAGAGCAAGACTCCATCTCAAAAAAAAAAAAAAAAAAAAAAAACACACACCACTATGCACCTCCACTACTGCTATCTCTGCCAACATCTTAGATTAAATGATTCATGCCATTTATTGGTCAATGAAGTCAACTATCTAATTCATTATTTGTAATTATATGCAAATTCTTAATTATATATCACTCAAATATGAGTACTATTGAAATGACTCATAAGTGTGGATAAAATTTTAGGTGAGCAAAATAATTTTTATTTGACTATGGACTCTAAATGCAGTATATAAATATGGGCTTATCTAATATTTTAGAAACTAGCTTCTAACGAAACAGTAAAAGCAAAGACTTGGTGTGCAGAAGGAAGAAAACTTTCCTACTGCTTCATGAAAAGTTAGAATCAATGAAAAAAAAGTAAATAGAATTAAGCATCGAAAGAGTCAATGAAAGGAATTAAGTGGGCAGATTTTGGTAAGGGATCATCCATAACCCTGAAAAGACAGTTTCGCAAAATAAACTACTCAGGAGCAACAAGATCTGCAGTCACGTGAACTCTCTAGATGAAGCAACAATTTGAGTAAATCTTACAGAATCCAATCATCTAGGGCTGACCCTACATATAATTGAAATTGCCTATGTGATTTGATTTAAAGTACTCTCAGAAATTTAATTATCCTGAATATAGGCCCCAGCTCAGCCTATTCCACTGCCTGAGTCTGCTACCTCAGAATCAAAACTATGCTCTATCTATAAGTCTTGTGTAAATTTAAAATATAGGTTAGGCATGGTGGCTCACACCTGTAATCCCAGCAGTTTGGGAGGCTGAGGCAGGCAAATCACCTGAGGTCAGGAGTTCGAGATCAACCTGGCCAATATGGAGAAACCCCGTCTCTACTAAAAATACAAAAATTAGTCAGGCATGGTGGCGTGTGCCTGTAATCCCAGCTACTCGGGAGGCTGAGGTAGGAGAATCACTTGAACCCAGGAGTCAGAGGTTGCAGTGAGTCAAGATCATGCCATTACACTCAGCCAGGGTGACAAAAGTGAAACTCCATCTCAAAAAAATAAAAATTAAAACTTAAAAAAAATAAAATATATTAGCTGAGATCAGTTCCACATTAATCTATGAGCATCTTGCTATATTTTTGTAGTTGAATTTATTGTCTTGGGAAAGAGAAATTTGGAGGTGGGAGGGCTTTAGGTAACTGATTTTTCTTCTAGTTATATATTGCTTCTCAATTATCTATGGTATTAGAGGATCAAGGCTAGCTTTTTAAATTCTTCAGGTTTTTAATCATTCTATTATTATATCTACTGGTTTAAAATAGTAATAAAAGAAACCTCTAAAGCCATGAAAACAGTAACAATATTGTAACTTGCCTTTCACTCATCTTCGTACCAAAAGTACAACTCCCCAAAACAATCATAATTTACTTTGATTTTCTTAAGAAATTACCTCCCCAACAGCAAAGCCATTGCTCCCCAAGATCCACACTCTCTTTAGGCTTCCATTATTATAGGGCTCGTAGTTAGAGTTTTTGGAGATGCCAGGATTCTAATAAAGAAATACGATATAAATATTATTTTCATAAATTTTTTGCACTACAAAGGAAAAAATAAGGTAACAAGTGTTTGAACATACCATAATAATAAGATATTTCTGTCCATTGTCATGTAACTCCTTGACAAAATCTGGGAGACCAGAGTAAGCGACTTCATCAACAGTGAAATCCTTCTTTCCATCCATGTAGTCTATGTCAGAGTACTGGACATCCTGAAAGAGAGCTCTGGTCAATCAGAACCTAGGAAACAGCACTGTGCTGATGGAAAGTATTACAGCTCTGGTTCCTGACCATTGAAAATGAAACCATATTTTCTAATGATCCTGGAATTTCCAGGGCTTGGCTACTTCTTAGGAGAAAATAAGCTATCTTTGAAAGACATGATTGCTGTTTGGTTGCTGTTTTACCTCCTTGTCCTGACAGGTGCATGTCATAAGGTATTGGGAGGGACTTGAGAGCAGGAATTGCATCTTGTTCATCTCTTTAACTTGAGAGCTTGGATGCTTGACATAAAACAGACGCTCTTTAAATGGTTGTTTGAATGAATCATATTATTAATGTTATAACCATGTACTAACTTAACCCAAGCATCAAGCCAGAATATATCATATGAGGAGAAAATGATCTTTTGCCCTACGAAAGTGCTAGAGTAATGATTAACACAGATCAATGACAAAAAGATAAAGCCTTATCAACTAAACTCTCATGCACACATTTTTCCTTGTGTTTGCATATCAGCCTAGGGAGCAGGTGTTATTCTTAGTGAGCAAATTGAAATGTAGGGGAGTTCAGTGACATTTCCCAAAATACATGCACTGGGAGGTAGGGGGGCTGATGAGGGCTTTGGGGACAGGCTCTTTGGCTTCAGATGCTCTTTTTTTCCCCAATCTGCCACCTTCCTCAAAGACAAAGGAAGTGTTCTTCTAAGTGTTCCTCAAGTATCATACAGTAGGAGTCTCGACCTTACAGGCCTGAAGGAAAATGTGGCTTATGGCCTGTTGCCCAAAGTGGCATCAACTGTTCTAATACTGAGCAGTCATTTAGGACCCACGTGTCCTCCACAAACAAATGTAGGGAAAGATTCTATTTGCGGAAGAAAATTCTTCCTGGAATTGGATGTTTGCAGATAATAGATATGGGAGAAGTAAAATTAAACACAATCAATTCCCCTTTGACACCAAAACACATTGACCATCTGTTTTTTTTTTTACAGGAAAAATTGATCCCCCTGCCTGCCCTCATCACTACTCTGAGAGGGCATTGAAGAACCCTGAAAGCAGGCCAAAGCCATGTCCATATGTTCAGTCTTCCTTCAGATGTTAACATCATATTCTTTTTTTTTTTTTTTTTTTTTGAGATAGAGCCTCACTCTGTCACCCAGGCTGGAGTGTAGTGGCGCGATCTCAGCTCACTACAACCTCTGCCTCCAGGTTCAAGTGATTCTCCTGCCTCAGCCTGCTTTGTAGCTGGGATTACAGGCATGTGCCACCACACCTGGGTAATTTTTTTGTATTTTTAATAGAGACGGGGTTTCACCATGTTGACCAGGCTAGTCCGAACTCCTGACCTCAAGTGATCTGCCCGCCTCAGCCTCCCAAAGTGCTGAGATTACAGGCATGAGCCACCGCACTGGGCCAACACTATATTCTTACATCAAAGTTTCAAAATCCCAAAGAGCTACCCCCAATAAGTTGTTTTGATAAATTCATTAGCCACATGTTATGCATCTCCTGGAGAAGATCATCAAATATTACACACTTAATAATTATCTTGACTTACTGGTGGACATTGAACATCATAAACACTGATGCAACCATGAAGCTTCAAAATTAGAGTTTATCAGATCTGGGAGGAGTATATGAGGTCACCGTGAGAAACTCATTTACTGTAAGTCATTATAATCATCAGCTCTTGTTCCTCATGTCACCTCCAGTGTTGCTTTCTCTAATAACATAATAGCTAACTTTGATGATGTTCACCATCAGTGCTAGATGCTTCAACATGCACAGTATAAGGCATTCCTTACTACCAGCCCACCAAAGTAAGTCTTACATCCTCATTCTATAAAGGTGGAAACTAAGGCTCAGAGATGTTAATTAACTGGCGCAACATTGCACAGAGCTATGAAGAGGTAAAGCTAAAATTCAAAGCCACCTCTATCAGGCTTCATTAACAGTATACTTTTCATGCTCAGATACATAACTTAACATGCAAATTTCTGCCAGCAAGTGTGCCTGTCTATCAATCTAATGATTTATCTACATTTTTCCTAATACATTGAATTTAATGCAAAAAATAAAAATGGGAATTGGTGTCAACTGCATGGTAAAAGAAGTTTCGACTTACATATGGTATCTCAGCTAAACGATTTCGGCTTACAACTTCTTTCAATTTATTGATGCCACCATAGTCCCTGCGACTAAGCTGGAACCCAAGACTCCAATAGGGAGGGAAGAATGGCCGTCCAACAAGCTGAAAAGATAAGTAAGTGTGTAGGCTTTGAGAATAACATTAGCCCCATTTCATTTTCTGTGAAGTTCCCAGAGCTGAAAACGTCAGAGCTAAGAGTAATCTGCTAGAATAATTTGTGAAATTCCACAATCACATCCTTCTTTACTAAGTACATAAATGTATTCCCAACATCAGATCAGACACTAATAAAATTTGCAGAAAATGTTTCAGTAATGGTGTCATCTTAGGGGAAACTGGTGACATTCATTATTCTATAAGTGTTTTTCTGAATATTTGTTCACAGTGTGGCAAGGGCTAATATGGGCACTTGGAATATAGTGGCACAGAGCAAACATAGCTCCTGCCCTCAGAGAGCTTAGAGGAAATAAATAAATGCCTAATATAATTTCAGATAGTGGTGTGTGCAAAGGGTAAAGGAATAAGAATGGATGGGATTAGGAGTGAGATTACAGGCACACGCCACCATGCCCAGCTAATTTTTGTATTTTTAGTAGAGACAGGGCTCTGCCATGTTGGCCAGGCTGGTCTCAACCTCCTGACCTCAAGTGATTCGCCCACCTTGGCCTCCCAAAGTGGTGGAATTACAAGCATGAGCCACTGCAGCCAACCTCAAGCGTCTTCCTTTTCTATAATTTGAGTCAAATGTGAATAGCTAGCAAAGTTTATTCAGGTAGTTCCTTTTCACTGAATTTTAACTTATTGAATGAATAAGCTTTGCTGATTTGTGGGATACATGAATGGACTATGAGTTACTTGAAAGCAGGATGGTGTCTGACTTCTTTTTGCATTTCTCAAGCCTTGCACAGTGTCTCTTTGGAATGCAGAAAGCACCCAATAAAGGTCATCAAAATAAATAAACAATAGATGAAAGACTCACTATCCCAGCATTTATAATCCATACAGTTTACTAATACCTTTTATTTTTCTTTTATTAATTTATAATGAGTATATGAGATAACAGCAGTAAATAATGACTATCTAAATGCAAAGACATACCTCCAAGTATTCCTGAACCACTTGTTCTGGAGTGTTTCCTAGGAATACGTAAAAGTCAAGAATGCCTCCAATCGTGCGATAAGTGATCGCAGGAGCTGGCTGAAGGGTAACCTCTGAAAAAATTATAATGAGATTAATTAGAATCTTATGGTTGGAAGTAAACTCTTCTCTGCAGTAGAAATAGTTGAGCCACCTAAAAGAGTCTCAGTCTCATTTTGAAAGGGATGAAAATCACACTGTCTTTTTATCAGAGGATCGTTGTTGGAGTTTATCAAAGTATTGAATGTGTAAGACACCAATGAAGAATTGAGTTTTGTTTTTTTTTTTTTAAGATAAAGAAGAACAAATTGTATTTTAACCTGGCCACATAAAAATACAAGCTTCTGGGTTTTGCGAGTAGCTTCACTCAAAAAACGTTATAAAAATTTTATTAGATGAGTTTGACTACAATTAAATATTTAAAAATAAATAAAAATGCTTATGAGAGTACCATTAATCCAGAAGCTGGAGAAGGAAGATTTGGAGTGGGGAAAGTGTGGGTGGGCTGTGAGAAACAGCCTACAAAACACAGCCTTGTTGCCTACAGACAGAAAGCACAATTTACACGTTGAAATCTACAGATATTTTTGGAATGCGTCTATCAGTGGATCCTATTTTCTACAGACTATGAGGGGAAACATTATACCAAAGAAGACCCCTGAAGTGGTTTTCAATGAAAACAATGTCAAGTATCACCTGGATTTGTAGACAGATTAACCTACTTTCAGGTTCCAGTTTCAATAAAAGTATTGTAGGTTCAAAATGCCTTCTGTTCAACAGTTGATCTCACCATAAAAGTAATTTTTTATAAAAGCAGAATCCTAAAACGTATTCCTACCTACAGAAGATAAAAAGATGCTTCCTACCCATGGCATTACTGTTCATCAGAAATACTCCAAAAGAGGAGCCCCTGGCATCTTCAAGGCACAAGAAGAATGTATGAGCTCCATACAGATTAATCATGCCCTATCAGCAAAACAGAAGAAAAGTCATAGTGTTATGTGTTGAGAAAGTTTTCATTCACCCTAAAATAAATTCAAAAGCCATCTATAACATATACTTGGTCAACACTTCATGTAGTTTAACATTGTATCAAAAAGGCATTGTAATGATATTATCAACTGGAAAATGAATAAACAAAATATGGTATTATCTATACAAAAGAATTCCATTCAACAACAGTAAAATAATCATACACACTGCAATATAAATAAACCTTGAAAGTGTTATGCTAAGGGAAAGAAACAGACACAAACAACCATATATTGTATGATTTCATTGATATGAAATATCTAGAAAAGTCAAATCTATAGGGACAGAAAGTAGGTTAGTAATTGGTTAGGGCTGAAGCAAGCTCTGGAGTTTAAGTCTCAAAGGGCAGAAGGGATCCTATTGCGGTGATGTCAAAGCTATAGAACTGGATTATGACGATGCTTGTCTAACTCAGTATATGTGCTCAAAGTCATTGAATTGCACACTTAAAACAGATGAATTTTTTGGCCTATGAATTATAACTCAATCAAGTTATTTTGTAAACATATTTGCTATGATGTATACCAAAATATTAGCAGAAAGTGATGGTATTATGAGTAATTTTGAATTTTTTACACCTAGTTGTATTTTCTAATGTTTCTGTAGTTACCATATAATACTTAAGTGGTTAAAAAAAAGCTTAAAACTGATAGAAAGAGAAAGAAAAAATATTGAAATCTGTGACGAAGCTGTGATGAGCACTGACCTAAGAAGAGATAATGTGTGTGTGTGTGTGTGTGTGTGTGTGTGTAACTCTAAGTGCTGTAAGAATAAAAGAAGTTGAGATTAGAATACGGAGAACGTTTTACAAGTTCCCTGTGTGACAGTATCATCATCTTAGCCAAAGCATAAGGCAATAATACTGATAATGGTAAATACCAGGAGAGGGAAAAGAAAGAATCAACATAATTTGCAAAATTGAGAAGATCAATAAGCCTCAGCTAGATGTAAAATTATAGCCAGGAAAACTAATGGCATCACACTTGGATAGCATACAGACAAAATTTTTAAAATACATTTTAAAGAAAGAAAAAAACAGGGGAGAAAGGCAAGAAAAAAGAAAGGAAGAAAAACAGGAAGGCATTACATCTAATTTGTGACTATACAATTTAGGAATGTCAGCTATAGAAAGTCAAACGTAGTACGATTCATAGTATTCAATATTTGCCAGGGTCCTTGACCAAACATTTATTACATGCGTTAGCTATTGCTTTTTTGTCTTTGCTCTGCTCAGCAAGTTCACTCCCTCCATTGTATCCGATGCTGGTAGCTGGGCTACAGGTTAATGTGCTACTTGCTTTGTTCATCTCCTGCCAAATACGAATTGCAAAATGTCAGCTCTCTCCCTTGCACCATACTTCAACTTGCAGTTCTTGCATGGATCCAAGAAATATCATCAGCACAATGGAGGCTTCAAGACATGCTCTACAAACCTATGTGACTCAAAGCTTTGTCCATGGAACAATACTTCCTCAAACCCTTTGTTATCAGTCAGCCACAAGACAAGTGCAAAAACCAAAAGTCAAAGTTTAGAAATTCTTTTATAGCAATTGAAAAGGGTAATATTTTATGTCTGTTCAACTGAAAATTTAGGTTTTTTTGGTATGTCTTTGAGTTTTTTTATTTCATTTTTTCAGTAATATATTTTAATTGTATTTTACAAAATTATTGCCAGTGCTAGATTTTTTTTTTTTTTTTAAGAAACTAGTCCTTCACTCCAGATAAGCTGAGAGGCATTAATCCAGAGCAGTCTTTCTCCCACTTTCATATGAATGTGAGTCACCTGGGGATCTTGCAAAAATGCATATTTGGATCCAGTGGGTCTGGGCTATGGCCTGAGATTCTGCATTTTTAACAACCTCCCAGGTAATGCCAACGCTGACGTTTCTGAAACACACTTTCACTAGCAAACACCTAGAACAGTATGAAAGCTGTCAAAAGAGACATTTTTAGTCCACCAAGTTCTACTGAGCTTGGCTCCTACTGAAGCCTTCCTTTCCTCAGTTATTAAACCAAGACATAGTAATTTGGCAGAAGTATATACTAGGTTCTAATATAATCATGAAATTGTATTTCCCATTAAAAGTGAAATTTGTTTAAAAAATGCTGCATTTCGAATTGCTAGAAAATTTCTAATTTAATTTTTTTTATTTTTAATATTGCTATATTCCTGAATTTATAGGCCTCAAGAACAAATATTCCTCAACACTAACACATCTAAAGTGAGCAAAGTAAAATAGATGTATTCCTGCAGGCTACTTTTAGGAAAGGAAGGAGGGTATCCCTTACTGTGGGCGATACTCAGGAGGAAAGCCACCTCACCTCGGTGGGGGTAGCGTCCCGGGTGAAGATGGGCCAAGTCTTCCAGGTCATATTGTGGCGGTACTGCTGGTGCACATGCTCTCCCAGCCCATACACATTGGCACTGGGCAGTCGGAAAGACAGTTGCAGGTACTGCTGGGCAAACTGGAGGGGCCCGATGCTCGTGTCCAACCTGGGCCATGGGGTAAGTAGAGCAAGAATCACCGAAAAACACTCTTTCCTCTGCCAGGAAGCTATCTTCTCCTTTCCACATACACTTAGACCTCTGTTGTTTCAGGCGTTAGCAATTTTCTTGCTACCTTTGAAGGCCTTTCTAGGGCACCTCTGGTTCTTTAATTCTAGAGGAAGACAGCATTAGGGCCAGGATGCCAGGAGCTCAGGTTGGACAATTGGGGAAAGAGAGCAGAGTTGACTTCATGTTTAATGTGCATCTACTACATACCAGGCACCGCTCTGGGTGTTTTATAAACAAAGTCTCATTGCCCCTAGGAAAAGTGGATATTTTGAGTCCCTTTTTTTGGACAAGGAAACTGATACTGTTGAGGATAGGTATTTTGCCTGATATATAACACAGCTGACTGTTGATCTGCTGGTACCGGGATGTGAATACTGGTTTTACAGACACTAATACTTCTGTTTACTCCAGTACAGTTTGTGAATTAAGCTGAAACTGTTGGTCACTGCTTGATAGTAAAATTCACAGTAAATAATAATTTAAAATGATAGACAATGAAGTTTGAGTTCCAGTATGAATAATAATTTAAAACAATAAAATCCCCTATTTTACAATATATGTAAACCACAAGTATATTTCTGTGTATAAATATATTATACAAATAAACATATTAAATATACTATATATTTAAATATATAAATATATATTATTAAATTTTATATAAATATTTTATATTAAAAAATTATCTTATGTAAAATATATATTTATATATTTATATTTAATATATTAATGTATATTAACATGTATTAAATATTTATATTAAATATAAATTAACATTTATTAAATATGTTAAATATTTATATTAAATATAAATTAATGTCTATTAAATAAATATTAAATATAAATTAAATATAATTAAACTGATTAAATTAAAACTAAATATAATTAAATGAAAATATAAATTAAATATAAATATAAATTAATATATATTAAATATATGTTAAATATTTTAATATAAATGCATATATAATATGTAAATATATTTAACGTATAAATATGACATATTTGTATATTAAATACATATGTTATATATTATATATTATATTTAATTTAATATATAATATCTATATATTTATATAATTATATTACTTATAATTATATATTATATTATACATAATTATATGACATGTAATTATATATTATATTATATAATTATATATTATATATTATATGTTATTACATATTTCTATTAATATTATTAATATTAATTATATTAATTAATATTATTAATTATATTATAATTAATATATTTATTATATTTTAATTATAACTATATTCTTCATTTTTATAATTTAATTTTAAATTATGTATTAAATATATAAATTATATAGTTGATTAAATTATATAAAGTATATGGAATGTATAATTAAATTATATATTTTATATATTTTAAATTACATTTAAATTTTTATAATTTAATTTAATTTTAAATTATGAAATTTATAATTTTATAATTTAAATATAATTATAATATTATTAATTATATTAATAGTAATAATATATTATTATTATATTATATAATTATATATTATATAAATTATATATGTAATTATATATTATATAAATTATATTAAATTACATATAATTATGTATTATATAATTATATAAAATTATATAACTTAGCAAACATTTTAGTATTACCTTTTAGTATTCTCTGTTTTACGAGCATGATAGGCTAACACTGTTATTTTACAGCAAACCCTTGGACATTTTTCTAATATTCAAACATTTTCTCTAGTTGTACTGATTTCACTGCCCACCCCCAGTAAATCAGAATGAGTAATATTAGAACTGTGTGTTCAAAGATGCACCAAGAGGGTTGAAAAGCTCACAAGACTCTTCTGTTGCTTGTCCTCATTATTTTGATGCTGAAAGGTTTATCAGTAACCTCCACGTAATAGCTCAAATTGGAGGCATCAGCAATCCCATCAACCAGGTTAATATTTTCATGGGAAACTTCATAGCGTATGTTATTAAAGTCAGTGATCTGTCAAAAGAAAAACAGAAGGGACAACTGCAGATAAGACCACTTCCTTGTAGACAGAGCTACAAAAGATGTTCCATCTCAAATGACACCCCATGAGAATAGCTTCTAATTCTTCACCTTGTGGCTTCTGATTTGTGAAATCACCCAATTACATGTGCCCCATCAAATAAAAATTAGCCTGCCCATGCCATCCAGAGATTCCTGCAGAGAGGGAGAGAGGTACCTTCTGCCTCCACACTTCAAGCCCAATGTGAGCACACTGCTTTCTTCAGAAATGTATTTAGCAGTCACTCCCAAACCAACCTTAAAATGAAACCGATTGGATGTCTGATATTCAGCTGTGAAAAGGGTGGTGGCGACATCATTTCCAAACAGAGATGGTGATGGCAACCTTTTCAACTGGGCAGTAAATCCTAGGGGTGGCAAGATATGGAGAGAGAGAAAAGGAGACTAACTTTTAGTGTTTGGTTTTGTTTTGTTTTTGTTTTTGTTTTGAGATGGAGTCTTGCCCTGTGGCCCAGGCTGGAGTGCAAGACGTGATCTCGGCTCACTGCAACCTCCACCTCCCAGGTTCAAATGATTCTCCTGCCTCTGCCTCCTGAGTAGCTGGGATTACAGGCAGCTGCCACCACACCCAGCTAATTTTTGTATTTTTAGTAGAGACGGGGTTTCACCACATTGGTCAGGCTGGTCTTGAACTCCTGACCTCATGATCCACCCACGTCAGCCTCTCGAAGTGCTGGGATTACAGACGTGAGCCACCACGCCTGCCTGACTTTTAGCTTTTATTTTATTTTGCAGTTAACGTATCTGGGCCATAAGGAGTTGTTCCCAGGCGCAACATCAGGGCAGTGCTCACCTGTGCTTGTATTTGTATGGCCATTGCTGGCTTCATAGCCCCAGTTCCAGGGGAAGAAGCACCTAGGGACATTGGCATCTGCCACAGGCGACCAGCAGCACTTATATTGCCATCTGCAGATATCCTGTAACAATGACACAGAGTTAGCAGTATATAAACTGAGGGAAGGAAAGTATTATCTGTCTATTTATTTATAACCCATTTTATTCCAAGGAGAATTTAAGATAGGTTATAATTACATTCATTAATTTATTTGTTCTTTATTTATTCATGAATCTATCCAACTGTCCAATATGTATTTATTATCTACCAGACATGGAACTGATAATACAGATAAATAAGACATAGCTTGTGCCTTCAGCAAACTACTGTCTAGTGGCAAATCCATACAATTAGGAAAGCAATTACATACAGTATGATGATATGAGGGCTCCACCAAGTGTGTCCAGGAGCTGAGGGAACACACAGTCACTGTACCCAGCCTAGTAGGCGTGGAGTGGGGTAGGGAGAGCTTCCAGGTAAGTGAAAGGTAAGTCCCATCATGAAGCACCAGGGGAGGTTAGACAGAGGAACAGTATTCCTGGCGGAGAAAGCAGCAGTGCATGACAGACTCAGAAAAACCACACATTTCTTGTGCCAAAAACATTAAGTATGAGAATGAAGCTGGAAATCACATAGTATTTTTACCAAGAGTGGGCTGGAAGCCAGTCCAAGAAGTTTGGACTTTCCCATGAGAAAGAGTCATGCAAGTGGCTAACAATACAGCAAAAGAAGAAATGCATTTCCAAAAAGTAAGCAAAGTGAAGCTAAGAAAACTAGAGACGATTAAAATAAAACTAGGACAGAGGGTAACATAGAAATTCACAATATCTCTGCTATGTCCAAGGCAAAAACAAATCACATGTGGTTCTTTCTCAGAGTGGTTTGATTATAAATATTCTTTTGGTGTTATTTAGCAAGATTTATTTTGTAAAGGTCTTATAATTTTCAGGTTAATTTACATAAAATTATTTTGTTATGATAAATAAAACAAATGGCAACTGAGACCACTGTGTTAGAATAAACACAGGCATTCACCTTCCTCACCTAACTAAATTTACATGAAATGACAGAAATGATTTTAAGAAAAAAATTACAAATCTGTTTATAAAACAGCAAAATAAAATGCAATGTGGCAGGTGAGAAATTCAATTACAACTGAATTTCTTTTTTTTTTTTTTTTTTTTTTTTTTTTTTTTTTTTTTTTGAGACAGAGTTTTGTTCTTGTTGCCCAGTCTGGAGTGCAATGGTGCAGTCTCGGCTCACTGTAATCTCTGCCTCCTGGGTTCAAGTTATTCTACTGCCTCAGCCTCCTGAGTAGCTAGGATTACAGGCTCCCACCACCACACCTGGCTAATTTTTGTATTTTTAGTAGAGACAGGGTTTCACCATGTTGGCCAGGCTAGTCTCGAACTCCTGACCTCAGGTGATCCACCCACCTCAGCCTCCCAAAGTGCTGGGATTACAGGCATGAGCCACCGCGCCTGGCCTACAATTGAAATTTCAATTACAATTACAACTACAATTGAAATTCAATTACAATTCAAGGTGCGATTTAGGTGGGGACACAGAGTCAAACCATGTCATTCTGCACCGGGCCCCTCTCAAATCTCATGGCCTCGCGTTTCAAAACATAATCATGCCCTTCCAATAGTCCCTTAAAGTTTTAACTCATTCCAGCATTAATCCAAAAGTACAAGTCCAAAGTCTCATCTGAGACAAGGCAAGTCCCTTTAGCCTATGAGCCTGTAAAATCAAAAGCAAGTTAGTTACTTCCTAGATACAATGGGGTACAGGCATTGGGTAAATATACCCATTCCAAATGGGAGAAATTGGTCAAAATGAAGGGGCTACAGGCCCCATGCAAGTCTGAAATCCAATGAGGCTGTCAAATCCTAAAGCTCTGAAATAATCTCCTTTGACTCCATGTCTCACATCCAGGTCATGCTGATGTGAGAGGTGGGCTCCCACAGCCTTGAGCAGCTCTGCCTCTGTGGCTCTGCATGTACAGCCCCCCTCTTGGCTGCTTTCATGGGCTGGCATTGAGTGTCTGCGGCTTTTCCGGGCATGCAGTGCAAGCCATCAGTGGATCTACCATTCTGGGGGCTGGAGGACAGTGGCCCTCTTCTCCCAACTTCACTAGGCTGCGCCCCAGTGGGGACTTTTTGTTGGGGCTCTGACCCCACATTTCCCTTCCGCACTGCCCTAGCAGAGGATCTCCATAAGGACTCCACCTATGCAGAAAACTTGTGCCTGGCCATCCAGGCATTTCCATACGTCCTCTGAAATCTAGGTAGAGGTTCCTATACCTCGGTGCTTGACTTCTATGCACCCACAGGCTCAACAACATGTAGAAGCAGCCAAGACTTGGGGCTTATACACTCTGAAGCCATGGCCCGAGCTGTACTTTTGTCCCTTTTAGCCATGTCTGGAGCTGCTGGGACACAGGACCCCAAGTCCCTAGGCTGCACAGAGCAGGGGAGACCCTGGGCCTGGCCCATGGAACCATTTTTCTGTCCGAGGCTTCCTGGCCTGTGATGGGAGGTACTGCTCTGAAGACCTCTGACGCCCTGGAGCCATTTTTCCCGTTGTCTTGGCAATTACCATTTGACTCCTTGTTACTTATGTAAATTTCTGCAGCTGGCTTGAATTTCTCCTCAGAAAATGGGTTTTTCTTTTCTATTGCATCATCAGGCTGCAAATTTTCTGAACTTTTATACTCTACTTCCCTTTTAAACATAAGTTCCAATTCCAAACCATATCTTCATGAATACATAAGCTGAACGCCTTTAACAGCACCCAAGTTACCTCTTGAACACTTTGCTGCTTACAAATTTCTTCTGCCAGATACCCTAAATCATCTCTCTCAAGTTCAAAGTTCCACAGATCTCTAGGGTAGGGGTAAAATGCCACCAGTCTCTTTGCTAAAACATAGCAAGAGTCACCTTTATTCCAGTTCCCAACAAGTTCCTCATCTCCATCTGAGAAAAGCCATTCAACAAGTCTCAAGGAAGTTCCAAACTTTCCTACATCTTCCTGTCCTCTTCTGAGCCTTTCAAACTGTTCCAACCTCAGCCTGTTACCCAATTCCAAAGTCGCTTCCACATTTTCAGGTATCTTTACAGCAGCACCCCACTACCTGGTACCAATTTACTGTATTAGTCAGTTCTCATGCTGCTAACAGAGACATACCCAAGACTGTGTAATTTATAAAGGAAAGACATTTAATGGACTCACAGTTCCACATGGCTGGGGAGGCCTCACAGTCATGGTGGAAGATGAAGGAAGTGCAAAGGGATGTCTTACATGGCGGCAGGCAAGAGAGCTTGTGCAGGGGAACTCCCCTTTATAAAACCATCAGATCTCATGAGACTTATTCACTACCATAAGAACAGTATGGGGGAAAGTGCCCCATGATTCAATTATCTCCACCTGGCCCACCCTTGACACACTGGGAGTATTAAAATTCAAGGTGAGATTTGGGTGGGGACACAGGATCAAACCATATCACTTCCATTAAAAAAATGAGGAATGTGTACTGTTAAGATTTAGAACAAGATTTAAAGCTCCTGAATATTTAAACTGAATTACAAAAGAAAACAACCAAAGAGAAGTGTTATGAAAAAAACTTTAAAAATCAAATTCAATTATCCCAGAAAATAATATAAAAAAAATGGAAAATATGAAAGAAAGAGTAGATGAAGTGACTGACAGACTCAGATAGCAGCACTCAACTAAGAAGACTCCAGAAAGAGAAAGGAGAAGACAAATTAGGGAAAGAAAAGCAAATAAAATGTCATGGATCATTAACAACTCAATGTACAACCCAAGACACTAGAAAAGTACAAAATACACCCACAAAAGTGTGTAAAATAATAAAAACTAAAACAGTAATTATAAAGAAGCAAGTAACTACATTCATCAATTCAAAACATCCATTGAGTGCCTGCTCTGTTTAAAGAATTCATCCAGATTCCAGTGGCACAGAGTTGTCTGCAAGGACAGGAAGACAGATACCACCATTAATCATATCCAGCTTGTTTCCACCACTGATTTGCAGTGTCATTTTCATTATAAACTAAATTTAAGTGCATACATATAAGCATGTGAATATGCATTTTGGGACTTCTTATTATATTCAAATGGCTTATATGTCAATTCCTGTTATAACTCCACACTGATATTACTATAGTGTGAGGATAAGTTTTGTTATTAGTCTGGCAAATCAATCAATCTAAGGGTTTCTTTGGAAAGATCAAGGAAATAGAAATATCTTAAAGTCTTATTTTGACAAAAAAGGGAAACAAACAAGGCTTAACACAAGAATAAAAAATGACAACAGATATAAAGAATGAGTAAGAATCATGAGAAAACTTATTCATAACAAATATTAGCCAATGAATGTGAAACTCTAAATTAAATAAATCTTTACACAGTAAAATTTAAATAATCAAAATTGTCTAAGAGGAGATAGAAAACCTGAAATGTCCAGTGACCATGAAAAATTGTGAAAGATAGTTAAGAATCTTTCCCTAAAAAAAAAAAATTGCCCAAATGATTTGAGGAATAAAATATCCTCATATTATATATACTGTATTTTCAGAATATAGAAAAAGGTGAAAAGTTTCCTAATTCATTTTATAAAACTAGAATAGTTCTGGTAACAAACTGAAAAAGGACAGTCCAAATAAACAAGTAAATAAAAATACATAGGCCCATTTCATTTAAAAAACATAGATGTGCGAAATATCAATAAAATATTAGCAATTTGAATTCGTTCATATATTAAAAGAATTAATACACAATATATGAATAGGTCTCATTAAGCAAAAGTGAAAATGGTTCCAAATTAAAAAATATTTTAACATAATTCACAACACTGACAAAAGAAAATCATATGGTAATCTCAACTGAAGCAACCTATTTTAAAAATATAATGTGGTAAATTCAAATGCCTTAAATTTAAAAAGCAAGTTGGAAAAATATATAGTATAATCAAATTTTCGTTAAAACAAAATAAATATATAGATGCAAAAGCTTATAAAGATCAAGAGAAGGATATACACTAAGCCATTGATTTGATTCTGGGTGATTCTGGGGGGAGTAATTTGGAGATAGACAGGAAACATTAATACTTTCTCATTTTGTTCTGTACATAACTATAATGTCTGAATCTTTCCTGTTAAAGGACTGTGTTCAGTGTGGATTGTGACACCAAAAACAAGAATATGTCACAACACTACTCATTTGAAAAAGGCGTAGTGCTGACAAGTATTTCAGATGCTAACATCTGATGTCATTTTCCTGAAAAGCCACAATGTAAATACAACTTAAGTCAGTGCTTCATACCTATTATAAACAAAGTAATTATATTATAACCATACAATCTTTTTAAATATACTTATTAACTCTCCATAAATCTAATTGACATTCCTGTCTCATTGTCTTCAGATAACAAAAAAGGCTGGAAGGGATCAGTGAAGAAAGAATTTGGGGGTCTGGGTGGCCTGTAGATAATTGATTTTCCTAAGGCAGACATTAAGTAGCTCTGCTCCCTCTGAAACTGGGGTCAGTCTAATTCAAAAGGTCAGTTTCATTGTCATAAATTGTTTCAAAGTCCACAGACCTCTATAAAAAGCAATAAACATTTAAGTAAGTGGTCTGCTCTAACATCCCTACTTCAGTTTTCAACCATTACCAATATCCCAGACCCCAAATTATCTACTACAACTTTCATTTGATGCAGGGATTTCTTCAATAGAGTCTCTGATAGATGCTGAAAATCTGTAAATGATATGTAACCAACTTCTTCCAAAACCAGGAAATTCCTCTTCTATAATTAGTATTTTATTCAATGTTATTTATTAGGTTTAGTTAAAATCAGTCTCCAGGAAGTTCCATTTTCTAAAACCTACCATAGCTGCATGTTGCCTTTCAGATAAACTGTCTCAAACTATATTGACAATTTAGAAAGAAAAGAGAATCTTGTAACCTATGAGTTAAAAGACATGGAAGAAAATGGAATGCACATTGGAAAAAACTTCCAACTGTTATTATTTGCAGGTAACATTATCATGTCAGAAAAAAACAAGAGTCTACAAACTAGGACAATTAATAAGTAAATTTAAGATTTCTAGTTACAAGATCAGTATTCAAAAATCAATTTTAAATCTATATATATAAGAGAAACAGAAAATTAAAATTTAAGAATAAGATTTGAATAGAATCAAATAGGAAAAAAGTAGCAAAACCATGTGCAAAAGCTCTATATCAAAAATTTCAAAACTAAAATCTCAGTACATAGAAAGATATATACCATGTTTAGGAATTGAAATATTCACCCTTGTAAAGATGGTAATTTTCCCAAATTTAACCTGTAAATTTTATGTAATCACAATAAAATTTCTAGTAAGTTTTGTGAGAAAACTGGCAGGCTGGTATGAGAGACATTAAAATTAAAATGTATTCAGAAACCTAAAGGGCAAAGAATAAGCTAGGCAATCTTGAAGAAAAGTAAGAATGATTTGGAGGACTTCTACAACCACACATTAAGACCTATCATAAAGCAATAGTTATTAAGGCTGTATGGTATTGGCAAAAGAACAAACTAGTAACTCAACAAAATACATTCCAGAAGCAGATCCATACCTATAAAGACATAATTTACAGGAAAGGTGTCACTAAAATGCAGAGGGAAAAAGATGGTCAGTTCAATAAGTGGTGATGGATCGATTAAAAATTCAAGAAAAAAAACGTTTCTGGGCCAGGTGTGGTGGCTCATGCCTGTAATCCCAGCACTTTGGGAGGCTGAGGTGGGCGGATCACAAGGTCAGGAGTTCGAGAACAGCCTGACAAAAATGGTGAAACCTCATCTCTACTAAAAATACAAAAAATTAGCCAGGCATGATAGCGGGTGCCTATAATCCCAGCTACTCAGGAAGCTGAGGTGTGAGAATCACCTGAACCTGGGAGGTGGAGGTTGCAGTGAGCCAAGATTGCGCCTCTGCGCTCCAGCCTGGGAGACAGAGCAAGACTCCGTCTCAAAAAAAAAAAAAAAAAAAAAAAAAAAGTTTCTGGACTCTTACCTGATACCATATACAAAAATCAGTACTATATTCATAAAAGACCTACATTTGAAGGATAAAACAATAATGCTTTTAAGGGAAAGATAGTAATATATTTTTCTGACCTCGGAGTAGGCAAGAATTACTAAATAGAATATGAAATGAACCAACCATTGAAAAAGTGATAAAGTGAACTATTTTAAAATTGTGAGCTATTTGTCATCAACAGTCGCCATTAAGAGAGTTAAAAGACAAACCATAGACTAAGATATATATCTAACAAAGGATTTGTATCCAGAATACATAAGTAACTACTACAAAGCAATAAAAAAGATGAACAGTTCAGTAGAAAAAAAGGCAAAAAGTTAAAAAGACATTCCATAAATATGATTACCAACTAGCCAATAAGCATTTCTAAAGATATTTAACCTTATTAGTCATGAGAAACATGAAAATTAAAACCATAGAATGGTTAAATTGAAAAAGGAGAAAACACCAAGCGTTGATTAGGATGTAGAGCAAATGAACTCCTGTATACTACTAAAAGAAATGCAAATTGATACAAATACTTTGAAAAATGATTTTGCAGTGTCAGCTAAAGTTAAACATGTACATATCCTATAGACTGAAAGTTCCATCCTTAGGTATAGAGCCAATAAAAATTATTCCAACTGTTCACCCGAAGATACCCAAAAATTTGATGCAAATTTTTTTGAATCGTGCTGTAAAAAAAAAATCTCTAGATGAAAACTCACAATTGCCTATCAAGAGTAGGGTGGATACAGAAAAAAAAAAAAGAATATAACTATACCTAACAATAGGCTAAATCTCATAAAAATAATTTTGAGGTCGGGCGCGGTGGCTCACCCCTGTAATTCCAGCACTTTGGGAGGCTGAAGGGGGTGGATTACAAGGTCAAGAGACCATCCTGGCCAATATGGTGAAACCCCGTCTCTACTAAAAATACAAAAATTAGCTGGGCATGGTGGTGCATGCCTGTAGTCCCAGCTACTCAGAAGGCTGAGGCAGGAGAATTGCTTGAACCGGGGAGGCAGAGGTTGCAGTGAGCCGAGATCGCCCCAGTGCACTCCAGTCTGGCGACAGAACGAGATTTCATCCAACAACAACAACAACAACAAAAACATATTTAATAGAACTCAAAGTTTATAAATTTGAAAATATGGATGAAGTGGACAACATCCTACTATATGCCAAGGGAAGAATGGTTAAACTATGGCATACTCATACAATGGAATATCACTCAGTGGTACAAAGAATTATCTAATATTTGCAACAATAAAGATGAATCTCAAAAATGTGCTGAATGAAAGAGGCTTTACACTACGCTATGTGATTCCATTCATATGAAGTTCTGCAACAAGCAAAACTAAACTAAGGTGGAGATAAATCATATCAGTGATTACCTGTTAAGGGGTACAAGTCGGAATAACTATTGGGAAATGTCATAAGATAACTTTCTGAAGTGATGGTAACATTCTGTATCTTTGGGTATAGAATGGTTTGGCTTACACATGTGTAGTCATTTGCCATAATTCAACAAATGTGTGCCAAAGAATCGTGCAAAATGTATTAATAACAACTCTTTGTATTTGCATTGTATATAAGTGTAATATCTGAAGATAAATAACTATAATCAAACTTTGGACTGTAGCTAATAATATACTTGGTGAGAAATTTATGAAAAAGTGAACTGGTTTCTAGAACTTACTTTCAAATCCATAGAAATCAGATAGATTAATAGATGAATGAAGTGTGGGATAAGTGATAAATACGAGAAGGCAAAGTAAAATATTAATGGTGAAATTTAAGTGGGAGGTAATGAGTATTATTGTAAACTTGTTTGCAAAGTTCAATACTAAATTGTTGGAAAAAATCCATTTTCCATTTCTTTTAAAAAAAAGTTAAAATAAGAATATAAAGATGGTTCCTAACATATATCAATAAAACAATTCTCTTAAGCCAATAGCTAACTTTGTGCTTGATACTTTGCCCAAATTTCCATTAAAGTCAAGCATAAAATAAGGGTTGCCAACCATCATCACTTTAATTACATTATTCTGGAAGAAATAGACAATACGATTAGACATATGAATGTATAAGATAATATTAATACAAAGAAAAATTATCCTTATTTTCCTATAATATAATTCTATACTTAATATCCAGAGGAGGGACTACAAAACATTTTTTATAAACAATATGAGATTTAACTTGATCAATTATATAATAAATAGAATATAAATATACTGTGTAAACATAATATAAAGTAAAAATAATAAATATAAAAATAAAATAATAGTAAGAAAAGAAGCATTATAATAAAAGAAGCACAACTTACAAAATATAATGGATTATATTTACAGTAGAAACCAAGGATGTGAAATACGTAGGGAAAACATCATAATTCACATGCAATAAAACATATAAGAGAAACATAAAACTCAGTTAAGAAATAAATATATGCATATATGGGCCGGGCGTAGTGGCTCACACCTGTAAGCCCAGCATTTTGGGAGGCTGAGGCAGGTGGATCACCTGGGGTCAGGAGTTTGAGGCCTCCTGGCCAACACGGTGAAACCCTGCCTCTACTAAAAATACAAAATTTAGCTGGGCATGGTGGCAGGTGCCTGTAATCCCAGCTCCTCGGGAGGCTGAGGCACAAGAATTGCTTGAACCTGGGAGGCAGAGGTTGCAGTGAGCCAAGATCCGCGCCACTGCACTCCAGCCAGGAGACAAGGTGAGACTCTGTCTCAAAAAAAAGAAAAGAAAGAAATATATGTATATATGAAAAGAACTGAAATGGAGACACTTTCTATGTTTTTATAACAAGAAGATTCAAAACTATCAAAATGTGAATATTGTTTAAACTTTAACCTAAAATTCAATACTGTCCTAATTAATATCTCAAGAAGATATAGAATTTAGAATATGGGGCCAAGAAATAAAATTTAAATATATAAATACATACAACCTTTATGAAAAAGTCCTAAGTCACAACTAATCAGGGTTCAAGTCGCTGATATTTTATGGAAGCTACTCTGGGAGAAAACCTGTGTTCCTTAGCACGTATCCATTGGGACCTCTATTGCCAATAACATAATCCAGAGGGCTCTTGTAACAATTTGCCTGAGTTCCGTAGGTGACTCAGCCAGTGACTCAGGTAAATGCTAATCTATTTTCTATCACTATGGATTTCCCTATTTGCATGTGCTTAATGGCCTCTATTCTCAAAGAATACATAGTCTAGCCCACAAACATTTAACCTTTCTACCACTATCCTTGGAATCACACCTAAGGTACATTTAGTAACACCTGTAATCGCCCTCCACCTTGGACTTTATAATCCACAGATTAACATTCTTGTTAGCTTTTCCTACTCTTCCTTTTTTTCAACCCTGCTTCCCTCACGATCTTAATATTGTTATTTCAATAAGATAAGAAAGAAAGAACTCCAAACAAATCAGAGGCCCAGAAGCCATGCCACCCCCACCCTTTCCCCACTTCACATATTCATTTCTTTTCAATAACACCCTGTAGGCCACCAAAAGGGACCTTATTTCTCTGACCTCGGTCACCTCCTGGTCAGGTGTGCAGTCTATCCTTTCCGACTGGGGAATCTCTGGGCACTCTGGAGTAAATGAAGTATCTGCATAGGAATTAAAGGATAAAGTTGAAAATGTGTAGTGTAATCACAGCTCCAGGAAGGAAGCCAGCAAAGTTACAGACTTTTGGCCAATTCTCCACACAACAGATCACCGGTAGCTGGTATCTACATTTGCATACAATGTTTAACACTTCTCCAAACTGGTATCTATATTTGCACATGATGTTTAACACTTCTCCAAGTTTAAACACGTTTATTTCTACTTTGTTTGCTTTTTAAACAGATACAATTTATATACCACAAAATTCATCCTCTTAAAGTATATGTCAATGGTTTTTAGTTATGAAGTTGTACAACCTGTGACCGCTGTCGAATTCCAGAACGATTTCATCACTCCAAAAAGAAATAACATACACTTTAGCAGCTATCTTCTATTCCCCTGTTCTCCCAATCCCTGGCAAACACTCATCTATTTTCTATCACTATGGATTTGCCTATTCTGAACATTTCCTATAAAAAGAATCATAAAATGTGTGGCCTTTTGTGCCTGGCTCCTTTCACCTGGCATAAGGTTTTGCAGGTTAATCCATGTTGTAGTATGTATCAGTGCTTCATTGCTTTTAATGGCTGAATCACATTTTTTGTGTGTGGATATACCACATTTTGTTTATCTATTCATCGGTTCATGTACATTTGGGTTGTTTCTACTTTTTGACCATTATACATAATCCTGCTATGAGCATTCGCGTAAGTTTCTCTGTGAGCTATGTTTTCAGTTTTCTTGGTTATATACCTAGAAGTGGAATTGTTAGGTCATGTGGTTAACTCTATCTGTAGCTTTTCGAGGAACTGGCAAAGTTTTCCAAAGTAACCACACCATCTTAGCCATGTAGAAGCCAGTTTCTCTGTAACCTCAACAACACTTGTTTTTATCTGTTTTTAATTATAGTCATCATAGTGGGTGTGAAAGTGATATGTTATTGTTTTGACTTGCGCTTCCCAAATAACCAATGATGTTGAATATACTTTCATGGGTTTAGTGGCCATTTATAGATTTCCTTGGGAGAAATGTCTATTTAAATGTTTTACTCATTTAGAAACCTTTTTTTTTTAAATTTGGATTTGTAGTATTTCTTTATACATCCTAAGAGAATATATTCTCTTATATTCCAATGTATTATCTTAGGATGTAAAAAGAAATATATCTGCAAATGATATATCTGATAAGGGCCTAACATCGGATACATCATCTGCAGGTATGTTCCCTGAATCTGTGGATTGTTTTTCACATTCTTGATAGTTTTCTTCAAAGTGTGCTTCAAAGCACAAAGTTTTTTTCAATTTTGATGAAGTCCAATTTGCCTATTTTTTTCTTTGTTTGCTGTGCTTTGGGTATCATCTAAGAAACTGTTATCTAATCCAAGGTCACAGACATTTTTATTTACATGTTCCTAGAGTTTTATAGTTTTAGCTCTTATATTAAGTCTTTGATCAATTTTGAGTCAATGTTTATATATGTTGTCAGGTAGAGATCCAACATTTTTTTGTTGTTGTTACCAGGGAAGCCCTGAATAAATCGCTGGGAAAGTCTTTTTTCTTACTGTTTTTTCTTTAGTCTCTTATTTGTAGGCACAGCTGCTTAAAGACACCAGAGGGCTCAGGCTACATATCAGGAAGATATTATTGGCCCCATTGGAAATACACATCTTCACTCAACATTGGCTATTCTTACTTTAGGCTTTATCAACTTTGTGGAATCTTCTCCCCATGACAACAGCAGAAGTAGGACTGGTTCATGGACTCCATGAACCATCTAAAATCCAGAATTTCAGCAGAATTTGGAGGAAACAGTTACCGTGGGTATTAGCAGGTGCCCCTTAGTGCTTTCGTTTTGATTCAAAACAAAGCCCCCAAATATATTCACTATCACTATCTTTACGGCTCTACATTTGTTTGTGTACATATATATATATTTCAATAAAAAATTGTCTTAAAACTGGATTCCTGCAATATGCAACAACATGGATGAACCTTGAGGACATTATGCAAAGTGAATTAAGCCAGTCACAAAAGGATAAATACTCTGGGAGTCCACTTACATAAATTATTTAAAATAGTCAAATTCACAGAAGCAAAGAAGAGAATGGTAGTTGTCAGGAGTTAGGGGGAAGAGGGAGTGCGGAGTTGCTAATCCCCAGTATAACATTTCAGTTATGCGAGATGAATAAGTTCCAGAAATCTGATGTACAACATTGTTTCAATAGATAACAATACTGTATTATACACTTAAAAATCCAGTAAGAGGGTAGATGTTCTGTTCTGTTCTTACCACAATAAAAACAAATTGATTTTAAAGCCCCCCTTTCAACCCATGGAAATACATCTTCAAAAAAAAAACAGAAGAAAAAAAAACAGTTGAAAGCAGAACTACTCTGCATAAATCAGAATGTGGTTTAAGGTGAATGCAGGTGTGAAGATCTAGTTTTATATCAAATAAAATAAACCAATTAGTCATATACACTGGATAGCAATCTCAGGAGACTTGTTACCCGAAAAATGTGTTAGAGGGGAGAAGTAGGAATAATCTCAAAATGGCTTATATCAATGGTTTTCAGATCATCTTTCAAAGTTGTAATAGTTCCTAGAAAGTGTCTTAATGTTTACTGTGGAGAGAGGTGAAAAGAGATGGAGCAGGTAGGGTTCTGCCATCAGGACAGCTTCTTTTCACTGTAGGTTCAATTCACATCTGTAAAGTGAGCTTGTCAAGCAGAACAAAGCCCAAATTCAGCTTTAACTGAAAATACATTTTTGAACTACACACATTTTATTATTTAAATTATAATATGTGCGTGAAAGAGAAGGCATTCTGTTTGATGCTTCTGGGTGCCTGAGAGAGAGACAGACAGACAGAACGGTTTCAAAGGCACCTATGAAGAAACTATAGCTATGTATGTTGGTATAACCAGGCCAACTTAATCATCCCACCACCTCCCTGTAACCTTAGTTTCCTTTTCCATAATATAATGGGGCTGGGCACTGTTAGCTTAACAGTCCTTTCTCATTGAAGGCAGTACGACTTCATGACTCTGGGTTGAAGGGCAGGCATCTGGTGAGCCTAATTTTGCATCTTGTTAAAATTGCACTAAATGGGGCTTGGGAGACCCTAAATGTCACTAACATTCAAGGTTTCAGTGCAGAAAAAGAACACTTATCTTTTGGAGTTGAACTTAAACTAATCATGGAAGTGAATTTTGAATACTGCAATGTAGTGGCATATTGAAAAGTAAAAGAATAAAATAATCTCTTTGGCGTTTACAGGAGACTTCCTTTACCCAGCCTTCCAACCTACAAGCATCTCCCTTACCTGAAGTTTCCTCCAACACAAGAAGCAGCAAGAGGATATCTATGGTCACCACAATTAAGCAGAAGATGATCAGAAGGACTTCCAATACACTGAGCTTCCTCGCCATCTAGATAGACACAGATAATTGGGTTAAAACAAATCACAAGGCCCCACCAATCTAAGAGGATACATAATCATTGTATCCAAATGTGGAATTGTTTGCAAGATGACCTTGATTATCAGCATCCTCTTTACATAATCTAAAGAATATTTGTTTCCACTTATCAGTGTCCCTAATTAACTCTAGCTTTACATCCAACACCTGTAGAGCTCTTGCCTTTTTTGCATGTAGAGGAACTGAGGATTGTCCAAGGAAAAGTATATCAGACATGAAGAACTGAAGGGAAAATGTTGTGGAATAACACACAGAAGAGAGATGAGGGGCTGAGGTAGCTCACAAAACCCTTTAGATTTCACTTTGATCTTCACATCCACCTAATGTAGTAGACAGGAAGGTATGCTCAGGGAGAGAGAAAGTAGCAAAACTGGAATCCAAGTCTTCTTCTTTCAACTGCCCTGGACATGATGCTGAAGTCACTGTTGAGACTGTTTAAACGTCACTGACACTCTCAAGGATCTGGTAACAAAAATGATCCTGATACCCAGCATAAGTCTTGCTGGGAGGTTCACAGCAAACAACTCACATAAATTTCGTGGCTCCCAGTAACCCCGAAGATCATTTATTGACCCAAGATTTAAAATATTTTCTATATTGGAGGATGTACTGAACTGGGAATCAAAGGGGTTGAATTCTTGTCCTGATTTTCTTACTAACAGATGGGCTATTTACCTATTTGGACCTGTATTTCTTCATCTACAAAAATGACATCAGACACTGGATGTGTTCTCATTTTTCTGCTCTAATTATAGTAAATCTAACATTATTACATGTCTACAGATCCATGACAGCCCTCAGCTGCAATGCCTTCTTCGCCATTCCATCTCCATCATCCTCAAATGTTTGCTAGCCCCTGGAATTTATCATCCCCAGAACTGTTACACTTTTGAAATTGTAAATCCATATGCAAATGAGCAATGTCCTTTTACTGTCTCATTGTCTGACTTTATTTTATTTATTTATTTATTTATATATTTTGAGATGGAGTTTCACTCTTGTTGCCCAGCTGGAGTGCAATGGCACGATCTCGCCTCACCGAAACATCTGCCTCCTGGGTTCACCCAATTCTCCTGCCTCAGCCTCCCGAGTAGCTGGGATTACAGGCATGCGTCACCATGCCCTGCTAATTTTGTATCTTTAGTAGAGACAAGGTTTCTTCATGTTGGTCAGGCTGGTCTCGAACTCCTGATCTCAGCTGATCTGCCCACCTTGGCCTCCCAAAGTGCTGGGATTACAGGCATGAGCCACAGCACCCAGCCTGCCTTACTTTATTTTAAAAAAGTATCTTATCACATCAAGGCAGCTGTTATCTTTCCATTTCCTTTTAATCTCTTAGCCCTTCCTAGCTGTTAACCCTAACTGACCTAGGCCTCAGTATTGATTATTTAACTTGCCATTGCTCTCATCTTCCTCGCTCTCTATCTGCTAACAGAATCTGCAGGATGAAACTATCCATCCAAACATCTGCCTTCTGTGCTGCCGCACGTAACTCAAGGGAGATGCCACCGAGGCTCATAATCTCCTAAATAAACTGGGCCTGCAAGCCGACTGATGGTCTTGACAGTGCCTCTCACTTTTCGCAGCAGTAATTTTATTTTTATTTTATTTTATTTTTTTGCAGACGGAGTGTCACCCTGGAGTGCAGTGGCGCAATCTCAACTCACTGCAACCTCCACCTCCCAGGTTCAAGGGATTATCCTGCCTCAGCTTCCTGAGTAGCTGGGACTACAAGTGCATGCCACTACGTGTGGCTAACTTTTTGTATTTTTAGTAGAGATAGGATTTCACCACGTTGGCCAGGCTAGTCTCGAACTCCTGACCTTAAATGATCCACTTACCTCGGCCTCCCAAAGTGCTGGGATTACAGCATGAGCCACCGTGCCTGTAATTTAAAAAATTGTTCCTTCTATCCTTCTTTTCAGGCCTGACTCTATTACCTACACTCTTATTCTCATGCAGTATCATCTCTGATATCACCCAAAAAATAATGATTTTGCAGAAACTATTCTCTCTCTCTGCTTCTCAACCCAAGCGTTTCCACAAAGGTTATTCACATCTAGGTAAATTCTTATTTTTCCCCCTCTATTCTCAATGAAACAGTTTTTCCTCTTCTTGTTTAAGCATAATCCTTGTATCTGTTATCTAGATCTCACAGCTGTTGAATTTCTCAAAAATTTCATTCCACCAATTATCTCTTATTGTCTTGCATTATCAAATTCACTCTCTGAATATCTTTCCTTCATAAATATACCCCAAGTCACCCCAAACTCTGTTAATGACTCTGTGTGCTTCTGCAGGTAGCATAATAACATTCTTTTTCTTTCCAGTGCCAATCTTCCAAAACGATAGTTCCACACTTTCTGTATTCCCTTCCTCATGTGTTATTGGCTTGGCTGTGTTTTCTGCATTCCACTGGAAATGCTCCCACCGAGGTTACTAGTGACATAGTGGCTGAATACAATGGGCGCTGTCTTAATCACTTAACCACTTTCTCCTCCATGAAACTTTCCACATATGGATTCCTTGATAGGAATCTTGGCTTTCCACCTCTATTTCTGGCTTATCTTCAATATTCTTTGTAGTCTCCTATTTCTTTCTTTCTTTCTCTCTTTCTTTCTTTCTTTCTTTCTTTCTTTCTTTCTTTCTTTCTTTCTTTCTTTCTTTCTTTCCTTCTTTCTTTCTTTCTTTTTTTGAGATGGAGTCTCGCTCTGTTGCCCTGGCTGGAGTGCAGTGGCGCGATCTCGGCTCACCGCAACCTCCGCCACCCAGGTTCAAGTGATTCTCCCGCCTCAGCCCCGCGAGTAGCTAGGACTACAGGCACCCGCCATCATGCCCAGCTAATTTTTATATTTTTGTAGAGACAGGGTTTCACCATGTTGGCCAGGTTGGTCTTGAACTCCTAACCTCAGGTGATCCGCCCGCCTTGGCCTCCCAAAATGCTAGGATTACCTGCGTGAGGCACCACGCTCAGCCCTATTTCATTAAATGTTGATGCCCCCCAAATTCTGGTATAGGCTTCTTTTTTAAACTACGCAGACACGTTGGGTAATCTCCACCACTCATGTGACTTTATATGACATGTGATGGCAATCCAACCTGTATTTCTAGCCCAGGGATTTAGATTCATATATTCAACTGCCTATTGGATGTCCCACAGATTCAATAAGATTTAACATGTTTAAACATGAAATCATCTCTCCCCACACCTCACTCCCAGTTCCTGCCAATTTGGCCAAATTATCTGTTCTTCAAATAATTAATAACTTGAGGAATAGAATCACATTATAAAAAAAAAACCTAGGAATCTTTTTTTAATTCCTCTCATTCTGTTAGTTCTCACAGCCAGTTAACAGTTCAGTCAGACTACTTTCCCGGTATCTTTGGGTCATTACCCAAGTGACCAGCACAAACAGGGTCATTTGGATCTCCTATATTCAAGCCTTTAATGGATCTCTGAATAAACCAAAAACCCTTTAGCTTTGTGATCAAAGGTCTTCATGGCACGTCCTAACCCCAGCTGCTCAGCGTCTCCTCTCCCCATATTCCCACCATACTAAACCAGCACTTATGCAGCAACAAGCTATTAAATATAAGTCAGCAGGGACAAAGACTGTTCTCTCTCTTATTTTTATGTTGATTTTGCATCTCCTCTTACTTTTCATTTCCCTGCCTCCCTGCTCTTCTCAACTCCTCCCCAATGCCACGACCATTTCTACAAATATTTTTATATAGGTATATAGCTTCAATTTTTAATTACAGTAGCCTTTAGGTTAATGTGTAATAATTCCATAAAAGAAGCACTTTAATATTGAAATAGAGGTAAGGAACTAGGACCTACAGGTAATTTGCCAACAGGCATTTAGGAAGAACCCTTAGCCCTTGGAGACACGAGGTTTGGGATTAAAATTGAGGTTTATTAACTATTCTTTACTATTTACCTAAATTAATCAGTTGTCTCTCTTTTAGTCTAAATTATTTAAAAGATATACTCTAATCCCTATAAAATATATATCATATGACTGTATTCTCATAAAATCCCTGCATTGAAGCTGATCAGACAGATATCATGATTTCCATTTTATAGATGAATATTAAGAAATTTTGTCTAGTCACGGTTAGTGGTGGAACTGAGACAAACACCGAGAGCCGCTACTTTTTAAAATAGTACTTGAATACTCTCTCGACAATGTATCCTAGGCTGCAGAGCTTAAAGACTTAGAGGATCGGTCTCCAATGGTGGAATTTCAGGTAGAGAAAGAAGTAGGAAGGACCTACCCTAAGAGTGCTATGGTATCAAACTTCGTTTCTTATACATACAGCCCACAACTCAATACCACAGCAAAGGCATTATTCATCAATTGGTCTCTTTCTGCAAGTATTATTTCTCTCCACAGGGAGACTTTTTTCTTTCTAGCTTCTAAAAATCAGCAGCAGGGACCTACTCCACAGCTCCTCAATCCTCCTGAGGGAGCAGGTTCAGCACCTTAGCTCAGGAAGTACAGGAACGCTCTGGGAATAACCCTGGGTATTTTCCTGCCTTAGGAGCTATTGTCATTCAGGCAGAGGACAGGATGGGGATTCCTAAAGGTAGAAATTCTTGCCTACTTAGAAACCCTTCCTGCCCAAAGCTGGGAGGAATTCACCTTCCTCCAAATCCATGCCATCTTGAGATAGTTTCCAGAAGGATCCCATCTGTTTCCTCTGTCCTTAATTTCTCCCAGTGAGAGAGGAGGATCTCACACCAGACCTCCCCCAACCTGTCCTCCAAACACTGACACCACACACACACACACACACACACACACACACACACACACACACACAGTCTCTCCTCTCCATCAACTATCTCATCCTCACTCCTCATATTTTATGGAAAAGGAAGAAAATATTAAGTCCAGAAGGAAAACATGGGCATCCAGATCACTTAACAGAGCAGCAGACAGAAAATCACACAAAAAGAAAGGGACCTTCCTGCCCTTGTTCAAAGCCCTGCTTGCATGGAGAAGCGTACTCACCGCATCACCTTGTTTTTTTCTATGCTGTATCTCTCCCTCAGCAATTCATAGGGAGCACTGAGCAAAGGTAACTGGGCTGAGGTAGCCAGCTTCTGCCACAATTAATTTATTGCCTTATAAAGTTGACAGCAACTGGAGGAGGGGAGTGCATATTCCAATAGGTCATAAAAGAACGCTTGTTCTCCATGTGACACAGAATGAAAGCTCCTTTTGTTAATAAAAGGGGAAGGTGGTTTTTTTTCTACTCATTGTCCCTCTTCTGTATCCCTGTTCATATCTGATTACTTGTCACGTTATGTTTCCTCATCTATACATGTAGCCTAAAGGGCTCAAGAGCTAGGGTCTTGTCTATCTTCTTCACTGTTGTATCTCCTGTGCTTAGCACTCTGCCCAATATCCATAGTTCTTTTTAAATATATAGCTATTTATTTAATAAGTAAGTGAAAGAAGGATTAGCTCTTAGTTCATCACTTTGTTCTTTTCTCCATTTTCATCCTCCAGAGTTCTCTTGGTATAACTCAGCTTTTCATTAATTCAAATGATCCTTTCCACCAATTATTCTAAATAGTGAAGTACCATTAAAGTAGCAATTATACAAACCCGTCCAGGTGCAGTGGCTCACACCTGTAATCCCAGCACGTTGGGAGGCCGAGGTGGGCGGATCACCTGAGGTCAGGAGTTTGAGACCAGCCTGGCCAACGTGGTGAAACCCCATCTGCACAGCCAGGCATGGTGGCAGGCGGCTGTAATCCCAGCTACCCAGGAGGCTGAGGCAGGAGAATCGCTTGAACTCAGGAGGTGGAGCTGGCAGTGAGTTGAGATTGCCCTATTGCACTCCAGCCTGGACAACGAGAGCAAAACTCCATCTCAAAAAAAATAAAAGAGAAAGAATGTATACAAACCTAAAGTGGGAAGATGCCTCTAGTGGACATTTGTCATGTTCTTCGATGGCTCAGCATCTTTCAAAACCTCTTGCTAAGATGGGGGAGGTGGGGAGGGAGACAAAGGTAGTAACACTACCTATTGGGTACTATACTCACTACCTAGGTGACAGGTTCAATCACACCCCAAACCTCAGCATCACACAATATACCCTTGAAATGAACCTGTATATGCACCCTGAATCTTAGACCCTGAATCTAAAATAAAAGTTGAAAAAAATTTAAAAACGGAGGATCTTTCTTTAAAAAGAAAAAGAAAACCTCTTACTTAAATCAACTTAAGGACTTTTTCTCCAAATTCTGCCTCCCCAAAGAAACAGCTAGAAATTCTCTTTCACAGCCTTTCTTTCATCCAAGGTAGAGGCAAGTGGCTGGAGCTTTGTGAATGAGATATTCCTGTGAGTGACTTACATCCAGAAGAAGGTGTAGATAAGGAGGTACCATGTAAAATCCAGGATGTTGGAAGCATAGCTCGTTTCAGAGGCAGCAGGGACAAGAGACCTAGTGGCATCCTATGCTCAGTATTTGGGGTTGCGAGCTGCCAGATATGTGCTCAGGGCAGTGGCAGTAGAAACCGCTACAGGGTAACCTGGGGCTTGTCCCTAGCCACATGGCCTACAAACCTGACTCTCTAGTCCTACCGGAGTTTCAATGAGTCACCAATATCTTTTTAAAATTTTTCTTAAGCCAGCTAAAGTGGATTTTTAAATTGACATATAATTTCCAAACCATAAGATTCACTCTTTTAAAGTATACAATTCAGTGTTTTTAAAAATATATTTACAAAATTCTGAAACTATCACCACTATCTAATTCCAGAACATTTTTGCCACCCCCAAAAATAATTAGTGGTCACTCCCCATTCCCATCTCCCCCTGTTTCTGCAGCCACTAACCTACTTTCTGTCCTTATGGATTTGCCTATTGTGAACATTTCATATAAATGCAGTAATACAATATGTGGCCATCTGTGTCTGGCTTCTTTTACTTGGCATGATATTTTCAAAGTTCATCCACACCATTTCAGGTATCAGTGTCTGTTCCTTTCCATGTCTGGATAGTATCCACTGCGTGGATAGACCACATTTTGTTTAGGCATGTATCAGCTGATATACATCTAGGTTGTTGATACTTTTTGCCTGTTATGAACGATGCTGCTATGAGCTGACACGTTTTAAAATTCTGCCTGGAATATACCTAGGAGTGGAATCATGGGTCATGTGACAAGTCTTTAACTTTTTGAAGAACTGCAAAACTGCTTTCTAATGTGGCAGCACCATTTTACACCCCCATTCCTGCCAGTAATATATGAGGGTACAGAGAGCTCTTTTGGTGGCACCTAAGAACTGTAAATAACAGTGTTCACAGTAGTGAATCTTTTGTGTTTGCTTCAAATGCTCAGTATGTGGAAAAGCACACATACACACACACACGGAGAGAGAGAGAGAAAGTGAGAGAGAGAGAGGGAGGGACAGAGAGAGAGAGAGAGAAAGAGAGACTCGGTTTCTGCATTTATGAACTGCTGGAATGACATATTCAGCTTTTCATTTGCCCCAGTACAAGGTGGCCTTTGTTAGAGGGGAAATGTACCAAGATCTCATTTCAAATTGGGAAGACATCCTGGCAAAAGGTCAAGAAGGGAGATTTTATTGTTACATAAGATCTATTTTTTGTGTGATATTTTACCTTTAACTCCCCACATGCCATGCACATTTGTGACTTCATTTATGTTAATAGTGGTAACCAACAGGCCCAGCTAATCTATAACCTGTTTCCTAAAGTGCAGAAAATAGCTACCTTCACCTTCCATTCTTGCTAACTAGTAACTGGAAGATATTGAATCACCATACTGGTGTTGACCAATGAGAAAATAACAGAGCCACTTTGAAGGGTAGAGACAGGCACGTGACCCGACATCTTCCAGTTGTCTATCGGTAACAAGGCACGGCAAAGTTAGCTATTGGCGGAACTCAAACAGTTGTCACAGCAAGCTGCTGGTTGGAATCATCAGATCAGAAACTAGTAATATGAGTCACCCTTAACTTCCAGAACACCTTTCTCCAAGGCCAGATGCAAAACTCTCAGTGACTCTGCCGCTATGACAAGAACAAAGAAATATTGATGAGATCTTGAAGACATCTGCCACGGCCAACATAACCTTATCTTTGCAGGTATATATGACATTTAATGTTATAACATTAATAAGAAAGGAATAGATGTCTTCCTATTTAAGTGAAAGAGTTTGAGAGTGTTTTTTTTTTTATTTTGGCACACCTATGAAGAAAGCAAAATTATGTGATCTAAAAAACAGAGCATATGTGGAAAAGGAAGGCCCCCAGCCTCTTCCTGAATAGCTGGCCAGGAGTTGTAAGCATAGGTCCATGTTGTAGGGGCTGCTCTGGGATGGCCACAAATGGATATGGTTCCATGAGAGGTGGTTCTCAGACTGTGATCTGAGGAACAACCTCTGGGGGTATTATTGAGCGAAAGGGCTCACTCTTCGATGCGCTAGAAGCCAATACTCTGATAAAGGGTTTCGAAGAAAAGCTTTTATTGCAAAGTCGACTCACAGGACACAGGAGTCCAGCTCAAACCTGTCTTCCTGTGCTGGCTTTAAGGAAGTATTTTTATCAGAAAAGACTTAGGGGGTGGATTCTGGGATTAGCAGGTGATTGGTAAAAGAAAGAGGAAATCTAGAAAGTCCTCAGGCATGCACAGTTATCTCTTCATGCCTCATCATGGGTCTCATGTGCAAATTTGGGAGGGAGTTAGTAAGAACCTGTGGTGGAAATTCAGGCTGTGACGTCAGCAAGCTCTTTCTGCGTTAACTCCGGTAAGCCATATTGGTTCCAACAGATAATCTCTTTTTCACACATTTCTGGCTGAAATTTAGCATTTTGTTAGGTTATGAATGTAGACAACAAAACACAGTAGTTTTCATAGCACATGAGTTTGTCAATAATGCAATCACAGATCTTTCCATATTACATTATGAAATTGTAGTGGATATCTCAAAATATTGTTGATGTTGATCATTACATTGAAATTATAGCATTGTTACTTCCACTGTTGGATCTTTTCATTTAATTTGATAATGAAAAAAACACATCTCATGGGTTACTATATCATCTTTAATATTTGGATAAGTGTATCGTAATATGATAAGTTTTCTTTGAAATAGCATGCATTTTGCTTGATGCATTTAAAAACAATGTTGTGAGGAAGAATTCCGTAGGTTTCACTAGGCTGTCAGTGGGGTCCCTGACACTTCGTGTGCTCCAAAACCCCACTGGCCTCACTAGGGCCTTAGCCATCAGAATTATATAGTCAGAATGCCTCTCCTTAAGCATTCTGTGGCAGCCAGAGCCAAATTCCACCAACATATCCTTGATGGTAACATTAAATATTTTTTAAATATCAAGTAAATAACGTTTTCATCTTTGTGGCCTTCCTGAGTTTGTTAGAGGAAAGCTGACAAGTTTCCCACCTTTTTGATCAAAGGATTCCCATGGCTGCTTTTCCATATTTCACCAGTTTCCTAGTTAGCTCAGGCCCTCATCCAAATGCCCCGTATTGTGATAATTAGATGATTTAACAATATTGTTTGTCTCTAGCCTTATGCAGGTGCTGACACATGAGTGTGCAGGGAGAATGAATGGCTTCCTGGTTATAAGAAAAGAAGAAAACACAGAGAAGTAGGTTCATTCATTCCACACACATTCATTTTCAACTCATTTTCAGGTAACATCAAAAGTTAATATTCCTGTTGAACATTAATATATAATTTCCTTATCTCACATTTTAACCCTATAGAATTTTAAGCAAGAAGGTTGCAACTCCTATTTTTACTGGAGTTGGTATTTTCCTAAATATAGCAACTGCTATGATGATTAAAATAGTAATCAATAGACCCTTCCACAAACCCACATCTTATAAAAGACTCCTTGCAGAGATGTAAGAAAAAGGATAATTATAAAGGTTATCATCCTATTGGTGGATTTGGCTGTAGGTTCTGTGATGCCGAAGAGAACCAGAAAGACAAATTCATAAGAGTTTGCTAAACAAGAACCTTAACCCCAAACAGAGATTACTCATGGTCAAAATAGCACAAAATTCAAAATCACTTGCAAATTCACTTGTTTTATTTTTATCTGGCATATAAATTGCATATTTTTATGTGAAATGTGGTTGTATACATTAGAAATAAGATTTACACATTTCAAAGCACACTACTGCAAAAATAAATTATTTTTAACCTCCAAACTCTCTTTTGAGCTTTGCCTGCTCAGATCTCAATCTCACCAGTAGCCCTTTATGCTAAGGATTTCTCAAGACCCTCTTCTTCAAGTGAGTTGACTCTTCCTTTTTCCTCCCCATGAGGCTGCTGACAATTTTACATTATGTTCTTACTTAGGATCACTTTTACTATCATCTTCTGTTTCATCTGATCTTTCCTTGTGTTTGCCTTTTCTTTGCTTATCATGCTCCCCCCACCTATAACCAATTAGGTATATTATTCCTCCCACCGCCTATAACCAACTAGCAGATGTTCTTTCTGGATACTTTCTTGAGATGCTGATTAGCTTCAAGACCTGGAACTGTCACAGAAAGCTTTCTCTTGTGTATTTAACAAAAGAATGGGGTCCATTCTATGATTACAAACGTGGACATACACACACTTCATCATGGACCCAGTTCATCTTCAGTAAATGTCATATGATGAACAGTCACTACCATACTAACCACACAGAGACATTAAGGTAATGCATAGATTTTCCACACCTCCCTAACTGCCTATCCCACAGGGCTAAGGTTTAACCTTTAGGGTTCACACAAAAAACATATAACAAAATTAACAGAAATATTTCACCAATAGTGGGTATGAACAAATTAGCAACACACAATAATTTTTATGAGTATGAAGTATAAGTAGTTTCAAAGTCATTCATAGTTAGTTAGAATCTTGCTGTAAAAATTCACAGAGTGCTTATCCACGTCAATGAAGTAAAATTATGTAGGCTGATGTTTCTGTCAGTCACATCGATGCTTAATACCTGTTAGGAACCAAAGGAAAAGAATTGGGCATCCGGTGTTGAAATTTCCTGCATGCAAATAAATCAGGTGCAAGTATCCAGTCCAAATAACCCCCTAATACTTCTACATTGTATTGTCTAGTTAAAAGACTGCCTTCAAAGTTTCAGATGAGAAGGGTGTTTTCTAATTTTTTAGAGTACAAAGATTATTCAGTGGTAGAGATGGGCCTTTAAATAATTCAATATGGGCCGGGTGCGGTGGCTCACGCCGGTAATCCCAACACTCCGGGAGGCCCAGGTGGGTGGATCATTTGAGGTCAGGAGTTTGAGACCAGCCTGGCCAACATGGTGAAACCCCAGCTCTAATAAAAATACAAAAATTAGCCAGGCGTGGTGGCAGGTGCCTGTAATCCCAGCTACTAGGGAGGCTAAGCCAGGAGAATCACTTGAACTTGGGAGGCGGAGACTGCAGTGAGCTAAGATTGCACCAGTGTACTTCAGCCTAGGCAACAGAGTGAGACTCAGTCAAAAAAAAAAAAAATGTTCAATATGCAACCGCTGAAGAGAAACAACTGCACAAACTGGAGAGAATGCCCTCTTTTCCATTCTACTGAGGTGTTGATTTTCCTTGGCACCATCCTTCTGTTTCCTCCTTCTCCTATTCCACTATAGCACCCCAGTGTTTGCCCAGCAAGAGTCCACTATTCCTGCTTCTTCCTAGGCAGATGCTGTCAAGAAGCTTTCACTGCATGTGCCCTCATCAGCTTGCATGTCTGTCCCTGAGCTGGTCAGCAACAGGATTGGGCAAAGTCCTTTATGGTATAGTTGGGGAAGTTGTTGACAAGAAAACCACAAGTATGAGGAAATAACTGTAAAGAATGCAAAACTGAAAGAAAACTTTTGTTTCAGGCTTAATCATCAGGAAGGATTATGAAAGAAAAAAGTTCAGGAAAAAAAATAATAAGTAAGCACACAAGGAAGAAAGTTTCATTTACCATCGGGATGATAAGTGTCAGGACCACTACACAGCATTAATCCCAAGGTACAGATTTTTCACATATTTAACATTCATCTGACAAGAGCGTGTCTTGTAATCGACAACCATAGAATTACTGTGAGCCAAGCAGCACTCATGGCATAATTGTTATTGTCTGTGCCTGTGTAAGCTTCATTGCTATTACTGTGTTATGAATGGATGGGCTGAAAACATTTAAGGATTATTACAGGAAGGAATATTTAGTAAGATCAAGAAAGCACTAGGATGAAAATGTATATAAAGTGTGTTAGTGGCTCAGGAAAAAAACTTCATAGACACTAGTGGAAGAATTTTTATAAAATGCTGAATCACCAACACCTTTTGCAGTACAGAGGAAATATCTTAACCAATTTGTAACACATATTTTTCTTCTAAATAATAATAAATACAATAAACTAAATAATAAAACAGTTTAATATGAATTTAAATAGTACAATTTAAATACGATACAAGTTGGTTAAGCTATTTCTAGTGCTTCTTCACATTTAGGGTCTACCTCTTTTAAATTACGTTGAGGCAGAATCATCAATGTATCTCCACTCAACATTTTCCTCCATATTATCACTTACAATATTGAAATATATAGGTAAAACTTTATGGCTAAAGAAGTTTCAAAAACTTTCTATAAGTTTATTATAAAAATCTGAGGCTGGGCACAGTGGCTCACGCCTGTAATCTCAGCACTTTGGGAGGCCAAGGCAGGCGGATCACAGGGTCAGGAGATCGAGACCATCCTGGCTAACACAGTGAAAACCTGTCTCTACTAAAAATACAAAAAATTAGCCGGGCATAGTGGCAGACGCCTGCAGTCACAGCTACTTGGGAGGCAGAAGAATGGCATGAACCTGGGAGGCAGAGCTTGCAGTGAGCTGAGATCACATGCCACTGCACTCCAGCCTGGGCAACAGAGTGAGACTCCGTCTCAAAAAAAAAAAAAAAATTGAGTGATAAGGAAGCATTCTATCATAGTTTTGTCATCCTTTTTTCTTTCTTTGTGGCACATGAAATAATGAAGCAATTTTCACTGATGGTATCATATTTGATAAAATATGATAGTTCCAACCTGTTTGGGAAGTTGATCTCTGAGGCAGAGGTGAGGGAGTCAAGACAAAGTTTTACATAGGTTTGCAGACAAGAAGACAAACATGGAAAGTAAGAATCCAGGCCATGGATTCCAAATGATGATAAACCATGATTTTTCATTCATCTCCACGTGGTCCATTCCTAACACATGGAAAACTCAGGGATTCCCGGAGGGCCTGGCAGGAGAGGGCATCATTTGGAAGGGAAGCAGTCAGGCACTGCACTAGGCATATTAAGGGTGGAGAATACCATTCGCACTTTTTGCTGGTCACAAACCTGTGTCGTGGGGTCATTGTTGAAGGAGGGTGTTATGACCATGCCACTCACAGAGATGCTGACACTGGTAACGGGGACACTGCCCACTCCCCAGATTTCAATGTAGCCCAGTTTCAAAGGATTTGTACCAGTGATGTAATTGTTGAAAATTATATGGCTTTGCATCGTATTCTGTTGAATTGGAGATAAAAGAAAAATATAATAGCAGAATTAGTTCAAATTTTTCTAACCTCTTTTTAGGCACAAATGTAGGTCATAAAGTAAGACAACTTCAGAGTCACCATCTTGTAACTTTGGATCATGGAAATCATGATTTCATCACTCTATGGCCTATTGCCAACTCCCATCCACTTTGCATTGACAAGCAGCTACAGGGTCTTTCGCACTGCCCTGAACTCTACAGGAGACAAAAAGTCTCAGCTGTTAAGATACTTATATTCTACAGGTGGAGGAATCCCAAAATGTGCAGACCATTCCAAGGCAACTCAGGAACAAGGGCTAGATAACAGAAACTGCCCGTCCACCTGTAACATGGTAAACTAGAATAATGATCATTACTGATGAGATGTGGATAGGTTTAATTGCAGAAAGCCTCCTGGGAGCATAGTAAATTTCCACCGGAAGTCTAGAGAAGTAGAAGAATGTGAATTAGCAAGATGAGCAATGAAGAAATTCTAGGTGGTATTTTATGCCCTTACGATATTCAGCACCCTCCTAAGCCAGTGGAACCCTATTCTCACTTCATATCAATCACACTCACCTGGCTGGCAGAAAAGCTGGCCAAGTAATAGAGTCCTTTCCCATAGGTATCTGCAAACAAAAAACAAGATAAACATGGCCTGGACCTGTGCTGTAGAACTCTATGCTATAGAATATATAAATGCTGTTCTAATTGCCTACTTGTCTTGTTTGAGAGAGTAAGGCTTATCTTTGTTTTTATTTCTGTCTTTTGAGTGTTCTATTTTAAAATGTAAGTGCTCTTTATGGAGACTAATCAAACCCTGCACCCACACTCAGTTTACACAAAATGCTTGAAATGAATGTGTATAGACACATCTGTCTGACAGAGTCACTTCATATAACACAGTTTCCTGACACCATTTTTAAGTCACTTCTCTTCCTTGTGGTCTACCATCCCAGCATCTTCCTAACCAGCTCAGAATTTCCAGGTTTCTTTTGCTGTATGTACACATCTCCACACACACATTTATATGCATATACATATGCAAACACCAACACTGGTGTCTTGGTGGGTTTATCTTGAGGTATTAGGCAAATTTAAAAATGTGATCTCCAGAGAACAAAGATGATCAAAGAAAAGCCTTCTTTGTCCTTTATCCTAAATGTGTGCCACAGGCCTAGGAAGAATATGAAGTTCAGCACAGCCGGTGAAGGTGAACTAGTCAATAGCTTGGTTTCAAGTATTCCCATCCTACACCCTGCCCTCGTGGCTGTCACACTCTTTCCTGTGTGCTGGCCCCTTTCTTTTTCTTTCACTTTTCTTTTCTTTCTTTCTTTCTTTTTTTTTTTTGAGACAGAGTTTCGCTCTTGTTGCCCAGGCTGGAGTGCAATGGCATGATCTCGGCTCACTGCAACCTCCGCCTCCCGGGTACAAGCAATTCTCCTACCTCAGCCTCCCAAGTAGCTGGGATTACAGGCATGTGCCACCATGCCCAGCTAATTTTTTTGTATTTTTAGTAGAGAGGGGGTTTCTGCATGTTGGTCAGGCTGATCTCGAACTCCCAACCTCAGGTGATCCGGCTGCCTCGGCCTCTCAAAGTGCTGGGATTACAGGCGTGAGGCACTGAGCTCGACTGTGCTGGCCCTTTTCTAAATGACTCACCACTCAGTCAGTTGCCACTGGCTATCCCTTAGAACTGTGCTGTCTAAGATAGCAGTCACTAGTAAAATGTAACACGTTTAAATTTAAGCTTGTTAAGATTGAATAAAATTAAAAATATAATTCTTCAGATGCACTTGTCACACATTTCAAATGCTCGATAGCCTCATATGCCTACTAGATACAATATTGAACAGCAGAAGATATAGAACATTGTCATCACTGCAGAAAGTTCTATTGGATAGCACTTGTCTAGAAATAGCTAATAATTTCTTGAGCAATCCTCCTGAGAGTTTACCAATTCCTATAAACTCCTAATAGAAAATATCCCATAAATAATACAACGGATAGAGGTATTACCCCTCTTACTGGGACAGTAAACCATGTAATTCGGGAATGTGTCCTTGACCATAAATCCTATGAAAGTTTATCTCCGCTGGCTACAAATAAACTTTCCCCATGGCTCCCATATTGCTACCTTCTATAGTGGATTACAAAGGTTGCATAATGGGAGGTGATTCAGAACTGAGCTTCATTTACATGAGGAATAAAGATCATGTCCAATATGGATTATACCCTTGAATTAACAAATGATTATATTTTAAAATGCAAAATTGTTATAATAGGGAAAAGGTGAAAGCAGGCCTGTAAGATAATCCAGGAATGTAGTCAGTGCCATCAGCATGAATCTCAGGCAACCTCTACTCACCAATGCTTTGCCCATCATCCCAGAAGAGCCAGCCCCCAGCAGTTCCTTCATCATCCAAGGCAATTTTGAAGCCCATGAATTTCTGGCGGCTGCAGTGAGCAGGCAGAGAGGCATTAGCTAAAAGTAAAGCCACAGCCACAAACCAAGACTTTACATACAAACATAAAGCAGCAAAGGGAAGTGCTTTGGGGGATAAAGACTGCATACTAGAATTCAAGAGACTTGTGTCTTAGTTCTAATTCTGTCTCTGTCTGGCTCTATGACTTCATATCATGAACAAATGAATTAGTGAATGAATCAAGAGGATTCTGCTTTAAGGCTCTTAAAATAATGACAACCAGACTAACTGGGTTCTTTCTTTTCCTTTTGAAAGGAAAATCCTGATGCTGAAAATCTGTTTTCGTGACCTAATATCTGAAACATATACAGGGAGTTCTATTTTCAAATGTCCTAAGTTCTTCATTTTTATTTAAATCTTTAGAATCAAATGAATAGGGAGTCTAAGAATGTTAGTATTGATACCAGAGAGATGTGAATTTTAGTCCGCATTCATGTACTTAGTAGCTGTGTGACTCTGAGCAAATCACTTAGCCTTTTTGCTCATCTATGAAATGGTGGTAACAGTACTAACCTCACAGAATTTATGTTTTCCTTTTGCTAAGAAAAAATAGATAATTTCCACATGGAAATGCCCATATTCATATAGTTCTAGGCACAGGGCAAGCACTCACTGGATGTTAGCTATGGTTAATTTATACATAGACTTTGATCTAGAATTTTAACATCTTGTAGAGGAATAAACAATTTTTCAGCAATAGTTTTATTAGGAAATATTCAATCAGACCCAATAGTATACTAAAACTATTATGAATCGTGGTGGCTCCTATTTTGACTTCCATTTCAATTGTGAGATTGAAAGATGACACTCTTAGACCTATCAACTCACCCACTTAGACATAAAAGAGCTGTTAATAATTAGTCGAAGAGTATAGAGTCTGAAAAAGGTTAAAATACAAACAAGCAAACAAAGAAAAAACAAGTGTTGAGTAGAATTGCATGTGGGTTTGAGAGTGATGCTTACATTTTGGTGGACTTCATTACAAATTGTTGAGCTAACTGACATGTAAAGGAAAACCTGAGTCCTGTCACTTACCTTAAGTGGGTGTTCAGTGCAGGCTCTTGCCAGGGCAGGATGTAGCCCCCACGGACATGAAGATTAATGTGGTCAAGAGGGGCTGGCAAGGTCTTCCACTCTCCTCTTGCATTAATATCCACACCCTGGAGGCAGAAGAAGGTAAGAGATGACTAAGGAGAGGACAGGCCCCTCCCTGAACAATGCATCCTGCCAGACATCTCATCCTCCCTTCTGAACTTATGCCTGCTCATCACCCTTTGCAACATACCTGCCATTACCCATTCTGCATTCACCCAGTGCTGCAAGAAATCTTGCAAGGCTGCTATAATATCTTGTTAGGGTCTCTTGCCTTTGCTTCCACTGTACAAACTACATTTGCCTGATGTGTGACAGGAAGAGGTGCTACTCTCTCACCTGTATCAGAACCTAAGGGACCATGCTTCCATCCTACATGTTCTCAACTAGAGCAGGGCTTTTCAGTCTCAGCACTATTGAGATTTGGGGCCAGACAATTCTCTGGCGATGGGGCTATCCTGTGCCTTTTGATATTTAGCAGAATCCTCGGATGTCAGCCGCATCACCTCCTCACCCCCACTCTGTTGTGACAACCAAAAATATCTCCAGGCATTGCCAAATGTCCCCTGGTAGGCAAAATCCTCTCATTTCAGAGCTGCTACTTTACAGGTAAGAAGCAGTTATTGTTGACAACAAGCGAACAAATATGCATGGCTGTGTTCCAATAAAACTTTATTTGCAAATCAGCTAACAACCAGATTTGGCTGTGGGCCATAGTTTTTGCCAGCTTGTGCTCTAGAATGAGTAATAGTTACCCAAACTTGGGAAGATTAATTAAGGTGACACTTCTTCATTAATATTAACTATGAAATTCATCTTCATTTTAATTAAACATCAAAATTTCATCTTTTTCTAAATAGCTTGCTCCATGATTTCTTTTGTCTTTTCCTCTTCAACCAAAGACATCTTCTGTTAGTGAATGGGAGACTCAACATGCACACTCAGGACAAAGGCCAGTCTCACGTAAAGAAAGCTGGCCACCTCTTCCTGGGAAACGCCTGGCTGGGACACACATAGCAGAGCCTTAACATGTTACCACCCTAAGGGCAGATCCAGACTAGCAGCAGGAAGAGGAGTCTGGGGCTGTGGAGAGGACTTGGGCTCCAATGGACTGAGAAGAGAAGGAACAAAATGCACATCCTTCTCCAGTTTTCACCTAATCTCACTGCAATCCCCTTGGATGAAAGGGGCCAGCACATGCTCTGCTTCCTGTATCCCTGCTTGTACCCCTTTGCTGTATTTCCAGCCCTCAACGATGTTCTCCTCAGAAAGTCAGAAGAGGCCCCATTAGAGACCAAGGAAATGCCTTCTTTGATTCTTCCCCAAGAATCAGGGTCTGACTTGTCAGGGTCCCAGCAAGAGCCCACCACCCCAGAGCTGCCCGGGAAGACCCTGGCTTCCCAGATAAGTCTTTGGGGAACATAATAGCACAGAAACTATGCGGCAAGGAGCTCTTCATTGCTTCCTCATTTCTAAATGCACTTGCACTGCTTAGACTCACAAGGGTTGGGTCCCATACCTCTGTGTGTGTTTTGCACATTGCCTAATCACTTGCTTACCTTAGGTAATTATGTGCAGTGCCCTTCTTTGAGCATCTATGCTATGGAAGGAGATATTTAATAAAAAGACAGAGACAAAAAGGCCTCTATGCTTACAAACTTACAGCAGGTAAAGATATAAACATTAAAAACAAAAACTATAGTTTGCAACACAATCTCAAAAGCATCTGCCTTTACAAAACATTGTAAATAGCAGTGATATAAGAAAATATTAAAAATTAACACAAAGAGAACACCCACGAAAAACCTGAGTGAGATGCTTTATGTGTCATTTCACAACAGTTCTATGAGGGAAGTGGTCTTACTCCACTTGGAGGTGAGAAAACCGAGGTTACAAGGGTTAAAGTGGCTTCTCTAAGACCACACAGCAGGTGGGTTACAGAGCCAGCATTTGACCTAAGGTCTATCAGATCTAAAGCCTTTGTACTCTCTACCATTTTCCCGTGTTGTATAAACATTCAGAAAAACTTACCGTGTAGTAATCATACCAGCGGGCTCTAGGGAAATATGCAGTGACATTTCTGGCATTCTAAAATGAAACATAAACAAGGTGTGGCAGTGGCACCATTTTCCAGGACAGAGAAACCAAAATACTTAGGAAAGAGGTTAAATAATTGTGATGGCCTTGGGCCCACTTGCCTCATGTCCCAGGAGGTCACCTATTGAGGAAACCTTCCATCCCTTTTCCTTTTTCAAACAGGAGAGATCTGTCTACCCCAAAACAAGTGGCTTTCATAAAGCACTTTGGTACCCAGGACTTCGGGAAAAAAAAAAATTCACTATTTGCTTATAGAAATAGGCTTACGCCATTCCCTCTTAAAGAGACAAACAACTGAGGTTGTGTCTGGGGCAGAAAAAAATTCTGTGGGTACCATAAGATTTGCGGGCTGGACACGGTGGCTCACGTCTGTCATCTCAGCACTTTGGGAGGCCGAGTCAGGCGGATCATGAGGTCAGGAGATCAAGACCATCCTGACTAACATGGTGGAATGCTGTTTCTACTAAAAATAAAAAAAAAAATTTAAATTGGCCGGGCCTGGTGGCACGTGCCTGTAGTCCTAGCTACTCGGCAGGTTGAGGCAGGAGAATCACTTGAACCTGGGAGGCAGAGGTTGCACTGAGCTGACATAGCACCACTGCACTCCAGCCTGGATGACAGAGTGAGACTCTGTCTCAAAAAAAAAAAAAAAAAGATTTTGGGAAGGTGCAATTAACTGGTATTTTAATCAGAAGCCTAATCAACAATAGAAGTAAAGAAATGGCTTTTACTGCTGGGAGGAGCTCCTGCAGAGGAAGGGAAGGGTTAGCCAGCAGCAATACAAGTACACACACATTGCCAAGCAATCCTTCTGAAAAGTTGTAATAGTGCTAGAGGACTGTTATGAATTCTTTACAATACTGCCCCCATCTGATCTTCTATTCCTTATTTTAGTTAACGAAGAAACGATTGTGTCATTGAATATACCATGAGGTGTTTTCTTCTTGATCATCCTATGAACCAGAATTGTTAGGCTCATTTTAAAGATGAAGGAGCTGAGGCCAAGAACACCTAAGTGATGGACTTCAGCTCAGAAAGAGAGGAAGAGACACAGGTAGAATAAGAAACCATGTCTTAGGACCCCCACCAGCTCAGGCCTCTTCTCCTCGTCCTTTTCCCCAAGCCTCACAGCTGGGATCCTCCCCTCATCGGAGGCCTCCATACTCACACGCTCCAGGACAGGGCTGACCAGGAAGGCTGGGCCCAGCAGGAACTGACTGTCTATGTCCCATGTCACCTGGTCTGACACAAACCTGGAAAGGGAAATGAAGGTGCCCAACAGAGCCCAACAGAGCCCCAGCCCGACACTCTGAAGAAGCTCCTCAAGTTCAGATCCAAGTCGGAAATACAGCTGCCCCTGAGCCATCCTTGCCTTTTTCCTAGGCCTAGCTTCATCAGGAGCACCCAGCCTCTGCTTTCCCCATGGGATGTGCCTCAAACTTCAGAAATGCTGGGATGTAGATGTATTCTCTCTTGTAAAATACTTGCCCCATTTCTCAACCATGGCAAACTTCAAATGCAAGGATGGCCCTTTTCCCTCAAATCTCTTCCTGAAATCCTTCTCCTGTGATCTGGCTACATATAACCAAACTGCTACAAAAGATAGATAGGCCTTTGCACAGCCAAATTAGAAAGAAATTATTCTATGCTATACTGCATCATTTCAGTTTTGCTCATTCAATCAATAACCTTTTATTAATGACCTAAGGCATGTATAGCACTGTGCTAAAGAGAGTAATAAAGTATGGTCTGCACCTGAAGAGCTCATGTCAAAAGGCAATCATGTCTTTAATTTGGAAGAATTCAACTGTCACCATATAGAATGCAATAAGTCATCCATTAGGCATTGGGATCCCTGCTGGACACTCACTCATGGAGCAGAGGCCGCACAACAGTGACGCCCTCCGTGTGGGCCTTATGCATCAAGGTATACAGATATGGCAACAGGGTGTATCTGGTCTGCAGGACAGTTCTGGAAATATTCACAAAAGCAACATCCCAGGACACAGGGTCTTGTCTCTAAAGGAGAAAGAGAACAGTGTTGGGAGCTTGCCCTGGAATTTCTAGGGGATTTAAGAAGGTCACTGAAAGCATACTCCAATTGAAGATCACTCACAGCTAAACAAAAGAAAACTACACATGAGGCCCAGAGAATATTCTTAATAGACTGGAAAAGTTCACTGATGCTCTCCTAGGACAGCTGATGAAATTTCACTGTAAGACATTCTTTTTGGTATATTTTTTACAATTCTGCCCAAACAAGAAGAACAAAACATAATAATAACCTAAAGAACACTGAGGAATATGGCTCACTGAGACCCATGGGCTTAACAATTTATAAGGGTGCAGTGGCTCACGCCTGTAATCCCAGCACTTTCGGGGACTGAGGCCACGAGTTCGAGACAAGCTTGGGAAATATGGCAAGATCCCATCTCTACAAAACACAAAAATTAGCTGGGCACGTTGGTATGTGCCTGTAGTCCCAGCTATTCAAGAGGCTGAGGTAGGTGAGTCGCTTGAGCCCCAGAGGTCAAGGCTGCAGTCAGCCATGATTGGGACACTGCAAGATCCAGCTTAGGCAATAGAATGAGTCTTTGTCTCAAAAGAAAAAAAAAAAAAATTTTAAAGATATCACAGGAAATACAGACTGCATTAACTTTAGGTCAGAAATGGAGGCTGTGTTTCAAGTGAAACACTGGAGGTAGGGGCCACTGTCCTACCCTGGTCCCAATGGTGTTGTGGTTTCTTGAGAAGGGGTAAAAGGCCCCCAGCTGCATCCAGCGAACACACATCTCATATTCAGCATCTTGAAAGAACCCACAGATATCTGCTCCCGTCTGAAACAAGAGGAAATAAAAGGAGCCTGCTGATGATTTCTGAAAGATGTCCCCACCTTCTTGGTGCTTAGGAGGATCCCAAGGACACTCACATAGGATATGCCGAAGAGGCTGAACTCCATCATGCCTGCAACGAGAAGCACAGCTGTGTCACACCAGGCTCGCTCTCACGACCTGCCTCCTCACCTCTTCCCCAAGGATCCCAACTCCCTGCCCTACCGGCACAGGCCCTGGGAAGGACCCACGCACCAATGATAGACTTCTTCAGCTGATCCCACGCGGCTGTGTTGTCTCCCAGCCAATGTCCTGCCCAGCGGCCAGAAGAGGGAAATGTGGAGCGGGTGATGACGACCCCTCGCTGTCCTGTCACCTCCTGCACGGCTCTGGTTGGAGGGGAAAAGGAGGTGAACTGAGGGCACCGCCAGGAAGCAAAGGCCATAGAGCATCTGCTCCCAGAGCCCTTGAGCCTAGTCAATGTTTGCTGCGTGATTGGAGGGAACACGGGACTCTGAGCTGTAATGGGGGCTCCACTGATCCCAGATGATGGAGATAACGAGTCACGTGTTCTCACAGTGCTTTACAAAGAACTTCACTGTAGCAAACTCACTGGAGTGCCCCAAAAATAGTAAGGAATTACTAAATCTTGCTATTGGTTTCCCCAAAACTTAGTTTTCTATATTTGAGGAGGAACACAGTGAAGATTATAAGATCGTCCTTAGAAGAATTCACACTATTAATTGAGCTTACAAAGCAGGACTGTGCTAATTCAGTGGAATACCAATTAGCCTCCACCAAGAATGGTGAAAAACAAAAAAGAACTCCAAAGATGATTCACTTTGAAATAAAGGGGAGAGATGCCCAGTCCTCTGTGTTCCCTTCACCTCCTGTAACTGAAGCTGTTGTACCACCGGCTGCCCTCTGTGATCATTATGATGTCTCCATGTGAGTCTTTCCCACTAGGATCATTAAGCTTTTCACTGGTGGGACCATGCCTTATTTAAATCTGTCCTCCTCCTTTTAATCACAGGGCCTGGCTCCATGTCACTAAGTGTTTATCTAATAAGAATCATTACACAGTTGTCATGAGAATCTTCTTAACCCTTAGAATGGGAATGAAAAGAAAAGTAGGGTAGCTATGTCAGTCACTGGCAATCCCTACAGGTTGTGACAGCTGGAGAAGGGAGACAGAGACTCACTCGTATGTGGGTCTGGTCTGGGACCACCCGTACAGGTTGTGCACATTGTAGTGCTGCACCGGGGAGCCGTCTGGGAGGATCTGCTGACTCTCCATGCACAGGGTCTTGCTGCTCAGGCCCCTGTCCCTGGACTCCAAATCTGAGGAGGAAGAACTGGTGAGGTGAAATCCAGCCCTGATTCTGTTTCTCCCTGACTTCTCTTCAAGGGACTGGGCCCTGGATCTTAAGACTAACTTCAGTCCTGCCTGTGTCACTCTCCGTCTTCCCAGAGACATGAGCACAGCGCCCCCAGCTCTGAGCTGCAACGGCGGCTCCAGTGTTTCCAACATCAAGTTCACTGAAGAAAGCAGAGGTGTCAGGAAGAATGTACAGCTGTCAAACACTATATGACAGGCTCTTATTTAGGCTTTTGACTTGCCAATTATTTCCATAATTCTATGAAGAAGATCTCATTACCTGTCTTTTACAGTTTAGCAGACTGAGATTTGGACATATCGCATAATCTGTGAAAAGTCACAAAACTCCTAGAGAGAACAATTTCTGGAACCAAGATATGAACCCAAGTGTAACTCCAAAGTCCATCAGCTCCACAATAAAGGCAAGCCAATAATTTCCACCCATTGATGACACCAAAAAATTCCTGTGATGGAATTCACATAAGCCTAAAAAACTAACAAGCCTAGCTGTGAGAACCCTTTGGTGGCATGACCACTCGTAAGTGTTTTCTAGACAAATTCAAAAAATTTGTGCAATGAGTCTAGTCACTTGCACATGCCCAGCTGGGTAAAGCGCGTGCAGAGCTTTTGTCTCTGGTCCCCAGTAAACCACAGCAGCCATGAGGATGTGCCCTGAGCTGTGCGGCCACCCCTGGCCTCGGGCTCCTCCAGTGTAATCCTTCTTTCAATCATGGCTCTGCCAATCAAGAAGGCCAAGGATTCTTACACGGCATGTAGGGAGGGTGGTTCAGAGAGGCATCCCTGCAGCCTGGAGAAACTGCCCCATTCACGAAGCTTGATGGTTCATTCATATCCTAGAAATGCCAAACACAGACATACCTCACTTTTTAAGATAATTACGTCCTGCCAATTCTGAGCCAAGGAAGCAGTGAATACATTGTTCAACATCCAGTAATCCCTATAGATGCCAGCCCTGGGAGCTTCATCAAATCCTGGTGAGAACTGGCTAGAAAGATGAATTCACCCCTACAGAACAACTGGCTAGAGGGTTAAAAAAAAATCTCTCTCAAGGTGGGCGTGAGGCAGTGAAAGTTCCAAGAAATTCCTAGTCAATTGCCTCAGAGGTTTTATAGTAGTAATGTCAGGTCTGGTAGAAGGTGTGAGGGCTATCAGGGCTGTTCCTCTCCTGAGAGGAGGAAGTGTCTGATATGTCCAAAGTCTTCCTTGGACAATGACTATCCTCTTGACTGAAGGTCAGTGGTACATACACGTAGGCACACAAAGATAGACAAGTGTCACTGGTACACAGAGACACACACACACTTACAATCCACATGCCATCAAACTTCAAGCTCCTCTCTGGATTCTGTGGATTGTTGTATAGTTCTTCTATTTCCCTCTTCCACCACTTGGCAGTTGAATTACGGAAAAAGTCTGGGAAGGCCACATAAGCTCGATATAGCTATAAAAAAGAAATATAATTTCTTTGTCCCACACAAATATAGAAGACAGCAAACAGGCACTTACTGAGAATGCAACTCGCACAAATACTTCAACTGCATGGTGACAGACGGCCTGAACAGGGCCTAAATAATGTTATTAACTTATTAGAGAAATGTAGAATGAGAGGAGAAATTAGTGCAATTTGCACACCTTCCCGGCATTTGGAAAACATCCAAAAACTGTTCTCTTCATATATACATGGATGATGACAATCAATGACCCGAACTAGTGACCTCATGCATTCGATGCCCAACCCTCAATGTCAGTCCTGCCATTTCCTATGCACTCCTCAAAGACAAAGCCAGGGAGAGACTGCAGACATGAGATGCATGGTAATAGGTTAGGAAGAAACACCCAGGGACTCCCTCCTATGTCATTCCCACTGCGAGAGGGGAGGAAGGAATAAGATTACATTTCAGGATATAAGACCAGTACACCTCAGTGTTTTCTACAATTTCAGAATCACATGACAACTACAGCTGTGTGGAAGATAAATTGAGAGGACTTAAAGAGGACATTTCAACTTCCCCTTATTTTCATCTTTCTTCAGATAATAACAGGTGTGTTTTTGTTTTAACCTGCAAGATGGGTTAAAGGTACAACTTCTTTTTTTTTTTTTTTGAGACAGAGTCTTGCTCTGTCACCCACCCAGGCTAGAGTGCAGTGGTGCTACCTCGGCTCACTGAAACCTCTGCCTTCCAGGTTCTCGCGATTCTTTTGCCTCAGCCTCCTGAGTAGCTGGGATTACAGGCACACACCACTACACCTGGCTAATTTTTGTATTTCTAGTAGAGACGTAGTTTCCTCATGTTGTTCAGGCTGGTCTCAAATTCCTGACCTAAAGTGATCCACACACCTCAGCCTCCCAAAGTGATAGGATAACAGGCATGAGACACCATGCCCAGCCAGATACAACTTCTTAACTACATTGTAGACTTTTGAGAGCAAGAAGCTTGTTTTATATTCATCTGAGTGACATTTATATTTTGCACAATGCTTAGCTTAGAACTTGACACAAAATATATACTCACTGTTTAATGGTGGGTTCACACCACTTCGAAGCAGCAAATAAATGTTGCTTGTTACGGAACATTATGGTCCTTTGTATGTCTCAGTAAATAGCCTCCTTTATGACAATCACACCATTGTAAGAGTTAAAGAGCTAAAGAATGCTGGTGAGGAGGTTCGGGGAGGCAACAGAATGAGGACTTGGTCTGGGGAACTCCAGTTCTTACACACAATAGACAAAAGGCAGGTAGGAACCCATATGTCTACATAAAGGGCAAGAAAAGGAACATGAGAAAACAGAAACAGACCAGCCTACATGGGTCTGGCTGTCAAGGATGTGAGAAGACAGTGGGTCACATCACGGAGAATCTTGACAGAAGTGGGCATGCCAGGGATGCCTTTTGTTAGGAAATGGAGGTAGAAGCTAGGAAACCTGACAAAGAGAATCTTTCACCAGAAACAGAGAGCTCCAGATCAGGAAGGGTTAGAAACGACGGGATGGGTGGGGGATGGAGAATTAGAATAAAGAGATTATCAGCCACAGCTGAGTCAGAATTGTATCCCATATGGGGTACACGTGGTGAACTTGGCCAGCCATGATGTAGGAACTTCCCTAAGTACTGCTCGGATGACCCCTTCCAACTTCATAAAAATGTTCTGCCGTTCTCCAACGTGCTGGCTCTACCTTACACCTGTGCATATTCAAGTCTTGCCTTTGTGGCTTCTGCCTTCACTTTCTCCAGTCTTCAAACAGTGATATAACCACCCACACACTGGGCCTCAGGATCACCTAGCACTCTTTTTGTGGCACATTGCATGCTACAAAATGCAATTCCTAGATCCCATCAGACTTATTGAATTAAATTGCTGGAGCTTTGGACTCAGAAATCTGCTTTTCATGGGGCTGTTGGCTGTTTGTTTTATATTCAGTAAAGCCAGACCTGGACATCAGTGGCTTCATCCTCACCAGCTTCATCGAGTGGGTCTTTATTAATAATATAAATATTAGGTTGGTGCAAAGGTAATTGAAGTTTTTGTCATTACTTTTAATAACTTTCCTTCCTTTTTTTTTCTTCTGAGACGGAGTCTCGCTGTGTCACCCAGGCTGGAGTGCAGTGGCTCAATCCTGGCTCACTGCAACCTCTGCCTCCCGGGTTCAAGCGATTCTCCTACCTCAGCCTCCTAAGTGGGATTACAGGCGCGTGCCACCACGCCTGGCTAACTTTTGTATTTTTAGTAAAGATGGGGTTTCACCATGGTGGTCAGGTTGATCTTGAACTCCTGACCTCGTGATCAGCCTCCCAAAGTGCTGGGATTGCAGGCATGAGCCACCATGCCCGGCCTACTTTTAATAACTTTCAATGGCAAAAACTACAATTACCTTTGTACCAACCAATAGTTATAATTATCCTATCTACCAAGAATTTCTTATGAGCTAACAGATTCTGTGACTCCCTAATGAAGTGTTTCTCATCAGGGGTATAACTGGCGTTTGAGGTGAGAGATATTTTGTGGAGAATTCCCTGAAATCAGAGCTATGGGCATCCCTGCCCACTGCCCACTGAATGCCTCTGGTGTCCCTGTGATAACCAACACTGCCCTCAGATTTCCAAATTGCCTCAGGATGGCAGTGTTGCCCCTACTGGCTGATGAACTGTGGGGTTCTGATACTGACTACTTGATAAAAGTCAGGAAGCCCATGACCCAGAACTTCTCTGGCTGGGCAGGTTCCTGTGTCCATGTGGGCTGCTTGGACCACTAAGCTTCAAGTGATTCTCTGTGAGAGGTGACGAGAGGACAGGAAGCTAGGTCTTCTCCCTTGAACAGTATAGATAGATAGATAGATAGATAGATAGATAGATAGATACATACATACATACATACATACATACATACATAGAGATAGATGATATATAAATAGGTAGATAAATGATAGACAGAAGAGGGATTTGGATAGATAGGGTGAGTGGATGAATAGAGGTGGAGATAGATTAGATAGATAGATAGATAGATAGATAGATAGATAGATAGATAGATAGATGGTACATAGATAGGATAGAATGATAGATAGATAGATAGATAGATAGATAGATAGATAGATAGATAGATAGATAGACAGACAGACAGACAGACAGACAGACATAAATGAATAGGGTGGCTGGATGGATAGATAGATAGATAGATAGATAGATAGATAGATAGATAGACAGACAGATAGAAAGATAGATATAACCTGAGTAGATAGAGTGGATAGATAGATAGATAGATATAGATAGATGAGGTAGATGATAGATAGATAGATAGAGGATGGATGGATAGATAGAGTGGGTGGATGAATTAATACATTGATCGGTAGATACATAGATATGATAGACTGAGATAGGTAGATAGATAGATACGTACATACATACATACATACATACATAGATGGGTACATGGATATACATAGATAGATAGATAGATACTTGTTCAGTAGTAGACATAAGGAAAACAGCCTTGAACTGAGTCTGACTCGTTCTTGCCAATCTTCAAAACCAGCCCCAGCTTCTGTTTTGTTTGTTTTGTTTTACTGCATCTACTGACAGTAAATAAAGACATGCAGTCCAATAGCCAAGCAGCCTGGTGCCAAGTGTGTCTCATTTTAAATCAATAGTGCTACTGCTGCCAACTGGCTCTGGGATCCAGGAGGCCAGAGACTGACAACAGAGAAGTATGCATCACGTGTTTGCAGTACCATCTGTTCTCCCTACCCTATCAGAGCTGTGCCAGGCCTCAGTCCCTGGCTCCAGATTGTGTGGTTCTGTCTAATATCTGCCTTTCCCTCTAGGACTCACCACTTGCCCTGAAAACCAGCTTATCTGGATAAGGCATGAATATTTGGCCTAACTCCAATATTCCTGGTGATCACCAGTCACATTCCTGGTGATCAATGTTTCTCCTGCACCTCTGTCCATGGGATACAATCTTACATTACGTAGAAAGAACTCCCAAAAGAGGTCTTTGCCCCTGGACTTCTGAGTGGCTGCTAACAGAATTACAGCTGCTGGGATTTGTGCCCACAACATGGATATTTGTCTGATTAATACTTGATCCTGAGAGAGTATCTAGACACTACAACATATACCGCATTGCTGACTGCACAAGTCAGCTTCTTTGTCCCTTCAATTCCTGGCAGATGTTCTAGAAAAGAGGCCTTTTCCTTGTCTCCCCAGCTTTTCTGTGGGGGTCACATAGGCTACACATGCCCTGCTACAATTCCTGCCCAGAAAGAATAGGCATTATTGAAGAACAGCTCCAGAGGTAGGGCAAGGTACTTGGTCTCCAGGAAGCCCTTGGACCCGCACTAAGAATCCTGCCTGTGGGTACTGTCACAACAATTGATAGTAAAGCACACAGGCTGCCTCAGTTCAGGAGACACACATCTTGGCCAGAGGATGGGGCCGTAGCCTTCCTAGACCTGTAAGGAGCCATGTATCATTCAAGCAAGAAACGCTTAGTGAATCTGGAAAAAAATTCAGGTACAGAAGCATGGGCTACTTGGATCCATTACAAGCAACAAACCATCCCCAGAAGAGAGCAAGTTTTACAGTAAGGCTGGAAACTGAGAGGTAAAAGCAAAGTTGAGAAACCCAAGGAAGGATTGGGCTCAGAGGAGGAATTATAAGTGTGGAAAGGGAGAAACGTGTTCATGGAAAAAAAAAAGATACACCAAAAAAAGACCTAAACAGTCTTTGAGGTTAGAAGACTGTTTAAAAGGGATAACCAAGGCAACAACAGTTAAGTATACCAGTTCAGAGAAAAGATGGCACTGCTAGGAGGTATCGCCCAGTGGGAATTTCTTGGGCCTTTGTAATCTGACAGCCTTGGAATTGAAATCAACACTCTGTCACCTAAAACCGTGGACAAGTCATCTGAGCTCTCTGGTCTTAAATCCCAAGGATAATAATACATGTCTACATCCCAGTGGCCAGTAAAGTATGACTACCTATAAAGTAATGGGCACACAGACTGACATCCAACACACATGCCCTAAGTGTTTCTCCCTTGCCAAGCCCATGTCCACAGTACAGGCATGTCCACATTCCCAGGAACGGCTGCCCCTTCCTAGAAACCCTGACTCCACCCAAATTTACAAAGACCCTTTACCTCCACTTGACTGTCCCAGTCTAGAGACCCATTCACAACAACATCAGGAAAATCAGGCCAGACCTATGGAGAGAAACATGTTCAGTAGCGATGCACTAGACAATTTCCCTTACATAGTATTTCCAAAGAAATTATTATATAAACCATGTTCCTAGGAGCAATACTTTGATTATCATGTAGGATTGATGTAAAAGAGAAGTGAATTCCGTAACACATTATATTACTTAAAAGTTATTAACTGTATCAACAAATATTGATTGAGAAAAGGAGAGCTTCTGACCTCAGAGCCCAAATAGAAAAGGCCAAAAATAACATACACAGGCGTGTGACCCTCTAACAGTGACCCACCCTCAGGCTAGGGACTACTGGATCATCGCTTAGGATTATACCTTTCCCCAGACAATGTCTCCATCATTTGGGTACTTGATGAAGACGTCATCCTCCACGCCCCGAGTGAAGGCAGGATAGGGCTGTGTCTCATTGCCAGAAATGGCTGGATCCTGAAATCAAAGCATAAGTCAGTTGGGAAAAATCAAAGCCACAGAATGAAGAGAAACAGAATGAAGGAGAACTCCTCCAGGGCGAACTTGTTGGCTTCTACCTGAACTGTAGAGTTTCTGTGAGTCCAGGGAAATACACATTTCTTACTACACTTCAATTTATCTACTTGCAACATGGAAATAAAGTATAACACTTTCTCCAACAAAACCCATACCTGCTCCCAAACAGACCGCACACATTCACATCAGGACTAACCAGAATGAGGATGACCCGCATCCCATCAGCCTTCATGCGATTGATCAGAGCTGGAAACCCGGCAAACTTGGGGCTGAGGGTGAAGTCCAGCTGCCGCTCCATGTAGTCGATGTCTGAGTACTGCACGTCCTGCGGGAGGACATGGGGAGCTGAGAGGCTGCTGCTGTACACGCCCAAGCTTTATAGGAGAACAAGCCTCCACCACCCATGGTGGAATTCCAGATAGCTTCTTGTTGATGCTTTCAAGTCCGAGCTCTGCCATTTGTTAGGTACAGGTGCTGGGAAATTCACTTAATTTCTCAAACGTTCAGTGATAAGATAGAAAAAAATCAAAGTCAGCATAAAATAGGATGAGAATGCCTCTCTAAGATGGCTATTCTGAGGATAAATACGAACACTGGAATGGACAGTGCTTTGTAAACTGCCACTATCAGGAGTGACTGTGATGACCTCCCTCAAGAGGCTGCCCCTGGTATCAGTGGTTCATGCTTAGAAAAAATAATATTAACTACCCAGGGCTAATACAATGTGGATGGTAAATCTACTGCAAAACAAGTCAAAACAAAGCAACAATGTACAGTTGCTTTGGAATACCCAATCTTGAGGGAAATCAGACACTACATTCTTCTGGAGAATGAAATATTGCATTTCACTATCCACTAATGGAAACGCTATGTTCCACTAATGGAGCTACTGTAAAACAAGAGAAATGTAGAATACAATTAGATATGCGATGGTACATTGGATCAGTTGCCTGATGACTGGGTCCCCTCCCATCCTCCAGTGAAGGATAAGCTTTATTTCCATGTGTACATCCTCTGGAACCCATTCCAGGATCCGTGTATTCCATCAGTGATTAGCTCAGAGCTCATGGGACACTGTGCTACAGCACCAGGGCTGCGGGAACTGAGGTCGTATCCACATATACAATGGTCTGATGGTTTGGGGTTAGTTTTTTTCAGGAATTAAGTAAAAGAACTGTGGATATTATTTATTCTTATGGAACCAAGGACATTTTGACTACATGTTTTGAAGTCATGTGAAAGAAATGGAAGGAAGCATGAGATAGTAGAAAGAGCCCTGGAGCCAGCTTATCTCCCCCTCTGGGAAATCACAGTAAGTCTTGAGCTATCATCTCTAGAAGATGGAAACAAGGGCCCTTACCTCTATTACTGTGCTGGGGTGAGGCTAACTGTGATATTGTCTGAAAAAGAACATTATGTCTTTATAGAATCTCACAAACATTAGACAAATGAAGCCAGACACAGAGGCACCTGGGTTAGTTTTCAAACTCCAGAGCCATGACTGAGAACGTACATAAGGGATCTGGGCAGCCACCATCTCATCATACAAGCTGGAGATCTCAGAGTCGTTCTGGTAGCCATAGCGACACAGCTGGAACCCCAAAGACCAGTAAGGTACCATCACAGGCCGGCCAATCAACTAGAAAATAGACAGAAAATATTAGTCCTCAGAACAGAGACACCAGATTGAAGTTTTACATCAAGTAATAAGAATATTTTTCTGTGCCCCAAGCTAGACAACTAACTAATTGAATTCCACATCAAAACTGACAGGATATAGAGCCACTAGGATACTTGGAGAAAGCTTTCTGCTAGACTTGAGCTCCTTCTTAAAAATTATGGAAAAGCTGATTTCACTCCATTCCTAGAGACACTGTAGGTAACTGGTTAAGAAACCCAGAATCAGAGGCAAAATGCCTGGCTTAGATACAGGCTCCAGTCCTGCTAGCTGTGAGACCTTAGGCAAAAATTAAGTAATCTCTTAGTGCTTCAGTTTCTTCATCTGTAAATAAGGGTATAATAATAGCATCTCCCTCACAGTCCTTTTGTGAAGACTGAATGAGTTACTATGTGCAAAGTGCTCTAACATGCAGCAAGTAATAAATCAGTGATGTGCAGTAGGTAGTACATAAGTGTTTGCTGCTGCTGCCACAACAACCATGGTCACCACCATCATCACTATTTTCACCATCACCACCACTACCACCACCATATTCTTCACACCACCCCACTGTCACCACCACTACCACCACCATAGCCACCACCACCATCACTATCAAACACCAACCATCACCACCCCATCATCGTCACCATCACCACCACTATCACCACCATCACCAACACTCCCATCAACACCACCCCCACCACTATCATCACCATCACCAACACCACTACTACTACCACCATCATTATCACCATTCCCACATCACTATCACCACCATCATCCCCTACCACCATCATCACCATCACCACCACCATATAACCACAAATACCACCACCACCATACTACTATCACTACCATCACCACCACTAGTACCACTGTAACTTCTGCTATTCTGCAATGCTTACAGAGGCTATAAATTTAATGGTGATTAGAATGTATTTATTTTTCCTTATTCTATAATCTCTTTCCAAGTAATACCAATAATTCCAGTTATCATCTGAGAGTTATACTAATGAATGTGGGCTCTGGCACCCAGAATGTGCTATATAAGTACTTGATAAACAATTGGATTTCTCCCTACCTCAGTGTACTGCTGGGTGACAAGCTCTGGAGTTGGCCCCAAGAACACATAAAAGTCCAGAACTCCCCCTGTGGTACGGTATGTCAAGGCAGGCAGGGGCTGGAACGTCACATCTGAAAATGAAGAAAAATGCTAATCAAGCTGGAAACTTTCCACGTCATGAATCACCCCTGAAATCCACACATTCTCTATTTCCTGCACCCTCCCTATCGTAGAGTAGTAAGAGCCAGTATTTTCTATCATAATCACATAGAACTGAAGAAGTTCAGTGGAAGTCTAAATGTCCCATTCCTGGGTTTGCTTCCTTTGGTGTATTTTACTATATTTTGTCGTTCTACTCTTAAAATTATGTTTACATTTCAACTTTTATTTTGGATAAGGAGGTACATGTTCACATTTGTTACATGGGAATATTGCACGATGCTGAAGTTTGGGGTATGAATCCTGTCATCCAGATAGCAAACGTAGTACCCGATAGGTAACTTTTCAACATACCATACACCCTCACAATCCCCAGACTAACTTCTCTGACCCATAGTTTTACCCTAATTCAAATTTTATAACTGGCTCTCACGAGCTGACCTCCAAGACATTTGGGACCCATGTGGTTTTACTATCCCTTCTTATGTGATTTTTACCAAAATAAGAGTTGGGTTAAATCTTCTTATCACATGATATTAGACTGAAATGAACAGAAAGGCTAAACACAAAGAAAAAATAAACAGCAGTGCCCGTAAAATGAAGATTTTGACTTCAAGGAACAGTTAGGCTAAACACATTCTAAACTGACTCAGGCATGACTGGTATCCCCCCAAAATAAGGGAGGCGCTGGATGGCCTTACCCATGGCATTGCTGTTCAGCAGGAGCACTCCATGGGCACTGCCATCCTCCTCTAGCCCCATGTAGTAGGGGTGGACACCATAGGAATTCTTCTTGTACTGGAGAGTCATGGGGAGAAGCAGTAGGAGTTTAAAAGACATTATGCCTGAGAAAGAAACTCAACAAAAATATGCTTGCTAAGATGGGTCTAGTTTTCTCCATGAAATCAATTAAACACATGAAACAAAGGAGCCTGAGAATTGGCCCACTCGCCTAAAAGCAGAATGTGACGACCAAGTGGAGTTTGGGAAGATGAAGCCCAAAGCCTGAGCAGTGTGGGTGGAGAGAAGCAGAGACACAGATCTCAAATGCTCTGTCCTTACCCCTGGGGGCTGGTCTCGGGAGAACATCCCCCAAGTGTGCCACTCCAAGTCTCTCCTGTAGGACGTGTGCTCAGTCTCCCCAAAGCCATAGAGGTACTTGGAGGGAAGGCGGGTGGAGATGCGGATAAACATGTCATTGAAGGTGAAGCCAAGGAGCTGAGAGTCCCAACTGAAACACAAAAAGGCAGATTTGAAACAGAAAATGGGCTTTTCTCTCTGCTTCCAGCAGCTGACTTTTCAAGGACAACAGAACACTTGATTCCTACCCAGAAGCTGTTCATCTCCCAAACAAAACTGAAACTCAATTTGATTAAAATATCATAGATATCCCCACTAAAAGCCCAGGAGTTCTTCATTCATCTGTTTCCCACTCTCACTGCCTCCTTTCAGTGGTCCTCTACAATACAAATACAAGCTCCCCTCACCATCACAGCTGGGAACACTCCACACCAGCACTGCCTTCCACCCTTGCACCCCTCAGCGCATTTTCTACGTAGCACTCAAAGCGATATTCCTACGAGGATCTCACCTCATGTCACTCCCATTTGTGCTTCTTCCATGGCTTCTCATGCAAACATCTTATGAAGCCTTCAAGGCTGAAGCTGCCCCCTCAACCGGCGTTGCAGCTTCCTCTCCCAGCACTCACCTGCTTACTTCCTCCATTGCTCCAACCACACTAGACTTCTTTTCTTTAGCATGCCAGCTTCGCTTCATCTCCTGGCCTACCCACTTCCTATTCCCTCTGTCTGAAATGCTCTTTCCCTTCGCCCTGTCTCATGTGGGTGGCTCCTTCTCATCCAGGTCCTATTAAAATATCACCTTCTTGGCGAGATCTACTCTGACCCCAATATCAGAAGCAGTAACCACACCATAACCCTCAATTACCCTGCTCTTTTGGCTACACAGCAATTATCACTATCACAATCTCCTTTTTATACTATAACTTAAATTATCTCTGTTATTTACTTATTATTTGTTGTCATGAGAAGAGAAACCTCAGTTGTCTATAAGGAGCAGCACCTAATCTAGAGAAGGCACCCCATAAACATTTGTTGGATGAATCCTCAGGCACGCTCAACTGCCTCAGTAATTATTTCCAGAATGCTAAAGATTTCCTGTAAGAATAGGTCTGAAGGAAACAACTCATCCATGGATCTGGAAGTGGACAATGTGATGTTTTGAACCAGGATACATCCAAGGACAATGGACCTGGCAGCGAAGGCGCAGGTAGCCATCAACTCTGAGTCACACTAGAAGCCACTCACATTATAGTGCCTGTACTCTTCCGGCGAATTTCAATCCCAAATGGATTCTTCTTAATGAGGACATCATAGAGTTGACCCTCAGGGGTGCTGGATGGCACGCTGGGTATGTTCAGAGGGACTGGAACTTCATACCGATTGTTGTTGGGATCATAAATCTAGGCCAGAGGAAAACGATTTTAGGCAAGAATACTACTCTTGAAACCTATACCCTTAGCAGAACCTTTTTGATTTTTGGACAAAAGTTCAGATGCTATGTTTCTGTCTTCTTTAAGTTTATGATGTCTGAGATTTAATTAACACATCAAATAACAATGTCAGATTTAATATGTTTGTCTGTCATTTCTCATTACTAAGGCCTCTACTGCATCAATATAAGCATTGTGACATTGGTGCTAACGTAGAAAATCATTCTGGAATCAGCGTGGTATTTATGAATATGTTACTTGTTATTTTCTGTGGGTATATGAGAATATATAAATACCTTAAAACTTTTCTGAATTGAAAAATAACGTGTCTCCCCAAAGTGAAATCTATTTGATTAAAATAATCAGAATGTCCTTGCTGAAGGTGGTATCTAAACTGATTCATGAGTACCTACTACATCCCTGCCTGACACTGCACAAGACACTAGGGATGTGAGCTCAATAAGGCAGTGTTATGGTTTTATGAAATTCACAAGCAAATGAGAAGTGTAAGAGAGCAGCTCACAACACCTGGGTGATGTGTGCTAAGGGAGAGCTATGTAGAAGTGCTGTGAGACTCTAGAGAAGGAAATGCCTAACATTGTTTCTGGGAGACTGAGATGGTCTCCCAGGAGAAATACAATCTAGAGTATTAGAAACTTGGTAGTCATTAACCAAACACAGAAAAGAGATCAAGTCATTCTGGTGAAGAATAACAACCACGAAGGCAGAGAGAATTAAAGTGGGCCAGAAAGAGGCAAATATTTTGGAAAGAGCTACTGTATGGTCAAGAGGTAGAGTAGTCAATGGTTAAGGCTAGAACTCCAAGGAAGTTCATTCACTTCAAACCCATTAGGTGCCTACAACATGCTAGTGCTATGATGAGGGTACAAACATACAACAGCATCATCCCTGCATTAGACGATGTACAAAAACTCAGAATTCGGGTTGATGTCAGATTGTAAAGAAATTTTCAGGCAATGTGACAATGTCCTGATCACTTTCACTTACTCTGTCAATTACATTACAGCACTAACTATCTGCCAGGCTCTGTATTAGACTTCAGAAGCACAAAGAGGAAAGGGCACATTCCTATCCTTGAGAAGATTAGTTTAATAGAGAAGCAGACGTAACAGCTAGTCCATCCCTAGTCTTTAAATGCAATTAAATTCTGGAAAGAAATGAAATCGCTGCAGGTTGGTGGCTATTTTATACGTATCTCAAATTCAGTATCCCAAACTGAACATATCATCTTACATTGATCAAGCACAAACCTTTTCAGTATTCCCATTCTGGTTGATGTCAGCACCATCCATATTAAGATGCAAGATACCAACGCGGTCATCATTCTTGATGCTTCCCTCTCCATTGTCGCCTGCTTTCAATCAAGCACCAGACCCTGTAACCCAACTTCCTGAATCTCAACTAGGTGCACTGTTCTCCACCTTCATTCCAGTATTTAGTCCAAACCTAAGCCCTCACTTGACCTGCCTAACTGGCAGCCTCCCAACTTGTCTCTCCGTACCCACTCTTGCTCTCCCAACCATTTTCCTAACAGTAGCCACAGTAATCTTTTCCAAATGAAAATTAGGGCAGGTCTCATTGTTCCCTCAATGATTTCTCAATGTTCTCTGGATAATGACATAGTCTAATGTAGCATGATTAACTTATTTTAGGGTTGTGTGACCTGAACCAGAAAAAGATAATGGAACTGAAAAGGGTCTTATCACTGCCTGATATATGTACCGTGTTTACCTTGAACTGTAGCATTTCATTCTTATGGTAAGTGACATCCAGGCGAAGGGGGTTCACGGGTGTGGAAGGGAAGGCATTGGCATGAACAGAAGACTTTAAGGAGATGTCAGCTGTGGCCCCATGGGAGTTATACTGAACATCACTGACAGAGTATAGGTCGTTGACAAAATAGCAAAAAGGGACTCCAGAAGAATTGGATGCCTGAAAAGTAAGGCCAAAGTCATAGATCAGCACAGCATGTGGTCTTAAAGTTCTCTAACCTAAACAGGGTTAGAAAAGTCATTTTATATGACAATAAAACCAGCCTATCACTTATCACTTGGCAATAACATAAATTTAATTTCCTGGTCTCCAAGCAAAATATTTATTTTAAAAAGTTTTCCACATGTCCCCACCTACTTGTCACATCCAGATCATGTCCCTTAGGAAGTCCTTTCTATGGATTTTAAGTAGTTATATAAGTGCCACTGCTATGCTTAAGAAACTATAGATTAGGTGTGGAGATTTTCATGCACATGAACCCCATCAGCATGGTTACCTCCCAGATACAGCCACGGGCAGTGCAGTTTTCTGCAGAATCACCATTCTCATCAGGGTAACAGTCTATTTTTTCTTCATCCCTTATCTTTATGCTCCACTCCACTGTGTATGCTTCTCCCAGGAAAAGATTGATGTCTGTGATAATGGCGACCTGTAGGAATGCAGAAATCACAAGGAAATTCATCTTTGGGAGAAAGGCCTTGCAAAATCTAAGACTTTATTTATTTATTTATTTTGGAAAAACAAATAGACATCAGTCCAGACTTTCAACCATCCAAGCAACATATCACTTTAGCTTATAAGAAGAGAACTGTACAGTGGGGGAATCTATTTAGCAGTAACAGGGCATATGACTCCCCTCTAGCAGAATCTTGTACATAGCATAATGAAAACAATTAGGTCAAATAAAACCTGTCGCGATCACCCCTTATTCTTTTCTACCCTAACTCCTCTTAGCCCTCTGTGTCTTGTCTGGAAGGGTGTCTTCTGCACTTCCTCTTTAGCATGACACATGGTGTCATCTCAAAGTGAGCTGATCCTCTTGCTCTCCAGTCCCCAAACCAGCATCCCCCATTGGCGTGGAGTGGTAGAAAGAACACAGCAATAAGAATCATATGACCTGGTTATCATGCTCGCATTTATGTAGTATATTGGACAAATGATTTCTTTTTTTAATTTTTAATTTTAATGAGTATATAGTAGGTATACATATTTATGGAGTATATGAAATATTTTGATTCAGGCATACAATGAATAATAATCACATCAGGGCAAATTGGGAATTCTAATTCATTTCTTTGAATTTCAATTTTGGCAACAGCAAAATTGAGAGGTGGAAATAAAATCATCTTTCTTTCCACTTCTAACATCCCAGCATCTTTATTTTTCTAAGCATAAAGGCTGCAAATTTGAAACCTTCCTTGAATCCTATTAATTCAAATATTTAATATTTTCCATATATTTTTCTTATCTTTGATGCTTCTCTAGACAGCACTTCCCAAGTTAAAGTTCTCACACGTCTGGAGTAATAAAATCACATTCTAAAGATTATCATCCTTCTCCCAGTCTCCTCTAAATCTAAACCATCTTGTACTTCCCTGTTCTACTAGTCCCCAGCCCCCACTCCCACTCCCAACAATGCTCACACACAGTAGCACAGCCTTCATTCAAGGATCAATATGAGACTGCTTGAGAATTAATTCAAGTTGGTAACTAAGACCTCCAAAGCCTGACCACAAGTTTCCTATCCAAGCTGGCCTTTTTCAAATACCAATTCTTATTTGTGCTAGTCATACAAAATTCACAGTCTAATAATGTCAGGCTATTCCCCACTTTCCAACTTTGCTGTTCCTGGGTCTCATCATAATTATTCTATTTTTGGGAAAAGCAAGTGAAACCAGCTAGAGAGATGGGAACACTGATAGGCAGAGAAGGGAATAAGAAGAAAAATACCCAACTCATTCTAGCTCTGGCCACCTCATTTTTTTCCCCAAAAAAGGCATCAAAGGTGCCCTCTCAATTCCCCAAAACATGCATCAAAGGTGCCCTGGTACTTCAGGGACCCATGCAAACTTGGCAAGAAGAAACATCATGGTGCTATGGAGAATTCTCAATGTACCATCTCAACAAAATGGGTTTTTACCTTCAGGTTAGAATCATAAGTGACTGTAGGAGAAGTCTGACTTGGGACACCATTGTGTTTCACCGTAACATTGCTAGGTTCCTCCATCCCAAGAATTTTAATCTCATTGAATGCTAAATTATTGGGGTCCTTGTAGGTTGATTGTGAAATAGTCACCTCCAAGTGGTTCTGCAAAACAATTAACTCCAATTATGCATAAAGGTATGCCTGTAATACACAGATTCTCAAGTCACTCATATATTCTATTCCAGACTGGATACCCCCCACTGCCATGAATGCCTCTCTGCTTTCTCTACTAGTGTCTGCTCAAGAAGTACAACATTAGTTTGATAATCCTCTAATTTGATACAATCATAAAAACACACAGATAATTAAAAACTATATTTAGAAACACTACTTGCTATATTAATGCCTCCTTTTGAAAACATCGATGAAATCATAAATAGAAATGTGCTCACCTATAGCCAATAATGCATATAAAGTTACAAATATAATCACACATATACACAAGCACAGATGTGCTAATGGTCAGTCCAAAGCCCACACCTAAGATTCATAAAAATATGCTACTCACTTGAGTGACAGAAAACTCACATAAAAGATATACTTTCTTGGCCACAGTATCTGAAAGTGACAGAAAGACAAGTCAGACTCCGGCTTGCCCACCACAGAAGAACAGATTTCACACTCCCACTCTTTTCAGTTACATCCTGATGTCACAAATGGCAGTATTTCCTTTACCTTATGGATGAATAATATTCCATTGTATTCATTCATCAATGTATACTTAGAATGTTTCCATATCTTGGCTGTTGCAAGTAATGCTGTAATGAATATGGGAGGAGTGAGTATATCTCTTAAAGATACTGGTTTCATGTCCTCTGGATATACACCCAGAAGTGGGAATTCATGGGATTGTATGGAAGTTCTGTTTTTAATTTTTTGAGGAACCTCCATTCTATTTTCCATAATGGTTGTAACAATTTACAGTCCCACCAACAGTCTAAAAAATTCTATTTTCTCCACACCCTCACCAGCACTTCTCTCCTTTCTTTTTTATGATTTCCATGCTAACAGGTGTGAGGTGACATCTCGCTGTGATTTTTGACTTGCATACCTGTGTCATTTACTGATGCTGAGCATCTTTTCACATACCAGTTAGCCACTTGTATGTCTTCCTTGGAAAAACATCTGTTCAGGTCCTTCACCCACTTTTTAATTGGGTCATTTGATCTTTTGCTACTGAGTTGCATATGTTCCTTATTTTTTGATATTAATCTCTTCTGAGATATATGGTTTGCAAACATTTTTATCCATTCTGTAGTTTGCCTTTTCATGTTGTTGATTGTTTCTTTTGCTGTGCAGGAGCCTTTTAGTTTGATGTAGTCACGCCTGTTTACTTTTTGGCATTTTGCCTTTGCTTTTGGTATCATATCCAAAAAGTCATTGCCAAGACTACGTCAAGGAGGTTTTTTGCTATGTTTTCTTCTAGGAGCTTTACAATTTTAGCCCTTACATTTCAATTTTTAATTTCTTTCTTCACAGTAGCCAAGATATGAAAACAACCTAAGTGTCTATCAGTGGATGAATAGATAAAGATGTTCTGGTACATATATACAGTAGAATATTTTTCAGACATAGAAAGAAGAATATTCTGCCATTCGCAACAGCATGAATGACTTAGGAGGACATTATACTAAGTGAAATAAGCCAGAGACAGAAAGTCCAATACTGCGTGGTCTCACTCATATGTGGAATCTAAAAAAGTTCATCTCTTAGAAGCAGAGCCTACAACAGTTGTTCTTAGAGCCTGCAGAAGTGGAAAATGGGGAGATGATGGTCAAGGGTACAAACTTTCAGTTCTTAGATGAATAAGTTCTGGGGATCCAGTCTGCAGCATTGGTAGTGATGGATGTGTTCATTAAAATAGCTGTGGTAATCATTATACTATGCCTACATATATTAAATCCTCACATCGTCCACCTTAAATATATTCAATCTTTATTTGCCAACAAAATATTTGACTACCAAATAAATAATTAATTTTTAATCTACATATTGGATTAGAGGGACAAGAGTCTCCAAGGCCAAGCCATTGTTTTTCCTTCTCTTTTCTACCAGAACATTGCAAAGATTCCCTTCCAAGGGCTTCCAAGGCATATGCTTCAAAGGAATCTATTTCCTAAACTTGAAGAACAAGAATTGTTAGTATACTGGACCCACAAATATGCTAAAACGTATGGCTAGCTGAGTACACACTAGAACAGTATATTCTCACTGCCTCACTGGCAGGTGCATGATTTTTATATCGTCAACATTTGCTCATAAGAATTTTCGGAGGAAGACATTAACATAGAATTAGGGAACAGTCTTGAAACCTTCTCATCTAAGCACCCATTGACAATAAAATAAGAGCCATTATAGGTATCACTGGCGAATGGGAGAACTGTCAGAGATACAAATGCATTTTTCTTTCGTCAGTAGTTCGTCCACCACTATCCCTGAATGGTGCAACCAGAAACAAAATACTTAAGTGACTCTTGCTACTGTGCCTGCTGAGATTTCTCCCACAGCTGAATGACCAGCAGGAGTGAAGGACCATAAGTCACAGGCGCAGGTTGGGAAACAGCAACATTATTGTAACAGCGCTCACCCTTTGTTTGCCCATCATCCCAGAAAAGTTCTCCTTTTGCTTCTTTGTTTTCATCTAGGGCAATAATAAGACCAAGAGGGTTCTTTCGACTGTGGGGAACAAGATTCAAGAGACAAAGACAGGAGTCAGACAATTTTGCCAACTGGGCTGAGAATATTTCCATCAAATTTCAAACTGGAAAAGATACTAGCAGCAGATGGTTCTGTTTCTTGAGGTACAAACACAAAATCGACAGATGCATTTTTCTATAATATCAACAGTGTCACAGGAGATAGAAACACCCCAAACATTAACAATAACATCTACGTTGGAGGCAAGAATTTAAGCACCAGAGGCACTGCAATAGCTCAAATAAAAGCTGCTTCTGCAACCACTGTTCGGAATACAGAGTATGAGAAGAGAAAGAAATCTTAGGCAATAACTGGTTCAGTCAGATCACTTTAGCAATGATGCCCTCAGGAGAAGTGTCCAGTGCTGTGAGGAAGATACATTTTCGCCTGCCTAAGGACCATTTATACTCAGAAAGCAACAACATACACTAAGGTCCATCTACTAAATGGTAATGTATCTGATTATTTATTATTAGTTTGTTTTGAAAGAAAAATAAATCATTCTAATGATCTACTTTAGAATTTAGAATAGGAAACACAACACATTACTTAAAGACATGGTAGAGTAGATGGACATAGAGGAAGAAGAGGATAGAGAGCAATTTTTATTTGGAATCTCTCCTCACTCTGTCACTCTCTAGGCAACCTCTCAGTTTCCTGCTCTTCCTATTCCTCCTCTGTCTCTCACTGGACTCACATTCTCCACTGTATTCTTCCACAGTTCAGCCTTTCACTATGCAAGAGAGTTAGTTTCCATTATCAACAAAATCATCTGCTTTCTTTAAATATTCATGTATTGAGTAGCAGTCATTTCTAGGAAGTCAATGAGATACAAAAATTAATAAATCACAACCCCTGACCTGAACGACCTTCAATATTATAGGAAAAATTAGGCACATTCACTAAAAAATGAACGCAGACAGTGAAAACAACACAAATTTAAGATATTCTAGGAGTCCAGAAACACAGTTCTACAAATATGGTAGACTGTATATTCTTCTGGAGACTTACCCAGTAAAATATTACCTGATCCTAGATAAATTATAACATATATTCCTGCTAAAATGTTCTTGGATTTGCAAGACAGTAAGGAATATACTCAAGAGACCAAAACAATAACAGGATAGCAAAACACTGAGCTAGAACTCAAAGGGTGCTTAGTAAGCAAAACCTAGAATCTCCATGTGGCAAATTCCCACAGCAAGGTTAAAATTGGGCTATTAAGCCTAGTAATCCAAGGTACAGAATGTGAACCTCTGATTCCCACATGAAGCCGGGATCCTTGATGGAAGTTAACGTGATGTCAGATGGAAGGAATTCCTGGCTTGCAAATAGAGGAGAAGGCAAATCATCTCTGGAGGAAGGAGACCCACATTTAGATGCTTAAGATTATCACAGTATGAAACAAAAAATCACCAAGCACACAAGGTAATAAGTCAACATAAAGGAAAGTCAGCAACAAAGAACTAACAATAGATTTAGATGGTCCTAAACACTTCAGATACTACAATTTTCATGCACAGAGTATGCAACTACTATTGAAATGCTAACACTGCTAAAGAAGAAAGACAAAATCATCTAAGGAGCAAATAAATATATATTACAAATGACCAGAAACTTGGAAGTGGCAGTGCTTCCTCTGCTGGAAGATTAGGGAAAGACTTCTTGCTGCTGAAACGTAAAGTTTCATTTGGATCATTAAGAATACACCAGGCACAGATGTTGGAAAGGATAAATTCAAAAGCCCACATGCAGTAAAATACATGGGTATGTTTGGGAAATCGCCAGTTTTTTGGCATACCTGGTCTGTATGTACATGGAGGTATGGCAGGAGATAAGAGTTGTTAAGGTAACGTGGAACCAGGTTGTGATTGGTTTTGAATACCCTATTAATGAAAGACTTTGGACTTCAAGCCTGGGAGCAACCAGTTGAGATTTTCATTTTGGAAAAATCAATTTGGTATCACTGTACAGAACAGCTTGAAGGTGAACAGTTAGAAAATGGAAGCCAACTGGTATTGGATTTAGGGATATTTCCCATTAGTATCATAAAAAAGTCTAGAATTTGAAAAATTAAAGCAGTAAGAGAGGTTCAAAAGAAAAGACAGGTTTCTGGCTTCCAAAGAACTCCTAGTCTATTAAAGACAAATAGGTTAATACTCTCAAAGGCATGAAGATATAAATGCACACCTCTTTAGTACAGATGGAATCTATAATTTTGGAATCAATTACGTATAAAGCAAAATTCAGTGACATAGACTTTTGAGGGTTTTTTTGAATCCACTTTTGAATCACAAGAAAGAAATCTCTTAGCGGGAGAAAAGAAAGAGGAAGTTGAGATTCTAGGAGGGTGGAAAGTGGATCCTGACCCTCCTAAAATGAGAATAAGTGATTCAAGAGTAAAGAAACATGGGTGAGCAGTGTGGCCAAGGCAGATAGAGGCATCAACTGACCTGGTTTACCCAGAATTGAGAAGCATCTCAAGAGAGGAGAGTTCTGGTGCTAAAATGCATCAGTCCTGGCAAACCAAGGAGGCTGACCACCTGGCTGTTAGCGTGTTTGAAAAGAAATTCAAAGGGTTTAAGGAAGGACATGAATTACAGTCTTTCAAAATCTACTGGATACAGTTCTAAAACAACAGCTTCTGAAAAGCTCTTGTGAATTGTGGTTGCTCTTATTTTGACTTCCATGTCAGATGTGAGATTTAAAAAATGACATTCTTAGACCTTTCATCTCACTCCCTTAGACTTAAAAGAGTTGTTAATAATTAGACAAAAAGTATAGAGTCTGAAAAAGATTAACACACAAACAACAAAACAAAGAAAAAACAAGTGTTGAGTAGAATTGCATGTGGGTTTGAAAGTGATGCTTACATTTTGGTAGACTTCATCACAAATTGTTGAGCTAACTGAAATGTAAAGGAAAACCTGAGTCCTGTCATTCACCTTAAGTGGGTGTTCAGTGCAGGCTCTTGCCAGGGCAGGATGTAGCCCCCACGGACATGAAGATTAATGTGGTCAAGAGGGGCTGGCAAGGTCTTCCACTCTCCTCTTGCATTAATATCCACACCCTGGGGGCAGAAGAAGGTAAAAGATGATGAAGGAGAGGACAGGCCCCTCCCTGAACAATGCATCCTGCCAGACATCTCATCCTCCCCTCTGAACTTATGCCTGTTCATCACCCTTTGCAACATACCTGCTATTACCCATTCTGCATTCGCACAGTGCTGCATAAAACCTCGCAAGGCTGCTATAATATCTTGTTAGGGTCTCTTACCTTTGCTTCCACCATACAAACTACATTTGCCTGATGTGTAACAGGAAGAACTGCTACACTCTCACCTGTATCAGAACCTAAGGGACCATCCTTCCATCCTACATGTTCTCAACTAGAGCAGGGCTTTTCAGTCTCAGCACTATTGAGATTTGGGGCCAGACAATTCTCTGGCGATGGGGCTATCCTGTGCCTTTTGATATTTAGCAGAATCCTCAGATGTCAGCCGCATAGCCTCCTCACCCCCAGCCTGTTGTGACAACCAAAAATATCTCCAGGCATTGCCAAATGTCCCCTGGTAGGCAAAATCCTCTCATTTCAGAGCTGCTACTTTACAGGTAAGAAGCAGTTATTGTTGACAACAAGCAAACAAATATGCATGGCTGTGTTCCACTAAAACTTTATTTGCAAATCAGCTAACAACCAGATTTGGCTGTGGGCCATAGTTTGCCAGCTTGTGCTCTAGAATGAGTAATAGTTACCCAAACTTGGGAAGATTAATTAAGGTGACACTTCTTCATTAATCCTAATTATGAGATTCATCTTCATTTTAATTAAACATTAAAAATTTCATCTCTTTCTTTTTTTTTTTTTTCTTGAGACAAAGTCTGGTTCCGTCACCCAGGCTGGAGTGCAGTGGCACAATCTCAGCTCACTGCAACCTCCGCCTCCCAGGTTCAAACAATTGTCATGCCTCAGCCTCCCGAGTAGCTGGGACTACAGGTGCATGCCCCTACACCCGGCTAATTGTTTTTATTTTTCATAGAGATGGGGTTTCACCGTGTTAGCTAGGATGGTCTCGATCTCCTGACCTTGTGATCTGTCCATCTCGGCCTCCCAAAGTCCTGGGATTACAGGTGTGAGCCACCACACCTGGCCCAATTTCATCTTTTTCTAAACAGCTTGCTCCATGACTTCTTTTGTCTTTCCCTCTTCCATCAAAGATATCTTCTGGTAGTGAATGGGAGACTCAACATGCACACTCAGGACAAAGGCCAGTCTCACGTAAAGAAAGCTGGCCACCTCTTCCTGGGAAACGCCTGGCTGGGACACACATAGCAGAGCCTTAACATGTTACCACCCTAAGGGCAGATCCAGACTAGCAGCAGGAAGAGGAGTCTGGGGCTGTGGAGAGGACTTGGGCTCCAATGGACTGAGAAGAGAAGGAACAAAATTGCACATCCTTCTCCACTTTTCACTTAATCTCACTGAAATCTCCTTGGATGAAAGGGGCCAGCACATGCTCTGCTTCCTGTATCCCTGCTTGTACCCCTTTGTTGTATTTCCAGCCCTCAACTATGTTCTCCTCAGAAAGTCAGAAGAAGAGGCCTAGTTAGAAACGAAGGAAATACCTCCTTTGATTCTTCCCCAAGAATCAGGGTCTGATTTGTCAGGGTCCCAGCAAGAGCCCACCACCCCAGAGCTGCCCGGGAAGACCCTGGCTTCCCAGCTGAGTCTTTGGGAATCATACTAGCAATGAAACTATGCGGCAAGGAGCTCTTCATTGCTTCCTCATTTCTAAATGCACTTGCACTACTTAGACACACAAGGGTTGGGTCCCATACCTCTGTGTGTGTTTTGCACATTGCCTAATCACTTGTGTGCCTTATGTAATTATGTGCAGCGCCCCTCTTTGAGCATCTATGCTATGGAAGGAGGTATTTAATCAAAAGAGACAAAACGGCCTCTATGCTTACAAACTTACAGCAGGCAAAGATATCAACAATAAAAACAAAAACTATAGTTTGCAACACAATCTCAGATGTTGGCTAGCATCTGCCTTTACACAACATTGTAAATAGCAGTGATATAAAGAAATATTAAAAACTAACACAAAGAGAACACCCACAAAAAAACAGACCCTGAGTGAGATGCTTTATGTGTTATTTCACAATGGTTCTATGAGGAAAGTGGTCTTACCCCACTTGGAGGTGAGAAAACTGAGATTACAAGGGTTAAAGTGGCTTCTCTAAGACCACACAGCAGGTGGGTTACAGAGCCAGCATTTGACCTAAGGTCTATCGGACCTAAAGCCTTTGTACTCTCTACCACATTCCCGTGTTATATAAACATTCAGAAAAACTTACCGTGTAGTAATCGTACCAACGGGCTCTAGGGAAATATGCAGTGACATTTCTGGCATTCTAAAATGAAACACAAACAAGGTGAGGCAGTGCCACCATTTTCCAGGACAGAGTAACCAAACTGCTTAGGAAAGAGGTGAAATAATTGTGATGGCTTTGGACCCAGCTGCCTCATGTCCCAAGAGGTTAACAACTGGGGCAACCTTCTTCCTGTTTTCTTTTTTAAACCAGAGATTTGTCTACCCAAAACAAGTGGCTTTCATAAAGCACTTTGATATCCAGGACTTCGGGAAAAAATAAATCACTGTTTGCTTATAGACATAGACTTACCCCTTTGACTCTTAAAGAGACAAACAAGGGAGGTTGTGTCTGGGGCAGAAGAAAATTTTGTGGGTATAATGAGATTTTGGGGCCGGGCGCGATGGCTCATGCCTGTAATCCCAGCTCTTTGGGAGTCCAAGTCAGGCAGATCATGAGGTCAGGATATTGAGACCATCCTGGCTAATACAGTGAAACCCCATCTCTACTAAACATACAAAAAAAGAAAAAAAAATTAGCCGGGAATGGTGGCACATGCCTGTAGTCTCAGCTACTCAAGAGGCTAAGGCAAGAGAATCACTAGAACCCAGGAGGCAGAGGTTGAATGAGCCAAGATCATGCCACTGCACTCCAGCCTGGGCAACAGAGTGAGACTCTGTCTCAAAAAAAAAAAAAAAAAAATATATATATATATATATATATTTATATATATATATATATATATATATATATTTGAGGGAGGTACAATTAATTGATATTTTAATCAGAAGCCTAATCAACAACAGAAGTAAAGAAATGGCTTTTACTGCTGGGAGGAGCTCCTGTAGAGGAAGGGAAGGGTTAGCCAGCAGCAATACAAGTACACACATTGCCAAGTCATCCTTCTGAAAAGTTGTAATAGTGCTAGAGGACTGTTATAAATTTTTTACAATACTGCCCCCATCTGACCTTCTATTAATTATTTTAGTTAACGAAGAAATGATTGTGTCATTGACTATTCCATGAGGTGTTTTCTTCTTGATCATCCTACGAACCAGAATTGTTAGGCTCATTTTAAAGATGAAGGAGCTGAGTGCCAAGAACACCTAAGTGATGGACTTCAGCTCAGAAAGAGAGGAAGAGACACAGGTAGAATAAGAAACCATGTCTCAGGACCCCCACCAGCTCAGGCCTCTTCTCCTCGTCCTTTTCCCCAAGCCTCACAGCTGGGATCCTCCCCTCATCGGAGGCCTCCATACTCACGCGCTCCAGGACAGGGCTGACCAGGAAGGCTGGGCCCAGCAGGAACTGACTGTCTATGTCCCATGTCACCTGGTCTGACACAAACCTGGAAAGGGAAATGAAGGTGCCCAACAGAGCCCAACAGAGCCCCAGCCCGACACTCTGAAGAAGCTCCTCAAGTTCAGATCCAAGTCGGAAATACAGCTGCCCCTGAGCCATCCTTGCTTTGTTCCTAGGCCTAGCTTCATCAGGAGCACCCAGCCTCTGCTTTCCCCATGGGATGTGCCTCAAACTTCAGAAATGCTGGGATGTAGATGTGTTCTCTCCTGTAAAATATTACCTCATTTCTTAACCATGGCACATTTTAAATGTGAGGATGGCCCTCGTCCCTCAATTCTCTTGCTGAAATCCTTCTTTTGTGACCTGGGTCCATATAACAAAACTGCTACATAAGATAGGCCTTTGCACAACCAAATTAGAATGAAACTATTCTATGCTGTACTGCATCATTTCAATTTTCGTCATTCAATAAATACCCTTTTTTTATGACCTACGGTATGTATAACACTGTGCTAAAGACAGTAATCAGGTATACTTTGTGTCTGAAGAGCTCATGTCAAAAGGCCATCATGTCTTTAATTTGGAAGCGTTGTGTATATCAACTGCTACCACATAGAATGCAATAAGTCATCCATTAGTCATCGGGATCCCTGCTGGACACTCACTCATGGAGCAGAGGCCGCACAACAGTGACGCCCTCCGTGTGGGCCTTTTGCATCAAGGTATACAGATATGGCAACAGGGTGTATCTGGTCTGCAGGACATTTCTGGAAATATTCACAAAAGCAGCATCCCAGGACACAGGGTCTTGTCTCTAAAGGAGAAAGAGAACAGTGTTGGGAGCTCGCCCTGGAATTTCTAGGGGATTTAAGAAGGTCACTAAAAGCATACTCCAATTGAAGATCACTCACAGCTAAACAAAAGAAAACTATACATGAGGCCCAGAGAATATTCTTAATAGACCGGAAAGAGTCACCAAAGCTCTCCTAAGACAGCTGATAAAATTTCACTGTAAGACATTCTTTTTGGAACATTTGGTAAAATTCTGCCTGAAATACAGGAAAAAAATAATAATCTAAAGCACAATGAGGAATATGGTTCATTGAGACACCAGGTCTTCACAATTTTTAAGGGTGCAGTGGCTCACGCCTGTAATCCCAGCACTTTTGGAGGCTGTCGAGTGGATCGCTTGAGCCCAGGAGTTCGAGACCATCCTGTGAAATATGGCAAGATCCCATTTCTACAAAAAATCAAAAATTAGGTAGCCACGCTGGGATGTGCCTTTATCCCAGCTATTCAGAAGGCTGACGTGGGACAATCGCTTTAGCCCCAGAGGTGGAGGCTGCAGTCAGCCATGATTGGGACACTGCACGATTCAGCCTGGCCAACAGAGTAAATCCCTGTTTCAAAAAAAAAAACAAAACAAAACAAAACAAAAAAAAACACCTTTTTTTAAAGATATCCCAGGAAATAGAGACTGCATTACTTTTAGCACAGAAATGGAGACTGTCTTTCAAGTGACATAAAACAGTGGAGGTAGAAGCCACTGTCCTACCCTGGTCCCAATGGTATTGTGGTTTCTTGAGAAGGGGTAAAAGGCCCCCAGCTGCATCCAGCGAACACACATCTCGTACTCAGCGTCTTGAAAGAACCCACAGATATCTGCTCCCGTCTGAAACAAGAGGAAATAAAAGGAGCCTGCTGATGATTTCTGAAAGATGTCCCCACCTTCTTGGTGCTTAGGAGGATCCCAAGGACACTCACATAGGATATGCCAAAGAGGCTGAACTCCATCATGCCTGCAACGAGAAGCACAGCTGTGTCACACCAGGCTCTCATGATCTGCCTCCTCACCTCTTCCCTAAGGATCCCAACTCCCTGCCCTGTCGGCAAAGGCCCTGGGGAAGGACCCACGCACCAATGATAGACTTCTTCAGCTGATCCCATGCGGCCGTGTTGTCTCCCAGCCAATGTCCTGCCCAGCGGCCAGAAGAGGGAAATGTGGAGCGGGTGATGACGACCCCTCGCTGTCCCGTCACCTCCTGCACGGCTCTGCTTGGAAGGGAACAGGAGGTGAACTGAGGCAACAGCCAGGGAGTAAAGGCCATAGAGCTTCTGCTCCCAGAGCCCTTGAGCCTAGTCAATGTTTGCTGCGTGACTGGAGGGAACATGGGACTCTGAGCTGTAATAGGAGTTCCACTGATCCCAGATGATGGAGATAATGAGTCACGTGTTCTCACAGTGCTTTACAAAGAACTTCACTGTAGCAGCCTCACTGGAGTACTCCCAAAATACTAAGGAATTACTATGTCTTGCTAATGGTTTCCTCAATACTTAGTTTTCTATATTTGAGAAGGAACACAGTGAAGGTTATAAGATCCTCTTAGAAGAATTCATACTATTCATTGAGCTTGCAAAGCAGGACTGTGCTAATTCAGTACAATACCAGTTACCCTCCACCAAGAATGGCCAAAAATACAAACATCTCCAAAGATGATTCACTTTGAAATGAACGGGAGAGATGCCCAGTCCTCTGTGTTCCCTTCACCTCCTGTAACTAAAGCTATTGTTCCACTGGCTGCCCTGTGTGACCATTATGGTGTCTCCATGTGAGTCTTTCCCACTAGGATCATTAAGTTTTTCACTGGTGGGACCATGCCTTATTTAAATCTGTCCTCCTACTTTTAATCACAGGGCCTGGCTCCATGTCAATGAGCATTTGTTTAATAAATAAGAATCATTACAGAGTTATGAGAATCTTCTTAATCCTTAGAAATGGAATGAAAGGAAAACTAGGGTAGCTATGTCAGTCACTGGCAATCGCTATAGGTTGTGACAGCTGGAGAAGGGAGACGGAGACTCACTCGTATGTGGGTCTGGTCTGGGACCACCCATACAGGTTGTGCACGTTGTAGTGCTGCACCAGGGAGCCGTCTGGGAGGATCTGCTGACTCTCCATACAAAGGGTCTTGCTGCTCAGGCCCCTGTCCCTGGACTCCAAATCTGAGGAGGAAGAACTGGCGAGGTGAAACCCAGCCCTGATTCTGTTTCTCCCTGACTTCTCTTCAAGGGACTGGGCCCTGGATCTTAAGACTAACTTCAGTCCTGCCTGTGTCGCTCTCCATCTCCCCAGAGACATGAGCACAGCGCCCCCAGCTCTGAGCTGCATTGGCGCCTGCTGTGTTTCCAACATCAAGTTCACTGAAGGAAGCAGAGGTGTCAGGAAGAACGTACAGCTGTCAAACACTACATGACGGGCTCTGATTTAGGCTTTTGACTTCCAATTATTTCCATAATTCTATGAAGAAGATCTCATTATCCGTCTTTTACAATTTAGCAAACTGAGATTTGGAAATATCACATAATCTGTGAAAAGTCACAAAACTCCTAGAGAGAACAATTTCTGGAGCCAAGATATGAACCCAAGTGTAACTCCAAAGTCCATCAGCTCCATGATAAGGGGAAGCCAGTAATTTCCACTCACTGATGACACAAGAAATTCCTGTGATGGAATTCACACAAGCCTAAAAACTAAGAAACTCAGCTGTGAGAACCCTTTGTGCCATGAGCTCTGCTAAGTGCTTTCTGGACAAATTTCAAGAAATTTGCTCAATGAGTCTAGTCACTTGCCCATGCCCGGCTGGGTAAAGCACGTGCAGAGCTTTTGTCTCTGGTCCCCAGTAAACCACAGCAGCCATGAGGATGTGCCCTCAGCTGTGGGGCTGCCCCTGGCCTCGGGCTCCTCCAGTGTAATCCTTCCAGTCATGGCTCTGCCAGTCAAGGAGGCCAAGGCTTCTTACGTGGCATGTAGGGAGGGTGGTTCAGAGAGGCGTCCCTGCAGCCTGGAGAAACTGCCCCATTCACGAAGCTTGATGGTTCATTCATATCCTAGAAATGCCAAACACAGACATACCTCACTTTTTAAGATAATTACGTCCTGCCAATTCTGAGCCAAGGAAGTAGTGAATAAATTGTTCAACATCCAGTAATCTCTGTAGATGCCAGCCCTGGGAGCTTCATCAAATCCTGGTGAGAACTGGCTAGAAAGATTAATTCACTCCTACAGAACGACTGGCTAGAGGGGTAAAAAAATAGATCTCTTTCAGGGTGGCTGTGAGGCAATCAAATTTCCAGAAATTCCTAGTAAATTGCCTCCCAGGTTTTTTTTTTGGTTTTGTTTTTCATTCTTTGAGATGGAGTTATGCTTGTTTCCCAGGCTGGAGTGCAATGGTGCGATCCTGGCTCACTGCAAACTCTGCCTCCTATGTTCAAGCGATTCTCCTCCCTCAGCTACCCAAATAGCTGGGATTATAGGCATGTGCCACCACACCCAACTAATTTTGTATTTTTAGTAGAGACGGAGTTTCTCCATGTTGGTCAGGCTGGTCTCAAACTCCCAACCTCAGGTGATCTGCCCACCTCAGCCTCCCAAAGTGCTGGGATTACAGGCGTGAACCACCACGCCTGGTCCCGCCTCACAGGTTTTACAGTAGGAGCGTCAGGTCTGGTAGAAGGTGTGAGGGCTACCAGGGCAGTTCCTCTCCTGAGAGGAAGAAGTGTCTGCTATGTCCAAAGTCTTCTTTGGACAATGACTATCCTCTTGATTGAAGGTCAGTGGTACATATACTTAGGCACACAAAGATAGACAAGAGCCACTGGTACACAGAGACACACACACACTTACAATCCACATGCCATCAAACTTCAAGCTCCTCTCTGGATTCTGTGGATTGTTGTATAGTTCTTCTATTTCCCTCTTCCACCACTTGGCAGTTGAATTACGGAAAAAGTCTGGGAAGGCCACATAAGCTCGATATAGCTATAAAAAAGAAATATAATTTCTTTGTCCCACACAAATATAGAAGACAGCAAACAGGCACTTACTGAGAATGCAACTCACACAAATACTTCAACTGCATGGTGACAGACAGCCTGAACAGGGCCTAAATAATGTTATTAACTTCTTAGAGAAATGTAGAATGAGAGGAGAAATTAGTGCAATTTGCACACCTTCCCAGCATTTGGAAAACATCCAAAAACTGTTCTCTTCCTATACACGTGGATGATGACAATCAATGACCCGAACTAGTGACCTCATGCACTCGATGCCCAACCCTCAACGTCAGTCCTGCCATTTCCTATGCACTCCTCAAAGACAAAGCCAGGGAGAGACTGCAGACATGAGATGCATGGTAATAGGTTAGGAAGAAACACCCAGGGACTCCCTCCTATGTCATTCCCACTGAGAGAGGGGAGGAAGGAATAAGATTACATTTCTGGATATTAGACAAGTACGCCTCAGTGTTTTCTACGATTTCAGAATCACATGACAACTACAGCTGTGTGTAACATAAATTGAGAGGACTTAAAGAGGATGCATCAACTTCCCTTTATTTTCCTCTACCCTCACATAATAAAAGCAGTGTTTTTACCTTAACCTGAAAGAAAGATTCAAGATACAACTTTTTAACTACATTGTAGATTTTTGAGAGTAAGAAGTTTGTTTTATATCCTTCTGAGTGATATTTATATTGCCCACAATGCTGAGCTTAGAACCTGGGATAAAATACATACTCAGTGTTTAACAGTGGGTTCACACCACTTAGAAGCAGCAAGTAAATGTCCTTCAATTTTAATATACTCATGTTGTTTGTTATAGAACATTACAGTCCTTTGTTTGTCTCAGTAAATAGCCTCCTCTATGATAATCACACCATTGTAAGAGTGAAAGAGCTAAAGAATGCTGGTGAGGAGGGTGGGGAAGGCAACAAAAACAGGACTTGGTCTAGGGGAGCTCCAGTTCTTATACACCACAGATAAAGGGCAGGTAGGAACCCAGATGTCTAGAAAAAGGGCAGAAAAGGGAACATAAGAAAACAGAAACAGATCAGCCTATATGGGTCTGGCAGTCAAGGATGTGAGAAGACAGTGGGTCACATCACAGAGAATCTTGAGAGACGTGGGCATGCCAGGGATGCCTTTTGTTAGGAAATGGAGGTAGGAACCAGGAAACCCGACAAAGAGAACCTTTCACCAGAAACTGAGAGCTCCAGATCAGGCAGGGTTAGAAACGACGGGATGGGTGGGGGATGGAGAATTAGAATAAAGAGATTATCAGCCACAGCTGAGTCAGAATTCTATCCCATACGGGGTACACGTAGGGAACCTGGCCAGCCGTGAGGTAGGAACTTCCCTAAGTACTGCTCGGATGACCCTTTCCAACTTCATAAAAATGTTCTGCCGTTCTCCAAGGTGCTGGCTTTGCCTGTCCATATTCAACTCTTGCCTTGTGGCTTCTGCCTTCACTTTCTCCACTCTCCTGTAAGGAGCCATGTATTCATTCAAGCAAGAAATGCTTAGTCAATCGGGAAAAAAATTCAGGTCCAGAAGCATGGACTACTTGGATCCATTACAAGCAACAAACCGTCCCCAGGAGAGAGCAAGTTTTACAATAAGGCTGGAAACTGACAGGTAAAAGCAAAGTTGAGAAACCCAAGGAATGGTGGGGCTCGGGGCAGGACTCGTAAGTATGAAGATGGAGACACCTGTTCATGGGGAAAAAAAGAAAGATATACAAAGAAAATGACCTAGTCAGTCTTCGAGGGTTGAAGACTGTTTAAAAGGGATAACCGAGGCAACAACAGTAAGTATGCCAGTTCAGAGAAAAGATGGCACTGCTAGGAGGTATCGCCCAGTGGGAATTTCTTGGGCCTTTGGAATCTGACAGCCTTGGAATTGAAATCACCACTCTGTCACCTAAAACTGTGAACAAATAATTTAAGCTCTCTGGTCTTAAATTCCAAGGATAATAATACATATCTACATCCCAGTGGCCAGTAAAGTATGACTACCTATAAAGTAATAGGCATACAGAATGACACCCAAGACACATCACCTAAGTGTTTCTCCCTTGCCAAGCCCATGTCCACGGTACAGGCATGTCCACAATCCCAGGAACAGCTGCCCCTGCCTACAAACCCTGACTCCACCCAAATTTACAAACACCCTTTTACCTCCACTTGGCTGTCCCAGTCTAGAGACCCATTCACAACAACATCAGGAAAATCAGGCCAGACCTATGGAGAGAAATACGTTCAGTAGCGATGCACTAGACAATTTCCCTTACATAGTATTTCCTAATAAATTGTTATACAAACCGTGCTCCTAGGAGCAATAATACTTTGACTATCACATAGGATTGACATAAAAGAAAAGTGAACTCCATAACACGTTACATTACCTTAAAAGTCGTTAATTGTATCAACAAATATTGATTGAGAAAAGGAGAGCTTCTGACCTCAGAGCCCAAATAGAAAAGGCCAAAAATAACATACACAGGCGTGTGACCCACTAACAGTGACCCACCAACAGTGACCCACCCTCAGGCTGGGGACTAGTGGATCATCGCTTAGGATTATACCTTTCCCCAGACAATGTCTCCATCATTTGGGTATTTGATGAAGACGTCATCCTCCACGCCCCGAGTGAAGGCAGGATAAGGCTGTGTCTCATTGCCAGAAATGGCTGGATCCTGAAATCAAAGCATAAGTCAGTTGGGAAAACCAAAGCCAGAGAATGAGGAGAAACAGAATGAAGGAGAACTCCTCAAGGGTGAACTCGCTGGCTTCTACCTGCACAGTAGAGTTTCTGTGAGTCCTGGGAAATACACCTTTCTTACTGCACTTCAATTTATCTACTTGCAACATGGAAATAAAGTATAACTCTGACTCCACCAAAGCCCATACCTGCTCCCAAACAGACCGCACACATTCACATCAGGACTAACCAGAATGAGGATGACCCGCATCCCATCAGCCTTCATGCGATTGATCAGAGCTGGAAACCCAGCAAACTTGGGGCTGAGGGTGAAGTCCAGCTGCCGCTCCATGTAGTCGATGTCTGAGTACTGCACATCCTGCGGGAGGACATGGGGAGCTGAGAGGCTGCTGCTGTACACGCCCAAGCTTTATAGGAGAACAACCCTCCACCACCCATGGTGGAATTCCAGACAGCTTCTTGTTGATGCATTCAAATCCCAGCTCTGCCATTTGTTAGGTACAGGTGCTGGGAAATACACTTAATTTTTAAAATGTTCAGTGATAAGATAGAAAAAAAATCGAAGTCAGCACAAGCTAGGATGAGAATGCGTCTCTAGCATGGCTATTCTGAGGATAAGAGAAAACACTGGTTTGGAAAGTGCTTTGTAAACTGCCACTATCAGGAGTGATGGTGATGACCTACCCCAAGAGGCTGCCCCTGGTATCAGTGGTTCATGTTTAGGAAAAATACTGTTAATTATCCAGGACTAATAGTAAATCTACTACAAAACAAAGCAAAGATGTATAGTTGCTTTGGAATACCGAATCTTGAGGGTAATCATACACAACATTCTTCCTGAGACTGTAATATTGCATTTCACTATCCACTAATGGAAACACTACATTCCACTAATGGAACAACTGTAAACAATAGAAAAGTGGGATAAAATTAAATATGTGATGGTTCATGGGATCAATTCTCTGATGACTGGGTCCCCTCCCATCCTCCACTGAAGGATAAGGTTTCTTTCCATATGTATGTCCTCTGGAAACCCATCCCAGGATCTGTTTAATCCATCTGTTATTAGCTCAGAGCTGATGCAGGAACTGAGGTTGTATTCACATATACAATTGTCTGATTGATTTGTGGTTAGTCTTTTCAAGAATTAAGTAAAAGAACTGTGGGATATACTTTATTCTTATGAAACCAAGGACTTTTTTGACTACATGTTTTGAAGCCAAGTGAAAGAAATGGAAGGAAGCACGGGAGAGCAGAAAGAGCCCTGGAGCCAGCCTATCTCCCACTCTGGCGAGTCATGCTGGGTCTTGAGCTGTCATCTCTGGAAGACGGAAACAAGTGCCCTTACCTATATTACTGTGCTGGGGTGAGGCTAACTGTGATATTGTCTGAAAAAGAACTTTATGTCTTTATGGAATCCAACAAACATTAGACAAATGAACCCAGACACAGAGGCACCTGGGTTAGTTTTGAAACTCCAGAGCCATGACTGAGAACGTACATAAGGGATCTGGGCAGCCACCATCTCATCATACAAGCTGGCGATCTCAGAGTCATTCTGGTAGCCATAGCGACACAGCTGGAACCCCAAAGACCAGTAAGGTACCATCACAGGCCGGCCAATCAACTAGAAAATAGACAGAAAATATTAGTCTTCAGAACAGAGGCACCACATTGAAGTTTTACATCAAGTAATAAGAATATTTTTCTGTGCCCCAAGCTAGACAACTAACTAATTGAAATCCAGACCAAAACTGACAGGATATAGAGCCACTAGGATACTTAGAGAAAGCTTTCTGCTAGACTTGAGCTCCTTCTTAAAAATTATGGAAAATCTGATGTTACGCTATTCCTAGAGACACTGTAGATAACTGGTTAAGAAACCCAGAATCAGAGACATATGCCTGGCTTAGTATACAGGCTCCAATCCTGCTAGCTGTGTGACCTTGGGCAAAAATTAAGTAATCTCTTAGTGCTTCAGTTTCTTCATCTGTAAATAACGGATAATAATAGCATCTGCCTGATAGTGTTTCTGTGATGCATGAATGAGTTAATATGTGTGAAATGCTCTAACATGCAGCAAGTGATAAATCAGTGATGCGCACTTGGTAGTATGTAAGTGTCTGTTGTTGCTGCCACGACCACCATGGTCATCATCACCATCATCACCACCACCATCATCACTATTTTCACCATCACCCCCAGTACCACGATCGTGCCCCCACCACCATTACCATTATCATTACCCTTCACTACCGTCACCACCACCCCCCACTACCACCCCCACCACCACCCCAACCACCATCCCCACCATCACCACTATCACCACAACCACTATCACCAACATCACACTCCTCACACCACCTCACTGTCACCACCACTACCACCACCACCATAACCAACACCACCATCATCATCACCATCACTACCACAAACACCATCGTCAGCCCCACCCTTGTCACCATCACCACCACTATCACCGTCATCATCACCAACACACCCATTACCACCACCCCCACCACTATCATCACCATCACCAACACCACTACTACCACCACCATCATTATCACCATTCCCACATCACTATCACCACCGTCAGCCCCTACTGCCATCATCACCATATAACCACAAATAACACCAACATCACACTACTATCACTACCAGCACCACCACTAGTACCACTATAACTTCTGCTATTCTGCAATGCTTACAGAGGCTATAAATTTAATGATAATTAGAATGTATTTATTTTTTCTCATTCTATAATCTCTCTCCAAGAAAGACCAATATTTCCAGTTGTCAACTGAGAGTTATACTAATCAATGTGGACTCTGGCACCCAGAATGTGCTGTGTAAGTACTTGATAAACAATTGGATTTCCCCCTACCTCAGTGTACTGCTGGGTGACAAGCTCTGGAGTCGGCCCCAAGAACACATAAAAGTCCAGAACTCCCCCTGTGGTGCGGTATGTCAAGGCAGGCAGGGGCTGGAACGTCACATCTGAAAATAAAGAAAAATGCCAAGCCTCACGGACACCTTCCATGTCACGAATCACCCCTGAAATCCACACATTCTCCATCTTCCTGCACCCTCCCTATCATAGAGTAGTAACAGCAGGCATTTTCTATCATACTCACAGAACTGAAGAAGATCAATGGAAGTCTACAGGTCCCATTCCTGGGTTTGATTCTCTTTAGGGTACTTTACTATATTTTATCATTCTACTCTTATAAAATTATTATTTTTTACATTTCAAGTTTTATGTTAGATAAAGAGATACCTGTTCAGGTTCCTTACATGGGAATATTGCATGATGCTGAGGTTTAGGGTATGGATCCCTCACCCGGACAGTGAGCAGAGTACCCGATAGGTAATTTTCCAACATACCATACACCCTCAATACCCCCAGACTAACTTCTCTGACCCATAGTTTTACCCTAATTCAAATTATATAACTGGCTCTCACGAGCTGCCCTCCAGGATATTTGGGACCCATGTGGTGTTACTATCCCTTCTTATGTGATTTTTACCAAAATGAGAGTTGGGTTAAATCTTCTTATTACATGATATTAGATTGAAATAAACAGAAAGGCTAAACACAAAGAAAAAATAAACAGCAGTGCCCGTAAAATGAAGATTTTGCCTTCAAGGAACAGTTAGGCTAAACACATTGTAAATTGACTCAGGCATGATTGGTATCCCCCCAAAATAAGGGAGGTGCTGATGGCCTTACCCATGGCATTGCTGTTCAGCAGGAGCACTCCATGGGCACTGCCGTCCTCCTCCAGCCCCATGTAGTAGGGGTGGACACCATAGGAATTCTTCTTGTACTGGGGAGTCATGGGAAGAAGCAGTAGGAGTTTAAAAGACATTATGCCTGAGAAAGAAACTCAACAAAAATGTGCTTGCTAACATGGCTCTAGTTTTCTCCATGAAACTAGACACATAAACTAAACACATGAAACAAAGGAGCCTGAGAATTGGCCCACTTGCCTAAAAGCAGAATGTGATGACCAAGTGGAGTTTGGGAAGATGAAGCCCAAAGCCTGAGCAGTGTGGGTGGAGAGAAGCAGAGACACAGATCCCAAATGCTCTGTCCTTACCCCTGGGGGCTGGTCTCGGGAGAACATCCCCCAAGTGTGCCACTCCAAGTCTCTCCTATAGGACCTGTGCTCAGTTTCCCCAAAGCCATAGAGGTACTTGGAGGGAAGGCGGGTGGAGATGCGGATAAACATGTCACTGAAGGTAAAGCCAAGGAGCTGAGAGTCCCAACTGAAACACAAAAACGCAGATTTGAAACAGAAAATGAGCTTTTATCTCTGTTTCCAGCAGGTGACTTTTCAAGGACAACAGAACACTTGATTCCTACCAAGAAGCTGTTCATATCCCAAACAAAACTGAAACTCAATTTGATTAAAATATCACAGATATCCTCGCTAAAAGCCCAGGAGTTATTCATCATTCTTCCGTTTCCCTCTGTCACTGCCTCCTTTCAGTGGTCCTCCACAATACAAATCCAAGCACCCCTCATCATCACAGCTGGGACCACTCCACACCAGCACTGCCTTCCATCCTTGCACCCCTCAGTCCATTTTCTACATAGCACTCAAAGTGATATTTACTTATTATTTGTTGTCATGAGAAGAGAAACCTCAGCTGTGTATAAGGAGCAGCACCTAATCTAGAGAAGGCACCCCATAAACATTTGTTGGATGAATCCTCAGGCACATTCAACTCCTTCAGTATTTATTTCCAGAATGCTAAAGATTTCCTGTAAGAATAGGTCTGAAGGAAACAACTCATCCATGGATCTGGAAGTGGACAATGTGATGTTTTGAACCAGGATACATCCAAGGACAATGGACCTGGCAGCGAAGGCGCAGGTAGCCATCAACTCTGAGTCACACTAGAAGCCACTCACATTATAGTGCCTGTACTCTTCCGGCGAATTTCAATCCCAAATGGATTCTTCTTAATGAGCACATCATAGAGTTGACCCTCAGGGGTGCTGGATGGCATGCTGGGTATGTTCAGAGGGACTGGAACTTCATACCGATTCTTGTTGGGATCATAAATCTAGGCCAGAGGAAATCAATTTTAGGCAACAATACTACTCTTGAAACCTATACCCTTAGCAGAACCTTTTTGATTTTTGGACACAAAGTTCAGATGCTATGTTTCTATCTTCTTTATGATATCTGAGATTTAATTAATATATCAGATAACAATGTCACATTTAACATTTTTCTGTGATTTCTCATTATTAAGGCCTCTATTACCTTAATAAACTCAATGGGACATTGCTGCTGACTTGGAAAATCATTCTGGAATCAGTGTGGTATTTATGAATATGTTACTTGTTATTTTCTGTGGGTATATGAGTATATATAAATAACTTAAAATCATTATGAGTTCAAAAAAAAACCTGTCTCCCCAAAATGAAATCTATTTGATTAAAATAATCAGAATGTCCTTGCTGAAAGTGGTATCTAAACTGATTCATGAGTACCTACTACATCCCCTGCCTGACACTGCACAAGACACTAGGGACGTGAGCTCAATAAGGCAGTGTTATGGTTTTACGAAATTCACATGCGAATAAGAAGTCAAAGAGAGCAGCTCACAACACGTGGGTGATGTGTGCTAAGGGAGAGCTATGTAGAAGTGCTGTGAGATTCTAGGGAAGGAAATGCCTAACATTGTTTCTGGGAGACTGAGACGGTCTCACGGGAGAAATACAGTCTAGAATATTAAAAGCTTGGTAGTCATTAACCAAACAAAGAAAGGAGATCAAGTCATTCTGGTGAAGAATAACAACCACGAAGGCAGAGAGAATTAAAGTGGGCCAGAAAGAGGCACATATTTTGGAAAGAGTTACTCTACGGTCAAGAGGTAGAGTAGGCAATGGTTAAGGCTAGAACTCCAGGGAAGTTCATTCACTTCAAACCCATTAGGTGCCTAAAACATGCTAGTGTTACAAGGAGGGTACAAACATACAAGAGATTCTTCCCTGCATTAGAGGATGAACAAGAACTCAGAATTCGGGTTGATGTCAGATTGTAAAGAACCTTTCAGGCAATGTGACAATGTCCTGACCACTTTCACTTACTCTGTCAATAACATTACAGCACTATCGGCCAGGCTCTGTAGATTTCAGAAGCACAAACAGGAAAGGGCACATTCCTGTCCTTGAGAAGCTTAGTTTAATAGAAAAATAGACATCACAGCTAGTCCATCCCTAGTCCTTAAATGCAATTAAATTCTGGAAAGAAATGAAATTACTGCATATTGATGGCCATTTTACAGAAATCTCAAATTCAGCATCCCAAACTGAACATATCATCTTACATTGATCAAGCACAAACTTTTTCAGTATTCCTATTTGAGTTAATGTCAGCACCATCCATATTAAGATGCAAGATACCAACACGGTCATCATTCTTGATGTTCCATCTCCATTGTCACCTGCTTGCAATTGAGCACTAGATCCTGTAACCCAACTTTCTCAACCTCAGACGGGTCCACTGTTCTCCACCTGCATTCCACTGTCTAGTCCAAACCTAATCCCTCCACTGACCTGCCTAACTGGTAGCCTCCCAAGTTGTCTCTCCGTACCTACTCTTGCTCTCCCAACCATTTTCCTAACAGTAGCCACAGTAATCTTTTCCAAATGAAAATTAGGGCAGGTCTCATTGTTCCCTCAATGATTTCTCAATGCTCTCTGGATAATGATATAGTCTGTTGTAGCATGATTAACTTATTTTAGGGTTCTGTGATCCAGACCAATAAAAGGTAATGGAACTGAAAAGGGTCTAATCACTACCTGATACATGTACTGTGTTTACCTTGAACTGCAGCATTTCATTCTTATGGTAAGTGACATCCAGGCGAAGGGGGTTCACGGGTGTGGAGGGGAAGGCATTGGCATAAACGGAAGACTTTAAGGAGATGTCAGCTGTGGCCCCATGGGAATTATACTGAACATCACTGACAGAGTATAGGTCGTTGACAAAATAGCAAAAAGGGACTCCAGAAGAATTGGATGCCTGAAAAGTAAGGCCAAAGTCATAGATCAGCACAGCATGTGGTCTTAAAGTTCTCTAACCTAAACAGGGTTAGTAAAGTCATTTTATATGACGATAAAACTAGCCCATCACTTATCACTTGGCAATAACATAAATTTCAATTCCTTGTCTCCAAGCAAAATATTCATCTTAAGAAGTTTCGCACATGTCCCCACCTACTTGTCACATCTAGATCCTGTCCCTTAGGAAGTTCTTTCTATGGATTTTAAGTAGTTATGTAAGTACCACTGCTATGCTTAAGAAACTACAGATTAGGTGTGGAGATTCTCATGCACACAAACCCCATCAGCATGGTTACCTCCCAGATACAGCCACGGGCAGTGCAGTTTTCGGCAGAAGCACCATTCTCATCAGGGTAACAGTCTATTTTTTCTTCATCCCTTATCTTTATGCTCCATTCCACTGTGTATGCTTCTCCCAGGAGAAGATCAATATCTGTGATAATGGCAACCTGTAGGAATGTGGAAATCATAAGGAAATTCATCTTTAGGAGACAGGCTTTGCAAGACCTGAGGTTTTTTTTTCGATAAAAAAAAAATAGAAATTAGACCAGACTTTCAAACATCCAAGCAACATATGACTTTAGCTTATAAGAAGAGAACTGCACATTGGGAGAATCTATTTAGCAGCAACAGGTCAAATGTCTCCCCTCTAGCACAATCTTGTACTTAGCATAATGAAAACAGTTAGGTCAAATAAAACCTGTTGTGATCACCCCTTATTCTTTTCTACCCTGACTCCTCTTAGCTCGCTGTGAGATGACACATGATGTCATCCTAAAGTGAGTTGATCCTCTTGCTCTCCAATGCCCAAACCAGTATCACCCATTGGCGTGGAGTGGTAGAAAGAGCACAGCAATAAGAATCATATGACCTGGTTATCATGCCCACATTTCTGTAGAATGTTGGACAAATGATTTCTTTTTTTAATTTTTAATTTTAATGGGTATATAGTAGGTATGCATATTTATGGGTTATATGAAATATGTTGATTCAGGCATACAGGGCATAATAATCACATCAGGGTAAGTCAGGTATTCTGTTTCATTTCTTTGGGTTTCAATTTTAGCAACGGCAAATTTGAAAAGTTGAAAAAAACATTATATTTCTTTCTATTTCTAACATCCCAGCATGTTCATTTCTCTAAGCCCAAAGACTCCAATTCTGAAACCTTCCTTGAATACCATTAGTTCAAATATTTAATATTTTTCTATATAGTTTTCTTATCTTGACACTTCTTTAAACAACACTTCCCAAGTTAAAGTTCTCACTTGTCTGGAGTACAAAAATCACATTCTAAAGATTATCATCCTTCTCCTAGTCTCCTCCCAATCTAAACCATCTTGTACTTCCCTGTTCTACTAGTCCCCAGCCCCCACTCCCACTCCCAACAATGCTCACACACAGTAGCACAGCCTTCATTCAAGGATCAATATGAGACTGCTTGAGAATTAAATCAAGTTGGTAACTAAGACCTCCAAAACCTGACCACAAGTTTCCTATCCAAACTGGCCTTTTTCAAATACCAATTCTTATTTGTGCTAGTCATACAAAATTCACAGTCTAATAATGTCAGGCTATTCCCCACTTTCCAACTTTGCTGTTCCTGGGTCTCATCATAATTATTCTATTTTTGGGAAAAGCAAGTGAAACCAGCTAGAAAGACGGGAACACTGATAGGCAGAGAAGGGAATAAGAAGAAAAATACCCAACTCATTCTAGCTCTGGCCACCTCATTTTTTTCCCCAGCCCTCTCACTTCCCCAAAACAGGCCTCAAAGGTGCCCTGGTCCTTCAGGGACCCATGCAAACTTGGCAAGAAGGAACATCACGATGCTATGGAGAATTCTCAATGTACCATCTCAACAAAATGGGTTTTTACCTTCAGGTTAGAATCATAAGTGACTGTAGGAGAAGTCTGACTTGGGACACCATTGTGTTTCACTGTAACATTGCTAGGTTCCTCCGTCCCAAGAATTTTAATCTCATTAAATGCTAAATTATTGGGGTCCTTGTAGGTTGATTGTGAAATATTCACCTCCAAGCGGTTCTGCAAAACAATTAAGTCCAAGTATGCATAAAGGTATATGAGTATACACAGATTCTCAAGTCACTCAAATATTCCATTCCAGACCGGATACCCCCCACTGCCATAAATGCCTCTCTGCTTTCTCTACTAGTGTGTGCTGAAGAAGTACAACATTATTTGGATAATCCTCTAATTTAAAACGATCATAAAAACACACAGGCATTTAAAAACTGTGTTCAGAAACACTAGCTGCTATATTAATGCCTCCTTTTGAAAACATCGATGAAATCATAAATAGAAATGTACTCACCTATAGCCAATAATGCATATAAAGTTACAAATATAATCACACATATACAATATACACAAGCACAGATGTGCTAATGGTCAGTCCAAAGCCCACACCTAAGATTCATAAAAATATGCTACTCACTTGAGTGACAGAAAACTCACATAAAAGATACACTTTATTGGCCACAGTATCTGAAAGTGAGAGAAAGACAAGTCAGATTCTGGCCTGCCCACCTCAGAAGAACAGATTTCACCCTACCACTCCTTTCAGCTATGCCTTGAGGTCACACATAGCAGTTTTCCTTTTCCTTATGGATGAATAATTTTCAATTGTATATGTGTATCACATTTCTTTATTCATTCATTCATCAATGTATAATTAGATTGTTTCTATATCTTGGTTGTTGCACATAATGCTGTAATGAACGTGGGAGTGACTGTATCTCTTAAAGATACTGGTTTCATGTCCTCTGGATATACACCCAGAAGTGGGATTTCATGGGATTGTATGGAAGTTCTGTTAATTTTTTGAGGAACATGCATACTATTTTCCATAACGGTTGTAACAATTTACATTCTCACCAACAGTCTACAAAAATTCCATTTTCTCCACATCCTCGCCAGCACTTATCTCTTATCTTTTTTATTATTTCCATGCTAACAGGTGTGAGGTGGTAGCTCACTGTAATTTTTTATTTGCATACCTGTGTCACTTACTGATGTTGAGCATCTTTTCACATGCCAGTTAGCCACTTGTATGTCTTCCTTGGAAAAACATCTGTTCAGGTCCTTCACCCACTTTTTAATTGGGTCATTTGATCTTTTGCTACTGAGTTGCATGAGTTCCTTATTTTTTTATATTAATCTCTTCTGAGATACATGGTTTGCAAACATTTTTATCCATTCTGTAGTTTGCCTTTTCACTTTGTTGATTATTTATTTTCCTGTGCAGAAGCCTTTTAGTTTGATGTAGTCATGCTTGTTTATTATTTGCTATTTTGCCTTTGCTTTTGGTATCATATCCAAAAAGTCATTGCCAAGACTAATGTCAAGGAGGTTGTTTCCTGTGTTCTTCTAGGAGCTTTACAATTTCAACCCTTACATTTAAGTTTTTAATTTTACTTCTGCACAGTAGCAAAGATATGAAAATAACCTAAGTGTCCATCAATGGATGAATGAATAAAGAAATTGTGGTATATATATACAATAGAATATTATTCAGACATAAAAAGAAGAAAATTCTGCCATTTGCAACAGCATGGATGAATCTAGAGGACGTTATACTAAGTGAAATAAGCCAGAGACAGAAAGTCAAGTACTGCATGGTCTCACTTACATGTGAAACCTAAAAAAGTTGAGCTCCTAGAAGCAGACAGTATAACTGTTGTTCTTAGAGCCTGCAGGTGTGGAAACTGGGGAGATGATGGTCAAGGGTACAAATTTTTAGTTATTAGATGAATAGGTTCTGGGGATCCAGTCTACAGTATGGGTGGTGATGGATCTGTTCCTTAAAATAGCTGTGGTAATCATTATACTATGCCTATATATATATTAAATCCTCACATTGTCCACTTTGAATATATTTCATCTTTATTTGCCAATTAAATATTTTGCAATTAAAAAATAAATATTTAAATCTACACATTGGATTAGATGGACAAGAGTCTCCAAGGCCAAGCCATTGTTTTTCCTTCTCTTTCCTACTGGAACATTGCAAAGTTTCCCTTCCAAGGGCTTCCAAGGCATATGCCTCAAGGGAATCTATTTCCTAAACTTGAAGCACAGGAATTGTTAGTATACTGGATCCACAAATATGCTAAAAAGTATATTCTCACTGCCTCACTGGCAGGGGCATGATTTCTATATCATCAACATTTGCTCATAAGAATTTCAGGAGGAAGACATTAACATTGGGTTACGGGAACAGTCTTGAAACCATCTCTTCTAAGCACCCATTGACAATAAAAAGAGAGCCTATTGGCCAAGCATGGTGGCTCATGCCTGTAATCCCAGCACTTTGGGGGGCCGAGCCGGGCAGATTACGAATTTAGGAGATCGAGATCATCCTGGCTAACACGGTGAAACCTCATCTCTACTAAACATACAAAAAATTAGCCAGGCATGGTGGTAGGCACCTGTAGTCCTACGCGGGAGGCTGAGACAGAAGAATCACTTGAGCCTGGGAGGCAGAGGTTGCAGTGAGCCGAGATCGCGCCACTGCACTCCAGCCTGGGCAACAAGAGCAAAACTCCACCTCAATAAATAAATAAATAAATAAATAAATAAATAAATAAATAAATAAATAAATAAAAAGCCTATTATAGATATCACTGTCCAATAGGAGAATTGCCAGAGATAGAAATGTATTTTTCTTTCCTTTGTAGGTCATCTACCACTACCTCTGAATGGTGCAACCAGAAACAAAATACTTAAGTGACTCTTGCTACTGTGCCTACTGAGATTTCTCCCACAGCTGAATGACCAGCAGGAGTGAAGGACCATAAGTCACAGGTGCAGGTTGGGAAACAGCAACATTATCGTATAAGTGCTCACCCTTCGTTTCCCCATTATCCCAGAAAAGTTCTCCTTTTGCTTCTTTGTTCTCATCTAGGGCAATGATAAGACCAAGAGGGTTCTTTCGACTGTGGGGAACAAGATTCAAGACACAAAGACAGGAGTCAGAGAATTTTGCCAGCCGAGCTGAGAATATTTCCATCAAATTTCAAATTGGAAAAGTTACTAGCAGCAGATGGTTCTGCTTTTCTTCAGGCACAAACACAAAATTGACAGGCGCCCCTATCTTTAATATCAACAGTGTCACAAGAGATAGAAATACCCCAAACATTAACAATAACATCTATGTTAGAGGCAAGAACTTAAGCACCAGAGGCACTGCAATAACTCAAATAAAAGCTGCTTCTGCAACTACTACTTAGAATACAGAGTATGAGAAGAGAAATAAATCTTGGGCAATAACTGGTTCAGTTATATCACTTTAGCAATGATGCCCTCAGTAGAAGTGTCCAGTGCTGTGAGGAAGACACATTTTCGCCTGCCTAAGGACCATTTATACTCAGAAAGCAACAACATATAATAAGGTCCATCTATTTAGTAGTAACTTATCTGATTATTGGTTATTAGTTTGTTTTGAAAGAAAAACAAATCATTCTAATCTACTCTATAATTTAGAATAAGAAACACAAAACATTACTCAAATACATGGTAAAGTAGATGGACAGAGAGGAAGAGGGGGAGAAGAGAGAAATTTTTATTTGGAGTCTCTCCTCATTCTATCACTGCTCTAAGCAACCTCCCAGTTTCCTGCTCTTCTTGTTTCTCCTCTGTCACTGGTCTCATATTCTCCATTGTATTCTTTCACAGTTCAGCCTTTCACTATGCAAGAAAGTTAGTTTTTATTATCAGCAAAAACATCTGCTTTCATTAAATATTCATGTACTGAGTAGCAGTCGTTTCTAAGAAGTCAATGAGATACAAAAATAAATAAATCACAACCCCTGATCTGAACGACCTTAAATATTATAGGAAAAAATAGGCACATTCATTAAAAAATGAAGGCGAACAATGAAAACAACACAAAAGTTAGGATATTCTAGGAGTCCAGAACCACAGTTCCAGAAATATGGTGGACCGGATATTCTTCTGGAGACTTACCCAGTAAAATATTCCCTGATCCTAGTTAAATTACAACACATATTCCTGTTAAAATATTGTTGGATTTGCAAGAAAGTAAGAAATATATCCAAGAGATGAAAACAATAACAGGATAACAAAACACTGAGCTAAAACCAAAAGGGGGCTTAGTAAGCAAAACCTAGAATCTCCGTGTGGCAAATTCCCATAGCAAGGTTAAAATTGGGCTACTAAGCCTAGTGATCCAAGGTAGAGAATGTGAACCTCTGATTCCCACATGAAGCTGAGATCCTTGAAGGAAGCTAACATAATGCCAGTTGGAAGCAATTCTTGGCTTGCACACAGAGGAGAAGGCAAATCATCTCTGGAGGAATGAGACCCACAGTTATAAGATTATCACAGCTTAAAAAAAATAAGATCACCAAGCACACAAGGTAATAAGTCAACATGAAAGAAAGTCAACAAAGTTAACTAACAATAGACTTAGACTCCCCTAAACATTTCAGATAATAAAATTTTCAAGCACAGAGTATACAACTGTTCTTGAAATACTAACAGTATTAAAGAAGAAAGACAAAATCATCTAAGGAGCAAAAAACAAAACAAAACAAAAATATAATATAAATATATATATAATATATAAATATATAATAAATATATAAATATAAAAATAAATATATAATTACACATATAAATTTCTATATTATATATTATATTACATATTGTATGTATATATAATATATATTACATATTGTATGTATACATAATATATATTACATATTGTATGTATACATAATATATATTACATATTGTATGTATACATAATATATATTACATATTGTATGTATACATAATATATATATTACATATTGTATGTATACATAATATATATATTACATATTGTATGTATATATAATATATATATTACATATTGTATGTATATATAATATATATCATATATTCATACATTGTATGTATATACGATATGTATATTATATATTCATACATTGTATGTATATATGATATATATTATATATTCATACATTGTATGTATATATTATATATTATATATTCATATATTGTATGTATATAATATATATTATATATTCATATATTGTATGTATATAATATATATTATATATTCATATATTGTATGTATATAATATATATTATATATTCATATATTGTATGTATATATAATATATATTATATATTCATATATTGTATGTATATATAATATATATTATATCATATATTATATGTATATGTAATATATAATATCATATATTGTATGTATATATAATATATATAATATATCATGTATTATAGGTATATATAATATATCATGTATTATAGGTATATATAATATATATAATATATCATGTATTATAGGGATATATAATATATATTATATATCATGTATTATAGGGACATATAATATATATTATATATCATATATTATAGGTACATATAATATATATTATATATCATATATTATAGGTATATATAATATATATTATATATCATATATTATATGATATATAATATATATTATATACATATATGTTATATAATATATATTATATATCATATATGTTATATAATATATATATTATATATCACATATATGATATATAATATACATATTATATATCATATATTGCACGTATATATAATATACATATTATATATCATATATTACACGTATATATAATATACATATTATATATCATATATTACACGTGTATACAATATACATATTATATATCATATATTACACGTGTATATAATATACATTATATATCATATATTACACGTGTATATAATATACATTATATATCATATATTACACGTGTATATAATATACATTATATATCATATATTACACGTGTATGTAATATACATTATATATCATATATTACACGTGTATGTAATATACATTATATATCATATATTACACGTGTATATAATATACATTATATATCATATATTACACGTGTATATAATATACATTATATATCATATATTACACGTGTATATAATATTCATTATACATCATATATTACACGTGTATATAATATTCATTATACATCATATATTACACGTGTATATAATATACATTATATATCATATATTACACGTGTATATAATATACATTATATATCATATATTACACGTGTATATAATATACATTATATATCATATATTACACGTGTATATAATATACATTATATATCATATATCGTAAGTGTATAATATACATTATATATCATATATCGTAAGTGTATATAATATACATTATATATCATATATCGTATGTGTATATAATATTCATTATATATATCGTATGTGTATATAATATTCATTATATATCATATATCGTATGTGTATATAATATTCATTATATATCATATATCGTATGTGTATATTATATATATATTATATATTATATATCGTATGTGTATATTATATATAGTATATATTATATGTCGTATGTGTATATAATGTATATATTATATGTCGTATGTGTATATAATGTATATATTATATGTCGTATGTGTATATAATGTATATATTATATATTATATGTCGTATGTGTATATAATGTATATATTATACGTCGTATGTGTATATAATGTACATATTATACGTCGTATGTGTATATAATGTATATATTATACGTCGTATGTGTATATAATGTATTATACGTCGTATGTGTATATAATGTATATATTATACGTCGTATGTGTATATAATGTATATATTATACGTCGTATGTGTATATAATGTATATATTATACGTCGTATGTGTATATAATGTATATATTAAACGTCGTATGTGTATATAATGTATATATTATACGTCGTATGTGTATATAATGTATATATTATACGTCGTATGTGTATATAATGTATATATTATACGTCGTATGTGTATATAATGTATATATTATACGTCGTATGTGTATATAATGTATATATTATATGTCGTATGTGTATATAATGTATATATTATATGTCGTATGTGTATATAATGTATATATTATATATTACATATTACATGATATATAATATATGTATTATATATTAGATAGTATATGTATATATAATATATGTATTATATATTAGATAGTATATGTATATATAATATATGTATTATATATTAGATATTATATGTATATATTATATATTTAGATATCATATGTATATATAATATATATATTTAGATATATCTATATAATTCATATTATATTTAGATATTATATGTATATATAATATATATATTATATTTAGATATTATATGTATATATAATATATATATTATATTTAGATATTATATGTATATATAATATAGATATTATATTTAGATATTATATGTATATATAATATAGATATTATATTTAGATATTATATGTATATATAATATAGATATTATATTTAGATATTATATGTATATATAATATATATATTATATTTAGATATTATATGTATATATAATATATATATTATATTTAGATATTATATGTATATATAATATATATATTATATTTAGATATTATATGTATATATAATATATATATTATATTTAGATATTATATGTATATATAATATAGATATTATATTTAGATATTATATGTATATATAATATATATATTATATTTAGATATTATATGTATATATAATATATATATTATATTTAGATATTATATGTATATATAATATAGATATTATATTTAGATATTATGTTTATATTTTATATATATTATATTTAGATATTATATGTATATATAATATATATATTATATTTAGATATTATATGTATATATAATATATATATTATATTTAGATATTATATGTATATATAATATAGATATTATATTTAGATATTATATGTATATATAATGTAGATATTATATTTAGATATTATATGTATATATAATATAGATATTATATTTAGATATTATATTTAGATATTATATGTATATATATTATATTTAGATATATGTATATATAATATATATATTATATTCAGATATTATATGTATATATAATATATGTAATATATTATATATAATATTATACATAATATATATTATATATTATATATAATATGTATATATAATATATATTATATATTATATATAATATGTATATATAATATATATTATATATTATATATAATATGTATATATAATATATATTATATATTATATATAATATGTATATATAATATATATTATATATATAATATGTATATATAATATATATTATATATTATATATATGTATATAATATATATTATATATTATATATTATATGTTATATTATATATTATATGTTATATATTATATGTATATATAATATATGTTATATATTATATGTATATATAATATATGTTATATATTATATGTATATATAATATATGTTATATATTATATGTATATATAATATATGTTATATATTATATGTATATATAATATATGTTATATATTATATGTATATATAATATATGTTATATATTATATGTATATATAATATATGTTATATATTATATGTATATATAATATGTTATATATTATATGTATATATAATATGTTATATATTATATATTATATGTATATATATTATATGTTATATATTATATGTATATATATTATATATTATATATTATATGTATATATTATATGTTATATATTGTATGTTATATATTATATGTATATATATTATATATTATATGTATATAATATAATATATATATATTATATTATATATATAATATATATATATTATATTATATATATATAATATATATATATTATATATATGTATATATATAATATATATATTATATATTATACGTATATATATAATATATATATTATATATTATACGTATATATATAATATATATATAAAATGACCAGAAACTTGAAAGTGGCAGTGCTTCCTCTGCTGGAAGATTAAGGAAAGATTTCTTGCTGCTGAAATGTAAAGTTTCATTTGGATCATTAAGAATACACCAGGCAAAGAATGTTGGAAAGGATAAGTGCAAAAGCCCAAATGTTGTAAAATACATACGTATGTCTGGGAAAGAGAAAGCTTTTGGCATGACTGGTCTGTATGTACATGAAGGTGTGGCAGGAGATAGAGTTGTTAAAGTAACGTGAAACCAGGTTGTGATTGGTTTTGAATACCCTATTAATGAAAGACTTTGGACTTCAAGCCTGGGAGCAACCAGTTGAGATTTTCATTTTGGAAAAATTAATTTGGTATCAGTGTGCAGAACAGCTTGAAGGTGAACAGTTAGAAAAAGGAAGCCAACTGGCATTGGATTCAGGGATATTTTCCATTAGTATCATAAAAAGTCTACAACTTGGAAAATTAAAGCAGTAAGAGAGGTTCAAAAGAAAAGACAGGTTTCTGGCTTCCAAAGAGCTCCTGGTCTATTAAAGACAAGTAGGCTAATACTCTCAAAGCCATGAAGATATAAATGTGCACCTCTTTAGTACAGATGGAATCTATTTTTTTGGAATCAATTACATATAAAGGAAAATTCAGTGACTTGGAGATTTGAGGTTTGCATAAGGTAATTTTTGAATCACAAGAAAGAAATCTTAGTGGGAGAAAAGAAATAGGAAGTTGAAATTCTAGGAGGGAGGAGAGTCAAGGTTCTCTAGAAATGAGAACAAGTGAGTCAAGGGTAAAGAAACATGGATGCAGTGTGGCCAAGGCAGACAGAGGGATCAACTGACCTGGTTTGCCCAGAATTGAAAAGCCTCCCAAGGGAAGAGACTTTTGGTGCTAAAACTGCAACAGTCGTGGCCAAACCAAAGAGGCTGACCACCTGGCTGTTAGTGTGTTTCGAAAAGAAATTCAAAGGGTTTAAGCAAGGACATGAATTCTGAAAGGACACTCCAGCCATGCTATACCTGGCCAGAGTGGTTGTATTTGGCTGCTGTGTGGGGAAGATGTAGCCTCCTCGAAGGTGAAGTCCAATTTTGTCTCCAGGAAGTTCCATCTCGACTTTTTGCTTCCTCCATCTCACTTGGCTCCCCTGATGCATGCAGATAAATCAAACACATTGGCATGACAGCATATTGCCCTTCACTGATTATCTACATGCCTGGTGATACACAGCTCTCTCCCTTTTCCAATTAGCTGAATTATGGTCTAGCCAGGCAATCAAACAACAGAAGGAAAAAAATCAAGAATAACATGTTCTGCTACCAGTTGGGGGTTTGTGAAAAAATTTATGCCATGCTGAGGCTATTTGATATATTATATAAACTGATAGTTTTAAACAGATAGTCTGATTCCTGACCAAGCTCACATTGTCCATCAGTTCCTCCAATATTAATTTATGAGATACTATGTCAGCCTATCTTATTGCTAAATAAAGTATATGAAGGTATTTTTTCACATTTCATCATGACTGATGTTAACGGTTTAGGTTAACTTTACCCAGGTTCTGCTATGAAATTACAGAAAACACTAAAAACTACTCCTCAGCATGTAGATGGATGTTTCTCTCTCCAGAAAGGTAGCTTGTCTATGCAGCTGCAGCTACAGTCTTAAGGAGTAGAAGAAAAGTCAAAGCTACTTACAGTCTCGTAGTCATACCAGACAGCATCAGGCACATATGCCATCACTTTCTCTGCACCCTGAAATTAAAAAAATGTAGTGTCCCCTGAGGGAAATAAAATGGATTTCTTTTTATTCTCTAGGGAATTTCTTAATCATACACAGAGAGGGCAGGAATGCCCTGCTATTATGCCTTTCTTCTGCTTCTCCTCTAATACAAATAATAGAAACTGTAACTTGGCAACCCAGAGAGAAATCCCAAACGTAGCCACATTAGGAATAATAATAATCATAAAATAATAATAAAACATGTGTGGTGACAAACATTCCAGCTTTACATGATTACCTCATTTAATTTTCCCAACATTCCCAAATGGTGGGTACCATTATTTTTAGTAGTAGTAGTATTACCCCTCTGCAGATGAGAAGCCAGCACAATAGTCACCCCTGATCACACAGGCTCAAAGTGGCAGAGACAACAATCACATCCCGATCAGCCTGACTTTAGAGTGAGTGTTGGGTCACTGCTCCATCCTGTTTCTACGTCATGGAGCAAGTCAGGATCTGCTATGAGAATCCAACAACAAATAGGACCACTCTTGATATAGTTTGGATGTTTGTCTGCCCAAATCTCATGTTGAAATGTAATCCCCAGTGTTGGAGGTGGGGCCTGGAGGGAGCTGACTGGATGATGAGGGCAGATTTCTCATGAATGGTTTACACCATTCCCTTGGTTCTGTCCTGGTGATAGTGAGTGAATTCTTGTAAGATTTGGTTGTTTAAAAGTGTGTGGCGGCCAAGCGCGGTGACTCACACCTGTAATCTCAGCACTTTGGAGGCTGAGGCAGGTGGATCATCTGAGGTCAGCAGTTTGAGACCAGCCTGGCTAACATGAAACCCCGTCTCTACAAAAAATACAAAATTAGCCGAGCTTGGTGGCAGGTGCCTGTAACCCCAGCTACTCAGGAGGCTGAGGCAGGAGAATCATGTGAACCCAGGAGTTGGAGGTTGCAGTGAGCTGGGATTGTGCCACTGCACTCCAGCCTGGGTGACAGAGTGAGACTCCATCTCAAAAAAAAAAAAAAAAAAAAGTGTGTGGCAACTCCCCCCACCCCGTCTTGTTCCTGCTTTTGCTATATGACATCGCTGCTCCTCTTCACCTTCCTCCATGACTGTAAGCTTCCTGAGGCCTCCCTAGAAGCTGCACAGATACCAGCATCATGCTTCTTGTAAAGCTTTCAGAACTGTGAGCCAATGAAATCTCTTTTCTTTGTAAATCACTCAGTGTCAGGAATTTCTGTATAGCAATGCAAGAACAACCTAACATAACTTGTAACTCTAGAGTTTCCAGTAGATGCTTCTAAACTGGTTGGGAACTTGATCAAGAGAAAAAAGAAATTCTAGAAAGAAAAATGTGTAGTTACCAGATGTCTAGCTTCTCAAAACCTAGCACACTCTCTTCAAGGCTGACTCAGTCACAGATGTCAGAAGTGAGTTTGGAATAAGAAGCAGAGAGGAGTTTGCAGGGCAGCAGATACAGATGCAGAGATCTCTAGTGTATCTCTGTGGGAACACTTACTTCATCCAGAACTGGAGTGATGAGGAGGCCGGGCCCCCATAAGAACTGTTGGTGCACATCCCAAGTGCTGTTGTCCTCGTAGAACCTGAAAACCAGAGAGACAGTTCACTGAGATTTGAGCCACTGCCAATGAGATTTGTAGCAGCTCTACTCACACACAACCTGTTGAAAGCATGCAGGCCGTCTGCCCAGGCAAACCCCCCAAATTATTCTGTGACACCTACTCAAGCCCCTCTGCACCCCTAGACAGATTCCCCTTCCCCAGCTCATGTCTCCTATTCTTCCCTCAGGATAAACAGATGTTTCTATTCCAGTATGTATGCTAGGCAGGTCCCAGGCTGTAATTCTATTTTCCATAGCCCTCCTTTTTAAAAAAAGTAAGTTGAGATCCGGACATTCGCATCAACACGGATGGAACTGGAGATCATTACGTTACATGAAATAAGTCAGGCATATAAAGACAAACATCACATGTTTTCACCTATTTGTGGGATC